>NC_000005.10:173943142-174246172 GCF_000001405.40 Homo sapiens
GAAATGAAGCATAGCTTTGATCCTTAGGTAATTTTTGTGTTACAGTTAACATTTTAGACATAATTTGAAGGAGTTAAGGAGCTATAAAGAAATTTAGCAGAATGGTGGGATTTGGATTTGAATCAAAATGATTTCCCTGTGTTAAATGAGAAACTCAGCTTATTTATATCTAAAGATGTGCTTTTTTTCCTTTCTGAAAGGAATTTCTTAGAAAAAAATTAAGAATCTTTAAAAAGAAAAATATAGTGACACTAGTCCCAAAATACCTCATTATCTTGGAGGTTTAATTATGCTCAAATGCCTTATGTCAACTTTTTTCTTTTCTTTTTTACTAAGTAAACAATACATGTGGTTTAAAATGAGATGAGCTAAATAAATGACTAATCCTATAAATTTCAAACATTTGGGGGAAAAGCTCTAGAAATTTTAGGTAATTCTAAAGAATCATTTCGTAGAGGTACCTGAATAACTTATTCTTGGCACCTATATTTTGCCTTTTTACGAGAAAGTAAGACAGTTAAATAGCTTAGATTTAAAGGATAAGTGATTTTTTTAAGATCATTCATGAAATAACCTCCAGTTTTATAATCAGTTTGTGTCTTCACTTGACATATGCTATTATAGGATAAATTTATAAAAAATATACTGTTATTATTTGTGTTTAGTAATAGAAATTGAAGACAAGTGTGGCAAAACCTGGAATGTTTCTATTAAAGTAAGAGCACTTGAGATACATTTCTAGAAGATCCATTAACAAATTCCTCATGTAGTACCTAGAAGTAAATTGGCAGCCAGAAAAGTGATAAAACAGTGCTTGGGAGATTGTGCAGCTATTTGTAGCTCTGTGTTTTCCTTATGATTTAAAAGTTTATATTTTGCTGTCAGGTAAATATGGAAAGACTGTTACACATATTGGCATCTCTGGTGTTTCCTGCATATATATTCTGGACGATAAGATTTTCAAACAGCAAATTTAATGACTAGTTTTTAGAAATAGATAATACCCTTAGCAAGCTGATAATTACCCAGCTAATAATAAATATATCTTTAGCATGCCTAATAATCTTAAATTTCATAAGACTACACAATGAAGTTGGAATATAACATTAAGTGGGTTTTGATTATATCCCATTAGTTAAGGTAAATAAAAATGAGTGGTCACTTTAAAAATCTACTTGTTACGTTAGCCAGATGTCATGGCATGTGTCTGTAGCCCCAGCTACTTGGGAGGCTGAGGTGGGAGGGTCACTTGAGCACAAGAGTTTGAGGCTGCAGTGAGCTATGATTATGCCACTGTACTCCAGCCTGGGTAAAAGAGCGAGACACTGTCTCAAAAAAAAAAAAAAAAAAAATTGACTTGTTCATTTTAAGCACATTCTTAGAGGAAACTGTGCAGGCTATATTGTTTGATTTTTTTAAAGAAATGTAAGTGATTCAATGTCTTACAGCCAAATTTAATATTGAGTGTACATGTCTAGGTTGCCAATAGCCATGGGGCCCTGCCAAGGGAGTACAGTCTTCTGCCGACTGCTTGTTAAAGTGTGCTCTCTCCTCCTGTACTTCAGTTCACCTCACTGAAGTTTCTGGATCCCAGTGGGATACTTGAGTCGCCTTCTATTAATATTTAACTGTGTGCTTTCTCTCTGACTCAGTTGGGACTTTAAGTTGGTGGGAATTCAAGAGTATAGCTAAGTGTTTCTATTATTCAGTGAGAAAAATAAAAGCAGCAGTTTTATTGAATCTGCTGTTTCCTTGTTTCTTTGCATGATAATCAGTGGCAAGGAACATTTTCTGTTACCGTTTTTTCCCTGCTTTCTATTCCAGGTCAGTCTTCACTGTTTCCAATGGAAGATGGATTCTTGGATGATGGCCGTGGGGATCAGCCTCTTCATAGTGGCCTGGGTTCACCTCACTGCTTCAGTCACCAGAATGGGGAAAGAGTGGAACGATATTCTCGAAAGGTGTTTGTAGGCGGATTGCCTCCAGACATTGATGAAGGTATGTTTAGAACTGTTTATAGCACGGTGCCCAGATGGTGGCACATAGTAGGAAACTCACAGATAGTGTTACAATAACAGTCTTATCTGGCTCCAATAGTCAGCCCTGCTTGCATTGTTCTCTTGTCCTATCCTCCTATCATGGCATATAAGATTAATTCATAGAAGGGAGGGGAGCAGAGCTGTGCAAACCAACTAAAGCAAGGCATTGGACTATATGAAAAGGAGTAAACATCACTGGGAAAGCTTCCAAGGGACTTGATTATTGTGGGCATACATGGGTACTAACTGCGTTTTTGTCTGTGTGTGCTACTTTGGACAAATTCATTGATGTATTTTCCTTTTTCCCCCCACATTTTATGAGTGCTCCACAAATGTATAGTTCATTGTTTAAAATCTTAGACTAAGCATGAACTTTTGAAAAATATAGCCTACAGTTGTACTACAAGAAGGATAATCTTACTTAAGGTAGTAAACAAGATGGAAGGTCCCTGCTTACATAGAGTTTACATTTTATTGGGGGAAGGCCCATAAACAATGTATAAATATGCAAGAAAATACTGGAGAGCAAGTGTTGAAAAGCACACAGCAGGATGATGTAAAATAGTGATGCAGGGAGTTTCTTTTTAATTAGGTGGATAAGAAAAGCCTCTTTGAGGAAGTGATATTTAAGCTGAGACCTGAATAAGGAGCCAGCCATGCAAAGACTTAGAGGGACTTGTTCAGGAATATGCTATTCATCCGTGGGTCTGAGTGACCCCAATAAAAATCAAAGTAGCAGACCTTATAGCATATTTTTGGTTGCTTTCCTAATTTCTTTTGTCTTCGTTTCCTGAGTGAAAATGGAAATACACTAAATCACATTATGGAGAATAGAATAGATTTCTTTACACATGTATAAGATCTAATAAATAATAAGGTTTAATATCTTCACATTTAGATTGGGATCAGACTTATCAAGTCACTTCATTTTCTTCAAGATGATTTATCTTTTGGAAGGTTGAGACAGAAATGGTTCTAAAAAGCCAAAGATTGAAATAAACATAGAGGTTTTTGCTTTTTCTTGTTGTCCACAATAAAATGTCTTGGTGGAAGCTATGCTGAAATTTCAGGGTTCTCTGAATCAATCTCCATCCTGCCCTCAGCATAGCTTGAAGAATATTGTGTTCTGCAGAATTGTGCACTAAAAATTACAGGGTTTATGGGGGAAAATAAGGTTAAAGACAAATCATTTAAAAGCTAATGAACTTTGTACCTGAAGCACTAACAAGAAGAGAATTAGTACCTTGGAGATAACTTGGACAATTCAGGCAAGTAGCTCAGCATGCTTGGGGCTGCTTCAGGGAATATTGAAAATGTACAAAACCAATAAAGCAGAAATGCTGGCTTGCAAGCATGGAGAAAATGCAGATGGAAACAGACCTTTGAACACCTGAGGAAGCGCAAACTAAACTGTCAGGAGATAAGAGCCCTGCAAGGTTAGGGGCATAGCTCTCTGACAAGAGAATTCTGGTTGCTGCACTTATTTTTAATTTTCTTACAATAGAGCTGGGAGGGTTTGTACCTGTACGTCAGACAAGTGGGGGGCTTTTTCCTTTCCTGATGAAGTTTGTAATTCTTTCCTCACTATGCTAGCTTACCTTGCCTAGGAAAAATCATTTATGAACCAGTACAACTTCCATGTTATACTGACATTGTTCCCTGTTTACTAGACTCACACAAACTAAACTTACTCTGCTCACACTACGTATTCCAAACTGGAATATCACCATAATGGTGCAATACCATCCTGTCCTACCATGCGCATGTTAACCTTTTTCCCCCCCAAGATAAGGGCTCACATAGTGAGCCCTTATGATACCTATGAGAATAGGTATCGTAGAAGAGCAGACTAGACTGTTTCACAGTCTGGGGAAGATGAAAACAGCTCTGCCAGACTGGAATTTAGGCATACTCCTCATCTTTCTTTTCTGTTCCTTTACCCTGCCCTATTATCAGGTCTTATCTACACATGCTTACCTACTCTTTCTAGAAGTCTCTTTGAAATGTATTTTTCCATAATCTCATTAGTGTCCAAATGTATAATGTAGCATAATTTGTATCATTTAAATTGCAAAATGTGGTCAGGTCTTCCTTGTCTATCATTTTTTCCCATTCATCCCTTTTTCCTCTCCCTCTAAGGCTGAGATATTGCTGTCAAGGAAGTGGATTGGTGACAGGGAAGAGGTCTCAAGTGGAGGGGATGTGTATGAATGTATGTAGAGGGGGCTTGCTCAGAGGCCTGAGCAGCAGTACGTATGGTATCCAAGAAATAAGGGCGAGAAGACCCAAGGCACAAAGGTAGAAGGTAGAGGAGGCTATAGGGGAAAGATTGGTTACATTGAGCAAATTAATAAATGTCTTTACAGGTATTGGGAGCTAGGTTTCTCCCTGCAAAAAGAGAATATAAAAATAGAAAGGCGGAAGGCTAGAAAAACCCATGAAATGTTGGAGTCATATTGAAAATATCAATATGAACTCATTAGTTTTTGTAAGTACATACACAGATACAGAAATAGTTATAAATTTGTGTTTGGGCGTGTATTTCTTTATTTCCTAGCTTCCTTCACTGTGAAGACTTAGAAATAATGAATACTCACTAGCAGTGAGCATATAGAGCACCTGTAACTTAGTTTCTAAATACCTTTTGCCACTAAAATGATCAGTACATCTTGAAAAAAAATGACTGATTCTTGGGCTGGGACAGGGAAAGAATAAGACGAGCCCGGAGTATCTTCGTAGGCCAGAAAGCATGAAAGTGCTTAAGAATGGAGGCAAGAAGTGCGAAGGACATGGGAGCCTCCCACGCCTAAGGGACACGCAGGACAAAAATTGTCCCAAATCAGGGACAATTTTGGGGACAAATTGAGCATCAAAATAAATGAGTGAATTGGATCACAACCCATTGAATAAAATAGACCCAAACTGATATCAATAAATGAATAAATCAATGGGACAGATGGAAAACTCTTCTACTGCACAATACTAACTAATATATGTAGAAGGAATGATGGAAACAGATAATCATTATTTGGCAACCATTATTGTGGTAGTTAATACATGCAGGAGTCTTCAATGGATGCCAAGGCTCATGAAGGAACAGGATATTGGTGAGCAACACAATATACTCTTGTAGAACGCTAATTGAATACAAAAGGAGAAAAGGTTTGCTTGTGGTAGAGAAACCAGGCGATCAAGATTAACATGCCCTCCAGGTGTGGTGGTATGCACCTGTAATCCCAGCTACTTGGGAAGTTGAGGCAGCAGGATCACTTAAGTTCAAGAACAGCCTGGGCAACATAGTGAGCCCTTATCTTGGGGGAAAAAAGATTAACATGCTCATGGTAGGAAAGGATGGCATTGCACCATTATGGTGATATTCCAGTTTGGAATACGTCACATGATTCTGCTCATAGGAGGGAGAGCACAGACCCAGGTTGAGGGTCACTATCTTAAATCTGTTCAGGTTGCTATAAAAAAATAACAGACTTGGTGGCTTATAAACAACTGAAATTTATTTCTCACCATTCTGGAGGCTGGGAATTCCAAGATCAAGGTGCCAGCAAATTCAGTGTCTGGTGAGGGCCTGCTTCCTAATAGATAATAATCTTCTTATTGTACACTCACATGGCAGAAGGAGTGAAGGGTCTCTCCAGAGCCTCTTTTATAAGGGCACTAATCCCATTGAAAGGATTCTACCCCCATGACCTAATCACCTACCAAAGGCCCCAGCTCCAAATACCCTTACATTGGGGAATAGGTTTCAACATATGAATTTTGAGGGAACATAAACATTTGGACCGTAGCAGTCATTCTATAGAATGAATATGAAAGACAAGAAAGAACATGGAGCTGTTCCAAGTTGAAAAAAGACTGATGCTCTGAGGATATGATAATTAAGTGCAACCTATGTTCTGGATAGCACTGTGGATCAGAAAGGATTTTGAAATTTAAATGAAGTCTGTGAATCGCATAGTAGTGTTATATCAAAATTGATATATAAGGGAGTGACCCTGCTTTGAGCAGATACCAATAGTTATGTTTGGGATTACAGGGCACCATTTCAGAAAAAGATGCTGGCTGGCTGGCTTGGTTGGATGGCTAGATTGATTTGTGCATATGTACAGATAGAGGGAGAAAGAGGAAGAGAGAAGAAAGAGGGTGAAGGCAGATGTGCAAATTATTAACAGTTGGGGAATCTAGATGAAGGGGATAAAGGAGTTCTTTTTACTGTTCTTGTAAATAGTAGATTTGAAACTTAAAAGAAAAACTTTCAAAAAATGATCATAAAAATATTTAAATCTACTGTTTTCCTTTGTTGTTTATTAGATGAGATCACAGCTAGTTTTCGTCGCTTTGGCCCTCTGATTGTGGATTGGCCTCATAAAGCTGAGAGCAAATCCTATTTTCCTCCTAAAGGTAATTCTCAAGATTCATTATACTTATGTAATTTATTCTTACATTGTTTAATGTGTAGCCTTTTCATAAATGTTCACCTTCACTGTAAAATGTTGCATTGTTAAACTTGCATTTTCCCAAATGCTCTTTAAAATTTCAACATAATATTCTTTTAATTCAAATTTAATTTTACTCTAAAAGATGCTTCAAGATACTACCAAAATGAACTGTATGTTGATGTCATCAGACTTTTGGTATAAATATTGTTTTAATTTTTTTCCTATTCCTTTTTCCTTTCTTTAGTTTTGTGCATGATTCCTTTCCCCTGAAGAATTACCAAAAAATAGGAAAACATGTAAGCCTTCTTTCCCCCTTTTTTCCAGGCTATGCATTCCTGCTGTTTCAAGATGAAAGCTCTGTGCAGGCTCTCATTGATGCATGCATTGAAGAAGATGGAAAACTCTACCTTTGTGTATCAAGTCCCACTATCAAGGATAAGCCAGTAAGTGTGGTTTAGCATAAAATAGCTTCTTGTTTTTGCCTCCATTCATCTGTTATATTTGAAAAACCCATAGACAACTTGATGTGTTTGGGGTACTTAATTGACATGTTTGTAAGCAGACTAAGTAGTCTTGTTGTGAAGTTCTTAACATTGACATTCTGTGTATTTGCACATCTCAATTTGACATCGAATTTTTGGTTAGTTGAAATATAATTGGTAAATCTTTATTTTTAAAAGATTTCACGGCTGGGCATGGTGGCTCACACCTGTAATCCCAGCACTTTGGGAGGCCGAAGCAGGTGGATCACATGAGGTCAGGAGTTCGAGACCAGCCTGGCCAACATGGTGAAATCCAGTCTTTACTGAAAATACAAAAATTAGCCAGGCATGGTGGCGCACATCTGTAGTCCCAGCTACTTGGGAGACTGAGGCAGGACAATCACCTGAACCCAGGAGGCGGAGGTTGCAGTGAGCAGAGATTGCACCATTGCACTCCAGCCTGGGTGAAAAGTGAGACTCTGTCTCAAAATAAAATAAAATAAAATAAAATAAAATAAAAAACCAGACTTCATTTGATAATGCATTTAATAAAATAGCAGAATCAACTCTGAATAACGGAACTCAAATCACAAATACTATGTGTACGTCTTTCTAGCGTTTTCCTCACTTTAATGAAGATTTTACCCAATATTATCCTTAACTTTATATATGGTACTCTCCAAAGTAGACTGAATCGTGTATATACATGTACAGGTACATTGCATACTGTTTTTTCTTTCTGGAAAAGTTTATCATAAAATTTAGTCTTTAGGAAGAGGAGCAACTGGCATGTTTTGATGACTCTGGCAAAGCAGCAGTTTATTATCACTCAGCCAGCACCCAGTGAATGATGATAGTGCAGAATGGAGTTGTCAGTGGGCCCAGCTTAAGCAAATAACATCTGTGGAGCTTCTCCTGAAGTCTTGTGGTTGTCTAGGTCAGAAACTTTCGAAGAGTTCCTGTGGTCTGGACTCTTTCTGCTTGACTTGTTTATGTTCCCTGCCAATCCCCATCCGTATTTGAATTTGGGACCTCTGACCTAGGACTCTGTTGGTGTGCATATTTGGGAATACACTGCTGTCAACCCATAGCCTTTGGTGTGGGCATTTGTGACAGTTAGAAAATGTGAACAGTTTTAAATGAGGTACATGATTCTTGATTGACTTATCTAATGGATACACTGAAGTATTTGTCATAAAAAAAAATCTATTGCAAATATCATCAGTATTTTTACTTTGAAAACCATTTTGAAATAATGCATCAGATTTG
The DNA here is from genome assembly GCF_000001405.40 of Homo sapiens. NCBI lineage: Eukaryota > Metazoa > Chordata > Mammalia > Primates > Hominidae > Homo > Homo sapiens. The sequence continues at coordinate 173,951,387 of NC_000005.10, forward strand.
ATAGTATCAGGAGTAGTTTGCATTTCCTAGACATACACTGATTGGACACACAATTCTTGTTTACTTAGTATTGTATATTGATTGGCATTGGATACCATGCTAAAAATTTAAATTATGTAGATATTGAGGCATTGGACAGACTAAAGGCCCAAATAAGCTGAAAAACAGTGAATTAACTTACAAATAATTGTGGACATGTTAAGTAATTTGGCTTATAATAGACAATCAAATTGAACTTTCCACCTTGGTTTAGTTTACTTCTAAAAATGAAACGATGGGTTGGGATACACTGTTTTTAAATCTTCTAGTTTCCCAGCTTTATTGACTTGTAATCATAGGATTATTGCTTTTAAAAATACTTTGTAATAATTGTTAACTTTTTTGCCCATGAATTGTCTGTATTGAGAATGAGACATTTTGGTTTGTACATTCCCTAGGTCCAGATTCGGCCTTGGAATCTCAGTGACAGTGACTTTGTGATGGATGGTTCACAGCCACTTGACCCACGAAAAACTATATTTGTTGGTGGTGTTCCTCGACCATTACGAGCTGGTATGATTAAACAAACGACAAACTCTCTACCCTATAGCGCAAGAAATATGAAGATCTTCAGGATAAATTTTTCCTAAGAATTGGAGTTAATATCCAAGAGTGAGAGTTCTAGAATCAAAATATCTGGGTTTGAATTCATGTGTTCTAATAGTTAAGTGACCTTGGACAAATTCCATGACTTTTCTAATTCCCAGTTTCCCCATCTGTCAAGTAGGGATGAAAAGCGTTTCATCCCTAGGATGAAATAACACCAGAAAAAGTATTTCCTAGTGTTATTTTGAGGGTTGAATTAGACGACCAGTGCAAAGTACTTAGTCTAGTGTTGCATAATGCTAATTATTACGCTCATCATTGTCTGAAAAGAAAAAAAGTCCTTCAAGAATAGATTCTGTATTGAGATTGTCAGTATTTGTTTCCCACATCCTCATTTGCTCAACAGCGACTGACTGAGCTCTGGGATATAATAGACTTCCCAGCAATGCATCAGATTTTTAGGGTAGTACTTACAGAACAAATTAAATTCCTAACTTCAAGTAATTTGAGGTTTAATAATATACATGAGATAAAAAGACATAACATGAACAGGAATGTAGCTGCACGATTTTAACACTTCATAAAGAAGAAAATGCAGTCATTATTTCAAGGTTTTTTTAAATGAAAAATTGGTGAACTGACTGTGGGGAAAGAGTTTTGATGGAAATAAGCCAGGAGGGCCCACAAAGAGTCTACCAGTTAGTTTTCTAGTGTTCAAGTAATTATTACATTAATCAATACATTATTAACTGGTAAATCTATGGCAGCAACATGGCACAGAGCAGGCAAACATGGGAGTACTATCACTTAATGACCTGTGACCTTGGACAGATGGATCACCCTTTCAGCACCTCAATTTCCTCAGGAAATTACTACCTACTTCATATAGTTGTGAGAAGAATAAAGAGAACATACTAGAAAACACCTAGCAACCCCTTGCCCACAATTAAAAGATTAAGGCTTAACACAATGGATGACTGGTTGTAGTAATGTTTCATTTTAATAATTATTATAATGATGTGAGCTCAGAGTACAGATGAATTGCTTTTGATGAAACGGTTGGTGAGCCAGATGAATTTTCCTGATTTTAAATATCCTCCTTGTTCCTTTCTTAATTAGTGGAGCTTGCGATGATAATGGATCGGCTATATGGAGGTGTGTGCTACGCTGGGATTGATACCGACCCTGAGCTAAAATACCCAAAAGGAGCTGGGAGAGTTGCGTTCTCTAATCAACAGAGTTACATAGCTGCTATCAGTGCCCGCTTTGTTCAGCTGCAGCATGGAGAGATAGATAAACGGGTAAGCCTTATACTACATTTTGGAAAATTCTAGAAATGGTCCTCTAAATGTGTGATTACCAATATTAGAACGGGAGCATTTTATGACAATAAAGTGACAGCTGACAATTTTGCCTATAGAGTTAATTATGGTCTATAATACATGAAATAATGTCCTATGAATTTCTTTTATCTTTCAGTTTTTTGAGTAGCCTAATCAGAACACTACAATTTACTTGAGTTAATTTAATCTTCTCTAACTTCCATTCAATCTCAATCCATCCGTCCATTCATTCACTTAGTTTGTAAGTCATTCAATAAATATTTACTGAATCCTTTGTTCTGTGTTATATCAAGTATACAAACAGGAATGCCCTTGAGGTTTCCTGCCCTTTTTTTTGTTTGTTTTTTAATCCTGGGACATAGGGAAGACCTCAGCAAGCCCTATTTCTCAATGAATTGTACTCACAGATTTCTTTTTTTTTTTTTTCTTTTTCCACAGCCGCCACCTCTCACCGATTTATTCCTTAGCTTGGTGTTTCATGTATTCAACAAACGTTTTAGTGCTTAGGGCAAGAAGTTCCTGTCCTCATGAGTTTATTTCCTAGCAGATAGAACTGTATCACTTGCCAGTACTACTCAGAGTGTGGCCTGTGGACTGACCTCCAGTCTGTAAACTTAGTTTGTAGTGAGATAGGAATTTAGACCAGAATGTGTAATCAACCACATTACTGGGCACAATGTTTGGTCCAGCTGGCGATTTTTTTTTCATAGAAAGCCTTTATTGATGAGGGAAGCAATATATTGATTTATATTTTGGGGTCACCTTTTTATTTCATGGCACACTGGCACTTTCATGCATGCTGACTTTGATATCCATCACTCTGAGGCATTGTGCTAAAATAGATTGATTTTATCGTGTTGTTCTCAATTCAAGATGTAAAAATCATCAAGTCAGTAGCAGTTTTTGCTTTTTATGTTTCATGTCATGTACAGTCTACTTCACTGGCAGTAAAAAAATTTAAGATAGTGGTGGTCATCCTACAAACTGTGAATCTATTAAAGAGAAAAGTATCTGTTCTATTCTAAGCATGGGGGAGGGACAAGATTAGTATGTTAACATGCCTACTTTGTTTGTTTGAGATGGAGTCTCTCTCCGTCACCCAGGCTGGAGTGCAGTGGTACAGTCTCAGCTCACTCCAACCTCTGCCTCCCGGGTTCAAGTGATTCTCCTGCCTTAGCCTCCCGAGTAGGTGGAATTACAGGCATATACCACCATGCCCAACAAATGTTTGTATTTTTAGTGGAGACAGGGTTTCACCGTGTTGGTCAGGCCAGTTTCAAACTCCTGACCTCAAGGGATCCACCTGCCTCACCCCCTCAAAGTGCTGGGATTACAGGCATGAGCCACCCACCATGCCTGGCCTACTTGGTTTTTTATGCACACTAAAAAATACCTACATCTCACTGCCTTATTCCAACATAAGTTTCAGAGCTGTGGGATTGGTCATTAGAAATTCAGACTGAATTTGTGTTCCTCTGCAATGAAATCCTTTGCCCAGTGTTCATGTCACTCTGTAGACATTATGGAGCAGCCTAGAGGCCAGAAGCCCAGTGCTCTCCTTATGCCTGCTCTTCCTGGGCTTCGTGACACTCTTCTTCTCCTTTTGTACTTTTATTTTTTTAGTTAAAAAATTTTTTTTAGAGGGAGGGTCTCACTCTGTCACCCAGGCTGGAGCACAGAATCACAATCATGACTCACTGCATGTTCTTCTCCTTTTGTTCATGGCTAATCTTGGTCAGGATTCCTTGTCAGAGCTGGGTGGCACCAGTGCTGGTGACAGCCTGCTGTAAGGGAGTTTCAGCCATGAATCTCTCCAGACTAAAAATAACCAGCTCTTTTCTAGCTGATGAATTAATAACCAGGTGACTGTTAATGCTTGAAAGGTTCACATGACAGGTTGGCCGATAGAACGCTGGAACAGGCCCAGTTTTAGAAATTCACCTCTGACTTTTAGACTCAGGTGAACCATTCTTACTGAGAAAGAACAAAGCAGGGTTTTAGACTGTGAATCCTATGGCTGCATCTTTTTTTTTTTTTTTAACAGAGTTCCAGGTTTGTGATTATAACCCAACATGTGTACACTATAAATAGAAACCACGAGCCAGGCTTTTTACGACAGCTCAGAATCTTGTGACGCAGTAGTCAGGCATCTTCACACCAACTTGAATATTGAAGTGCAGTTGTGTGGAACTTGGATCATCTTAGTTGATTTTGTTTAAATTATGATTCCACATATGACAAAAATCCAGATCCACTAATTAAAATGAGGGTTTATGTCTATGAATAATCTCCTGTGGGTTTAATCTCATAACATTCTAGTCTAAACAGTTGGCTTCACTTCATGATGTCTGCTCAAATCCTTTTTCCTTTAAAGGATGTTTATTTAATAAGAAAAAAATGTAAAATGATAGATAATAAAAGCCTTACTAGGTTCTTAAAAGATGAACTATCCATATTTCAGTAAATGAATAATTAGTCCTTCCTCTTTGGGCACCTTGGAACAGATTCATTCAGATAGTGGGTGGAAATGTACATGTATGGTAAGCATTGCTGGCCTAGTCACTGAAAAATGTAAACTCTTATTTTTGATTGCAGGTGGAAGTTAAGCCATATGTCTTGGATGATCAGCTGTGTGATGAATGTCAGGGGGCCCGTTGTGGGGGGAAATTTGCTCCATTTTTCTGTGCTAATGTTACCTGTCTGCAGTATTACTGTGAATATTGCTGGGCTGCTATCCATTCTCGTGCTGGCAGGGAATTCCACAAGCCCCTGGTGAAGGAAGGCGGTGACCGCCCTCGGCATATTTCATTCCGCTGGAACTAAAGGATAACTGCAGTGCTCATTTTCAGGCCTCAGAATAAGTGCACTCTTCTGTTCATTCTGACCCCTTCCTCAACCTCTTCACGCTGGCATGTCCTTTTGTAGCAGTCTGTAACTTAACTATAGTATAATGAAAAGAATGACCTATAATATAGGTGTTTTGTAGATTCTTGTGTCACTGCAAACAATATGAACTCCTTTTTCGTATTGCCATCGGGTTGCATGGAAGTTTTATTCTCTTGTTTTGCTGGAAACCAAGAGGATCCAAACTTCCTGCAACATTTTCTTAGAGGAGAGAGAGAAATATTAAAAGAGAAATGAAACAATAGAGTATTTTGGGTTTTTAATTAAATTATTGTTAATAATATAACATATAAGAATACTTTTATTAAAATAACCATGCAACAATAACACTATCGGTCTATCTGACAGTTTTTCCCCCAGGGAAGTGCTTTTGCCTTTTCCTTTCTTTTTTTTTTTTTTTTCATCTTTTTTGTCTCTCTCTTTTTTCCATCCCTTTTTAATTTTTTTAACAGCAATGGAGGAAGTTAACAATTTTTAATGGAAAGAGCATGTTAGAGCAAACAAATGCATAAGCAAGACTGAGCAGCATTATAATTAATTTTCAGGGTTTTGAGGCTGAACATAATTTCATTATCCCTCAAAAAGTTACCACCACATCAGAAAAAATAAAAAAAAAATAGTAAAGTAGGCAGAGCTAGGTTTATTTTCTCTTAAACAATTTTTAAAATTCAGAATGTAAAAATTGGGTAAATTTACTACTGAGGGGAGTGCACTTATTTATTTAACTTACTTATCTGGTCAAAGCCCCAGGAAACCTACCAAAGCTAGAATTAATGACAACTGGTGGGAAACCTAGCATTTCCTCTCCTGAAGAATAAATGTATAAATGTTATTTTTGATGTTTATATATAAACTCTATATCCTAATTTACTAATACTCATCAGATGTCAGCCTTTGCTCTCCATTTTGACGTTAAAAAACAACAACAGATCTAGAGATACCTCAAGGATATCATTTTTGATTTTGTGTTACAGTACACTTGTAGCCAAAACTGGAAGACAAAACCAATATATAATTTGGCTGCTGATTGGCTTACTTTTAGATTTAAAGTTACTTTGGGTATCCTGTAATTTAGTTGTAACATAGAAAATGAAAAAACAGTTAAAAAAAGTGAAGTAGTTGCAAAGTGTTTTGCACTGTTGAACTAAGTAACTGTGTAAATCTGTGCAAAGGTACGTATGTTTATCTTACTCTTCCTATAAACTAAAATAACATTACAGTTTCCGAATTTAGCATGGGACATAGTCAGTGTTTGAAGTGCCAACTTCATCAAGTAATGCATGCTTTATTATAAATAAAATTCTAGCTTTGAAAGGCGTTATGTGTTGAACAGTATGCTTCAGGGGTAAATTTAAAATAGTCTCTTGAAGCCCTAGTCATGGAAGTAACTTTTATTTTAATTGACATTCTCTTATTAAATGCCCTATCCATCATTAAAAGGTTTATTATCAGTGGGCAAAACATGAAATAATATGATCGAATGGCAATCTTGCTAGTTGCGCTACCTAACAGTACCATCTTGGATCCTTCAAAACCAAAGACTTGCCCCAGCACTGCTGTGGAACCACCTGGCTTATGACCCCTATGGATGATCTTTAGGAAAAGCAGCCCTTTACTTTTAATACAGGCTTTAATGAACTATACCTGTTAAGTTCCAAAGGTCAAAATGGAGGCATTTGCTGTCTAATATTCAAACATAGAAAGGGAGCTGCTTTTAAAGAATTCCCTGCAAATACTGAAAGCAGTCATGCGAATGGAGGGTGCTCTTGTGTAGCTGGTCAGGGACTTTTTTTTCTTTTCTCCTGAACTACATGATTCTAATTGGAATGTTCATTTGCCTCTTTTTACTCTTTTAAATGCTTGTAGGTGGCTTGGGGTGTGCTATCGTGCTGTTCCTACTCAGTAAACAGGTGTGATGAGTTAACAAGAAATAACACTGTTTGAGAACTAGCTTTGAATAATAATTTTTCCCTTTGTACATGACCTGCTGAATTTCGGTACAGTGTTTTTGTAGCTAACTTATTTTGTCATGCACATAATGTATATTTGTTATGCACTACTTTTGTATATCTTGTTTTTCCAACAGTGAACATTTTTAGGCACACTTTTCACTGACGGGATATCTCTTTATGCAATACCTCAATTTTTCATATTGCAAAGAGTAGCTTTTTGTACTTTTATTACTGAGAGATCTTCATATACTTCATTTTTTAATATAAATAATTTTAATAAATTTTATTTTCTTATATTCTGCTTTTTATACATTTCAGTGCTCTGCATACATTTTAAATTATGAATGTCGTGCACTGGCAATGCTATTTTAGAGTCTGCAGAGAAGAGAAAGCATGTTGCTTAAACATCCTTCCCCAGCACCAGCTATTGGTGTACCTATAATTTAAGAAATAGTCTATGTAAAGTCACAAATTAATGAAAAAAATTCGCATGAAAATGACAGATAACACTGTAGTTCCTAAAAAAAAAATTAAATGCATAAGCATAAGGTAGAAATTAAAATAACAAAATTGTCTACAGCTTCTTACTAAGTTTTTAAAATTATTCATAAAATGCAGACATTTTTGGTGAATGTTTAGCCATTTTTAATATTAATAAATTGATGTTAAGTGTTTGATTCAGAGATGTCTGCTCTTTTAAATTATATATAAGGAAAAAAAATAGCCTGCCTTGGGACAGGTGTGTAATGTTAGTGTGCATGACTAATGTAAGAAATTGTTATTCTACTAATATTTACTTGTGATTGTGTGACAAGTGTGTTTACAGATTATTGGTTACACTTCAATTTACAGGGCATAAACAATGATTATCTATTACTCTGAACTTTATGATTACATGTTCTTCAGATTACATGGGATTGTAGTTGGGAGTTACCATGTAACTCAAACATAATTAACATGTAATTAGTTTACAGATTGTAGGGCATCACTTCAATTCACCAAGCATGTAGTTCTAGCGCACTAGCATGGCGCCAGCCATGTACTTACAATGTAGTTACAGAGTAATTACATGGTGATTTTTGCAATGTAAAATAAAGTGTTTCTGATTATTTTCTATGTAAAGGAACCCTCTCCTTTCCCCTTCTGGTCCCTGCGCTTTGGTATAATATATATACTTCTCCATACACAGACCTCTGCAGAATGCAAAATAAAACTTGCAGTGAATGAATTTAGCATTTTATGAGAGTGCTGTTGGAAAGACTTGATAATTCACCCCTTTTGTTTTGAAGAGTTGAATCTTCTGTTAAAAGGTGATTTAAAACTTGAATGTGATGAATTGTGGCAAGTTAACTTCAAGTTATGTGCAATACTTATTTCAAACTTTTGAAAGATCTTTGCAGTGTAATTCTTTGTTTTTAATTGCAGACATTTAAAAATGTCATTTTCTACTGTTAAGAGTAATCCTCTTTCTTGCTGGTGTTTCTAAAGAAAAGAATCAGAAATCAATCTTTCTACTAATGTAAATTTGAGATTATTTTTAAAAATGGAATAAAAGAGGTTTTGGTCATTTGCTTTATTTTATTATTTTAAAGCTACTGTGATTGATAGCATTGTAAGAATCGGGACAATATTGTATTCAACTGTTTTATTTTTTATATTTTTAAAATTTAAAGTATAATTAGTTTTTATAATTTTCATCAGATTTTTGTTATATTTTTTGGAAGTGAAACTTTTAGCAAGTGGGTGTCTAGTTTTTACTAATCCCTAATTTTTTTTCCAGTGTATTGCTCATATTATCAGAAGGAAAAGTTATTTAAGTATGTCAGTTAATTGTACTACTTGGCTGAATTTCCATATAGTTTTTACTGTGTATGGGGAGGTTGTAGTATTTATTATAGCATTTTAAATAAGGGTAATTCATTTTTTATTAAAGTCATTTTCACGTTAAGTTCCTATTTTTGTATGTTCTACTCTTAAGTTATATAACACAGTTCCTTTTTTAAAAGAGTTCATTTGTTGAAGTGCTAGTGAAAAATTAATGTTATTAAATAGTTTGCAAATGACTATTTATACCAGTATGCATATAATTTTTAAATATTTGTAATGTGAGATGTTGAATGAATAAAACTTTTAACTCAGATTTCTTTTAATATACTTATTTCTTTTTAACACAAGTAGATGATGCTTTCTTGACTGGGAATGTAACATTTTAAAATATTAGGAATATACTGTTCAGCTAATGCAGCACAAACCAATAGGAAAAAATCTTCAGTCATATAAGTACTGTGGCCAGTGTGCATTCTTATGTAAGCCTATAAGCGTCGGTGGGTGGTTGTGTCTTTGGCCTGTACTGTTAGTTCACCTGCTGCCTGCCCTGCAGAGTTCTTTTTATTTGTAGCCTTCAATATGTATACAGGGAGTAAGCCCAGGATCTAAGCATTCAGTTATCAGTTGAAGGCCAAATGCCCAACAAAAGTGAAAAACCCAATGTTTAGTTAATAATGAAAGTCCGTATCTGGGAGGTTCAGTTTTGAGTCTTTGTCAATGAATAGTCTTGATTTGTGGCCACACTACCAAAGGGCTTGAAAACAAGTCTCTTTTGACTTCCAATTCCCAGTTCCTCCATAGACCTTAATGTCATAGGATACGGTGTGTGGGATTATAATCTCTATGGCATGTCAATTGAAAATATTATCTTTGATTTGATCCATTAATCATGTGGACTACCAAGTGCTGTAATGTGTTAGTATTTATATTTTAAACTGCATTCTCAAACTTTTAACATAAGGATTTATTATAACAAAATATAACACTGAGAATATCCTGTTTTGTCAGATTTAATATCTGTTCTTTCTTGAGTATAGTATTCTCAAGACTAGAAGAGGTTCTTGTCCTGAGAGAAATGGACTATGAGATCTTTTGCGTCTAAGTTGTCTTTCCCAACAGGCAGCTCTTCTAACTATAGAGATTACTGAGGGTAAGGGCAGGCTGGACAGCTTCCCCTTTCTCTCATCTGGCAATTCCCAAACCTTACGTTGAGCATTCAATGAAGGGCCTTGAGGAAACCCCAGGGATGGGACACTGGAGATGTGGGTGGCATTTGGTTATCAAGTCTATAATATTCCTAGGCATTCTGGGATGGTTTCACTATTTTAAGAAAAGAAAAAAAAGATAGCCCAAGCATATTTAGTTTATTTTAGGAAATGTTTATTTCAGGTAAGTGAGATATCAATGATATGTGATATAACAACTCTATCTTGAAATTACATAGGTGCATTGCTTTGGGTGTTTTAAATCACAGAATGGTGTGTCTGGAAAGGGTGTAAGAGGCTTCCTGGGCTATATTTCTTCATTCACTGATTGCCTAAACCTACCCAACGAGGAAAATTCTTTTTATTTTTATCTTTTGTTTTTACTGTCTAACCAGATGAATAAACAGTGGAAATTCTCTACCACACTCTTAACAATCAAGTCATTTCATAACCCCTTTTGGTAATGGGTGTTTGTGTCCACAGCTAGATCAGAAAGTAAGTACTTTTTCTAGGGATTTTTTTTTTTTTTTAAGTTTGGGAAATAGTTTGATCAAAAGTCATGGGGAAAGTAATCTCTGATTTTAAAAATTGAAGAATACTGAAGGTGTCAGTGAGTTAGAAATTTTTAAGGAGTAATTATTTTCTGAAATGTGTAATAACCGAATAATAAACAAGACAAAACTCTAATATTTCAGACTGTGATCTTCAGAGGACTAGGATAGTCCTTTCCACAAGAAAAAGACAAAAAAAAATAAAGTTTTACCATTAAATACACTTAGAAAATGGGTCACCTTGTTTCTTGCAAAGTCAAAATAATGCACATTTGCACATTAGCTTATTAAGACTTCAAGAAATTCTACAATGAAGAAATCTTTTTTATTTTATTTTATTTTATTTTATTTTATTTATTTATTTTTTTGAGATGGAGTTTTGCTCTTGTTGCCCAGGCTGGAGTGAGTGCAATGGTGTGCTCTCAGCTCACTGCAACCCCTGCCTCCCGTGTTCAAGCCATTCTCCTACCTCAGCCTCCAAAGTAGCTGGGATTACAGGCATGCACCACCATGCCCAACTAATTTTGTATTTTTAGTAGAGATGGGGTTTCTCCATGTTGGTCAGGCTGGTCTCGAACTCCTGACCTCAGGTGATCCGCCCGCCTTGGCCTCCCAAAGTGCTGGGATTACAGGCGTGAGCCACCGTGCCCAGCCAGAAACCTATTTACTTTGTTGAAAGTGTCCCTCTCACTCCAATTTCTCTGACTACAGATTCTGTTTACAGGTAACACATGGAACATACTTTGGGCTATACCACTGTAACATTTTAGTATGTTTCAAGAAGCTTTGAAACCCCACTTTGTTTTTTGGCATCCATACATGTGTTCTGGAAGGGTGCTTGGCCCTGCCACTTGTGAGCCACTTTCAGAGCTGCTTTCATTGCCCACACCTACTTTACTGGAGTTCTAGGTACTTACGTAGCTTCTAAGCCCTGTCCTAGTTCCAGTGCATCCTCCTAATTCGTCTTCCCTCTACTACCATCCCAGAAGAAAGAAAAAGAGAAGTTACTTTGCACAATAAAGCTATTTTGATTATGCTTTTCACTGTCTCAGACCAGCCCTTGTTTCTCATGAGTGCCTCAAATGCCACTTGAGACAAGCAGCTAGTGCTTTGAATCTGCCATTCTATGATATGCTGTCTCCCTTTCTCATCATTCCTATATCCTCCTTCAAAATTTTCTTTTGCAAACTTCCCTCAGCACCCCTCACCCGCTGATTCTCTTGAGAATAGGCGCCACTGGCTTTGAATAAATTCTAAGAATTTAGAAAATGAACATTTGCGCCCCACTAGGAACTCTTACCTAGCAATACCAATTCAGTCGTCCTCATTAGAGAACATTTTATTTTGCCGTGCCTTGAGTCTTCTCAGGATATTTTGGGTTATCATCTTTCTCTAGTCAAGCTGGGTGTCATTGTTGGCTGTCTGGAAAAAGTGTCTTATTGTGATTCAGCGTGGTGACCAGAGTTGGAAAAGTACACATTGTCTCAGGGAAGTTAAAAATGAACAGCAGCATCCCAAATCAGAATGTGAGCAAACCTCCAGCCTTTAGTATTGCGTGTAATTTGATTCAGTGTCAGGGAAAAACTGCCTGTGGGTAGCTGGGCTGGAGGTGGTGAATCAGTGCACGCAAATGCCAGCAGCTAAGCTTGAGCTTTCTTTATCCTTTTCATCGGAGTTCTATTTCAGGAAGCCCGGCTTTGATACCCTAAAAATGTCAATGTGATCAAGCAAATGTCACCATTTTAAAGAGATTATTTTCAACTCTTCTCCCACCTCCCTGTGAGACCTAGGAGTGACTCCCCAGAACCCACCAAAGGCAGCAGGGCATTTTAAACTCGTGAAATCAGTTACCCAGGAAGAGAACCGGGAGGGGTGGTGGTAAAATAATTATGTGAAGCTGCAAAGAATGTTTTAGCTAGGATCCAAGAAAGACCTGGCGCTTCCTTATTTGGAGGAATGAAGGTGATACAGGAGCTAAAAGGAAATTATTTAGGCGGTTAGCGAGGGTAAGAGAGTCCTCAGGCTTCCCTTTTAACAAAAAGCAGCCCCCAAATCATTTCTTTTCTAACAAAGAGCAGCCTGTAAAATCGAGCTGCAGACATAAATAAGCAAGCTGGAAGCCTGCATAGGTAAATGCCGGCAGCTGTGCCAACAGGAAAAGGCTAGCTGGGGGCCAGGCATGTTCAACATGGAGGCTCCCTCTTCCTTTTCTTTGTCGCTATGTGTGCAGTAGAAAGGCAGGCAACATGGCGTTGGCCAGGTAGAGACCCCCATCTGCATAATAAAAGATTAGGGTGGGATGGCCAGCTTCTTTGTGCGTGATGCAAGTGTCACGCCTGGTCCGACCAATCTCTCTGGCCCTACGTGAATCAGACACGCCTCCTCAAGCTCATCTATAAAATCCCATGCATTTCATTGTGGAGCCGGAAGTCCCACCCGGGAGCCCCTCTCTCTCCTAAGAGAGAGAGCTATTCTCTTTCTTTTGCTTATTGAACCTCCAGGGTTAAACTCACTTCTTGTATGTCCGCGTTGTTGATTTCCCTGGCACGAGACGACGAACCTCGGGTACTTACCCCAGACCACAACGCCGCTTCAAAGGCACAATTCCCCTTTCATGTTTGAGGGAAAAGTGCTGTGGGTCCTTGAGTGTTTGGTGACAGAAGGTTTGATTCCAACAGCGTGCTGGGTGGGGTAGGGTGGGTGAGGGTGGGGTGGGGTGAGGGTGACGGTGGGGTGGGGTGAGGGTGAGGGTGGGGTGAGGGTGAGGGTTGGGGTGGGGTGGGGTGAGGGTGGGGTGGGGTGAGGGTGGGGTGGGGTGAGGGTGAGGGTTGGGGTGGGGTGGGGTGGGGTGAGGGTGGGGTGAGGGTGGGGTGGGGTGAGGGTGGGAATGTGGAATAGTCACATCCATCAGATGACTCTCAGCACTGCTGACTTCAATGACGGAATGATTTGGTTCAGAAGAAACTAGTAAATGCTGATCCCCTGTTATATATCAGGCCCTTACATACATTAGCAAGGATAACACTTCCATGAGGTATTGAACAGATCATAGAACTGTCTCATGGAGAAGGTGGGTGATTTGGCCAAGGCTGGGATGTGCCTAGGTCCCAATTCTCATCTACTAATCTCAAATCTTCTCCTTTAAACCTTCTTGCCGCTGGATTAGCAATGAACAGGATCAGGGCTTTTTATTCAAGTTTTATTTTGTTTTTAAAAGAAAAGTTTCATTCCTAAACCTAATCTGGGTGTAACTGTCATATTTGAAACTATAGAGATAGGATGATAAAACAAAAGTTGTAAGATGGGTGGGCACGGTGGCTCACGCCTGTTATCCCAGCACTCCGGGAGACCTAGGCTGAGGATCAATTGAACCCAGGAGTTCAAGACCAGCCTGGGCAACATGGCAAAACCCCGTCTCAACAACAACAACAACAACAACAAAAACTTAGCTGGGCATGGTGGTGTGTGCCTGTCGTTCCAGCTGCTGCGGGGGAAGGGGGCTGCTGAGATGGAGGATCGCTTGAGCCCAGCAGGTGGAGGCTGCAGTGAGCCACGATCTCACTATGGCACTCCAGCCTGAGCAACAAAGTGAGACCATCTTGGGGGATAAAACAAAAACACCACAAAATAAAACCAAAAAAACTCAAAAGTTGTACAATGGCTGGGAACAATGGCTCATGCCTGTAATCCCAGCACTTTGGAAGGTGGGAGGATCACTTGAGGCCAGGAGTTCAAGACGAGTTTGGGCAGCATGGCAAGACCCTGCCTCTAATTTTAAAAATAAAAAATAAAAATAAACTTTGTAAGAGCAAATGTGAGTTTTGATTGTGAGTCCTAAAATGTGGCCACTTCCTCTCTTAAAAACTGACTCTCAGCTAAGACAGGTGCTCGAGGTCATGTAATTAGTTAGTAGGGAGGCAGATAAGGAGGCCAGAGGGAAGTCCTTGAGCTCTGTCAAGCTCAGGTGGCTCAGGCCCACCTCTGCAGTTCTTGTCTGCCTTACTGGCTTCCATTAAGCCCATGAGTATGGCTCAGAGGCCAGAACTGGGTATATATTTTAGGAGTAGGGACAAGGTAGTTGAAATGACATTTCTATTCACTTTAAGGAAGTACAGTACAGACTTCTTAGTACATATTCTTTCTCTTTGATCCAACCACCAAGAGAGACACATCAGTTTGGAGTAGGAAACAAAGAAAAAGGAGGGCCCTTTTCTCTAGTATTGTAAACCCAAGAATTCCAGAAACACAATTTTAGGAGTGAGAATAATAATAATAAGGCCGGGGGCGGTGGCTCATGCCTGTAATCCCAGCACTTTGAGAGGCCAAGGTGGGCAGATCACGAGATCAGGAGTTCGAGACCAGCCTGATCAACATGGTGAAACCCCATGTCTACTAAAAATGCAAAAATTAGCCAGGCATGGTGGCGCACGCCTGTAATCCCAGCTACTCAGGAGGCTGAGGCAGGAGAATCTCTTGAACCCAGGAGGTGGAGGTTACAGTGAGCTGAGATCGCACCACTGCACTCCAGCCTGGGTAACAGAGCAAGACTCCATCTCAAAATATTAATAATAACTACAACATTGGTGGAGTGCTTTCCAAGTGCTAGGCATTTGATATAGGGATCTCCTTTCTACCTCCCCACAAGCCTATGTCATAGATACTGTCATTATACAGTATCTCATTTTAAGGCGACCAAGGTTCAAAAACGTTAACTAATCTGCAAAGCCAGGATTCAAATCCAGGCACGCAGGTCCTGCCTGTTTCACCTCACCCCTTAGAAATGTCCAACCTAAAAGGGAAATTTGATTAAAATTTCATTTATTCCCCTGCGTTGGTTAAAAACTCACCAATGAATAGTGTGACAGCTAATCTGTGTTGTAGCTATGCCATCCCCAAATTCTCAAGGGACTAAGATGAGGCCCAACTAACCAAAATCACATGGGTTCCGAGGAAGGCTATCCAGCTTGCTAAATAATGAAGAGATAGATAGGTAAGTGGTTGGAGGGATAGATTTTATTTTATTTTATTTTATTTTTGAGACAGGGTCTCACTTTGTCACCCAGACTGGAGTGCAGTGGTACCATCATGGCTCACTGCAGCTTTGACCTCCTGGGCTTAAGTGATCCTCCCACCTTAGCTTCCTGAGTAGCTGGGACCACAGATGAGCATAACCACACTCAGCTAATTTTTTATTTCTGGTACAGACAGGTTCTCTATATGTGTATCTATATGTCTATGTGTATATATAGAGACATGTATATCTCTGTATATCTCAGATATATGTTTTTTAGATGCAAAGAAAAATCCCACCAAGAAGAAAGGGTTTTACTTTTTTCTATAGAACTATAATTGACCAACATGCTCTATATAGAAAATCAAGCCTCCTCTCATGCATCTGATCCTTTGATATCTGCACGGTCTATGTAATCTCACAAAAATAGTCCTGAAATCCAAAGGAATGGGGGAGAGACTTACGGATGTGTCCTCGTGAATTTTAAAACAGCACTTGAACGTTTTGCTTTTGGATTCAGATGTCAGAAGCATCAAAATAGATTTCTACAGAGAATTTATATTCCTGACTTTTTATATATATATGTGTGTGTATATATGTAAAGAGAGGCAGTGTCTGCCATTTTTAGAGCACTGGAGCTTTGAATTACACATGGCTTTGATCCTTGCCGCAGCCTAAACAGCTGTTCTTGAGCAGATGTGATGCTGTAGAGCCTGGAAGAATCAACTTAGAATCTCTGAACCTAGATTTGCAGCAAAACGCCCTTCTGAGGGAGACGTTAAGACCATGGTCAAATACAGTCATCAGCAACTTCCTTTTTCTTTGCCCCTTCCCAAAGTTCAACTCCTACAAAGACCAAACATGAAATTCTAAAGCTGGAGAGGATGCAACCTGGGAAATCAGATTTAGTCTCGTAAGTGTTGTACTTAAGTCAGGATCAGCAGCCCTCCATAAGGGGTGTCGGAGGGTGAGGAGGAGGAGTTTAAGGGGGAGAGTAGGGAGAATGAGGAGGTCAAGAAGAGAGAGGAGAAGAATTTAACTATTGCATGTAATTTTGTGTCCAGAAGGTAACAGCACCCTCTACACACACGGCCCATAACTAGGGATCTAAGGCCTTCCACACTCCTGATCACACCCTCATCGTTCTCCCCAGGGTGGGGCAATTTTGCATTAACACAGTTATCACCCATAATGGGGAAAAACTGGAATTTTTTTCTTGGCTTTCCTTATACACGTTTTGTAATATTCTTTCCTTTGAATTCTACATGGAGAGTGGAGCTCCATAATGGTTGGAAGCCGGGGTCTATCATCTGATGCTGGTAGCACGTAGCACTGTGTTTAGCACGGAGTAAGCACTCAGTAAGTGTTAACTCATTATCATCATCGTTGTTTGCTACTATTATCTATCCACTGACAAAGTGCCAGTCCCAGTGCTGAGTTGAGGGCAGAGGTGGGTGGCAGGGTCACTGCCCAGTGCAGGGGCTAGGAACCCCGGGATGCCCCTCTCCCACATTCCTTTCCTCCTGTGGATTCTCTGGCTCCCACCCCATCCAGCCTACAACAGTTGCCATGGTGACCGAGAAGGCTCTGCGACTCCAGGCCCTGCTGCTACCGCAGTGCCCAGCTCTTGCTGTCTCCCTCTTTCCATCTTAGGAACTGGAGGATTCCGCCCACGTCTGGGAGTCATGAGCGGCAGCAGAGGGGGTTGAATGTGTGCTACCAAACTGGACAGAAACTCCAGAGGGGCTGTGTCCTGGGACTGGTTTTCTGGAAACTTTGGATAAGCCCCAAATCTTTCCCTTTAGAGAAAGAATCAGGAGGTGGGAAGAGGAGTTGGAAATTAGGCCCTGTGTCCTTCAGCGACAGCTCAGTGATACTGCCTTTGAGGAAACAGAATTTTTAGTTCTGCAATTTTTTCCCCTTTGTCCTTATAAACTGCAAAAGGTGGGTGAAGGGAGCCCAGACACCATGTGGGATAGTAGACCTGACTTGCTTCTGGGAGTTAGGCATAGCTGGGCTCAAACGCCAAAGACAGGAAGCATTGTGGTTAGGGACTTGGCTTTGGGGTGATACCAACGGGGTTTCTATCCTTGGACTACTGCTGACGGACCGAGTGACCCAGACCACATTAGGTAACCTCTAAGAATCGGCTTTCTCATGCATTAGAAGGGGCAAATAATATCTTCATCACTGGTTTGAGGTTAGGATTTAACAAGGTATTCACGAAAAATGTGCTTCAGTCATAATCATGAGGGGTCCCCAGTATCATTAACATTATTGCCCCAGATCTGACCATTGTTGGCCCCAACTACCTAAGGAAAGTCCCCTCACCTCTCAGAGAGATGGAGATATAGCCTCCAGCCTCCACCCCCGCAGCTAGGGTGGAACAGAGACCTGACCGCCTCTGCCCCTGCCTTGCAAAACACCCCAACAGCAGTGGCTCATTGCCCTGGAAATCAAATCCACCCCAAGGCCTTGCAAGACCTGGCCCTGGCTCCCAGCCTGCCCTTCTATTTCCCCTTCTTGACGGCGGGCTGCCGCCGCTCTGCCTGGGCCACCGTTCTGGTAATGCAGGTCCCCTTCCCTGGTGCACCGTCCTCTCACCTGCCTCCTAGGAAAGTCTCTGCCTGCTCCTGCCCTGCTCCCTTCCTTGCTTCGACCCAGCTCCACGTGGAGCTGGCTCCTCACTTCTCCTTCTGCAGTCAGCTGGCACATCACCATCACCTCCTCCCTCTGAGAGGACTTCCTGGGTCTCTCTGAAGCCCTCCTGGCCATCATGTTTTATTTGTTATCAGAAGCACTCCTGACTCAGCACTAAATAGGATGCATAATTGTCACTGCCTATCATTTGTTTACCTTTCTTGGGGGAGGAAACAAACATTCTCTTGCTCGCCTGTGTCCTCAGGACCCATCATGTGCCTTGCTCCTGGTAAGCACTTACTAAATGTTTGCTGAATGGGTGACTAACAGGATCCCTATGTGAGCTCTCTTTCTTAGACCGGCTTTCAAAATTGCCATGCAGAGGAGGGCTGTGCTTCAGGATTAGAGGCCCACAGCTTATGGGGCCCCAAGGCTGGATGTTTCACAAGGAAAGTGGATATCAGAATGCCTGATAAAGGTAGCCTGGAGCACTCAGAGAAGTACAGGCAAAAAGTTCACCTGAGGATCTTGTCAAAATACAGGTTGCGAGTCAGCAGCGCTGGGAGCCTGAGACTACATCTCTACCAAGCTATCCAGTGGGCTCCATGCTACTGCTTCTCCATAGAAGTTAGTTCTTGAGAAAGCCGTGAACGTTCAGACCTGGGAGTAACGCTGTCAGAATGAGTGCAGCGGCAGGGAGAGCAGAGCCTGGGGGGGTTGTGGGTGGGCCTCCTGCCTGACCCAGGCCCTAGGGACAGGGAGGACAAAAGCAAAGGAAGGGCTGGCTCCCCTCTATGTCTGAGCAGACCAGCCAGATGAGGCTGGAATCTGTTTTCTAGAATTTGCCTTAGTCCCAGGGAAAAAATTCCATCCGGGAGTTTGCTCATTCATTCATCTATTTATTTCTTCAACAAATATTTGTTATTCTTAGGCCCCGAGGATGCTGTGGGGACAAGACAGGTAAAGGCTCTGTCCTCTTGGCATTTATGTTCTGGAGACAAAGGCCTGGGTTTGAGCCCTGGGATGTATGTGTGTGTGTGTGTGTGTGTGTGTGTGTGTGTGTGTGTGTTGCTGTGTCGGATTTTGGTGAGTCACTTCAGCTTCAGCAGTGCAGCCTTAGTGAAATGTGATGGGCGTCATTGGGAAGATCTCGGGAAAGAATGCCGTGAAAAGATAAGGCACTACTGTTATGCACAGAACCACTAATCTGAATTTGCGACTTTATAACTGTTACCCAAAGTTGTTGATCTGCAAAAGAGCATTGCATCAGGGAGTTTCTTTATTCATTCAGTCATTCATCCAACAAGTATTTGCACTGTCCCAGGCTCTGGGGACATTGTGGGGACAAATCCAGCAAAGTCCCTGTTCCCTTGGCATTTATGTCCTGGGAAAGGGAACTCATCAGACGGTCACCAAGTAAACACGTACATAAGTAGGAAAACATTAGTGCTAAGCCTCGAGGAAATTAAACCAGCTAATACAGTGCAGACTAGGAAGGAGTGGGGCTATGTTAACTGGGCGATTAGAGAAGGCCTCCTTGACAGGTGAGATTTAAACACATCTGAATAATGAGAAAACACAAGCCATGCTAAACTGTGAGGAGAAAGTATTCTGGACAGAGGAAATAGCACGTGCAAGTGTCCTGGGGCAAGACTGAGCTTGATAAATGTGCAAGGAAGAGCAGTGTGGCCGGGCACAGTGAGCCAGGGGGCGCACCTGAGCTCAGAGAGGTGGAGGGGCTGCACAAGACAAGACCTTGTTAGCCCAGTAGAGACTTTAGATTTTATTTCTAATTACACAGAGGGAGAGTCAGTGAAGAGTAGCTGCAGGGGAGGAATGGGACTGATTTGCGATCACCAGGACAACTGTGGGAAGAATAGATTGTAAAGGAGCCCGAGTGGGGCAGGAGAAGCCCTTAGGAGGGGATAGCAGTGGCGCTGGTGTCACTGGTGTCAGTGGAGGATGGCAGCAGAACCGGGCCACGTTAGCTCTTCGTGTCAGAGAGAACGTGGGCAGTGAGGAAGACACGTGCGCGTGACTTGAGAGTTGGCAAAGTCCCACGTGCCCTACTATTTTGGGAGGAAACACAATTTACAACGCATTACTAATCTCGTTCCCTTGGAACACTTCAGCAAAGGCAAAACTTTCATGAAGTCAGAAGGAAACAAGGCCAGTTCTAATCCTGCCTAGACACACAGAACCTTCAAAAGGAAGGTATCGATTACAAAGGGAGACTGTTACCCCAATCCCCTCCCTGTCCTCTGAAGTCTCATTGAAATTCTTTGCTTATCTGAAAGGGTATGAGATCCTGCTTCAACAAGTAAGGAGTGGTATTAATACTTAGTTGCATGAAACAGACTCTAATTCTGATCAAGCGGTGCTCTAATTTGGCGGGGGCGGGAAGGGCGGTTCTGGAAGGAAAATGAGATGGAAGTGATGATGCAGGCAACTTAATTAAGAGACTGGGCGCAAAACCCAGGTGTGTGTCTGTGTTGGTTTTGTGGTGTGGAGGCAGCAGGGGGAGGGAGGAAACACTCAGTTTTCCTGCTACCAGGTCTAGAGAATTGTATCTCAGTTCCCTGTAGGGGTGGGGCCCTCCCATTCCTTCAGGGTTGGGCCAGGTCCCCTGGGCCCAGGGTCCTTTCATTCACAAAGGACTGAAAATGGAGACAGCTGACATTATCTGAAGGCTGAACAATAGCCATAGAGCTCCACTGCCTGGTATCATAGCATTGAGCCCTGAACACCTTTCAACTTGGTACCATTATCACACCCTCTGTGGTAACCCACAAAGAATCCAATCTTCCCCTAATTCTCAACAAGAGCACAAGGATGTTACATTGTACTTTGAGGGTTAATAGCATTTATTTATTTGTTTAACATACACATTTAAAATATATCAATTTCTGTGTGTGGTTTTTTTTTTTTTTTTTTTTGAGATGGAGTCTTGATCTGTCGCCCAGGCTGGAGTGCAGTGGCGCCATCTCGGTTCACTGCAACCTCTGCCTCCCAGGTTCAAGCGATTCTCCCGCCCCAGCCTCCTGAACAGGTGGGATTACAGGCGCCCGCCACCACACCTGGCTAATTTTTATATTTTTAGTTGAGACGGAGTTTCGCCATGTTGGCCAGGCTGGTCTCCAACTCTTGACCTCAGGTGATCCGCGCGCCTCGGCCTCCCAGAGTGCTGGAATTTAGAGGCGTGAGCCACCGCACCCGGCCCACAATTTGTTTATTATAAAAAAGGAAATCTCTCTTCCCCTCAACACATAGAATTGGCCTGGGCCTCTTTCCCTCACAGAGCAGTCCTGGGGTTAGCACTTTGAAAGTTAGGGGACTTAGGAGCAAGGTGTGTTCCGGCTCCCCACTCCCCCCGAATCAGTCCCCTTTCCACTCTTGGGAACACAATGGAAGCTGCCAGAAGCTGTGGCAGAACTAGCGGAGGGTGAAGGAACAGCATTTCAGGCAGATGAGGTGGGTAGGCCCTTTCCTGACAGCCATCCCCGAGGTGTCCTCAGGGGACCATATGTCCCAGACCTGCTGCTGGCCAAATGGAATTCATGACTAGGAATATGCACCGTTTGGTTAACTGCGCTCCTGCAGCTGTTTGATGAGGGGTGGGGAGGGAGGAGCCAGTCACCTCTTTTGTGGGCTGAAATTCCATCTCACGTCATGGATCCTGGGCTCCCAGGCTGCGCACCCCCAAGCCCGCCTGCCTCTCTCCGCTTGCGCCGCGGCTCACGGGGGTTGGAGACGCACCTTCTCCACGTGCCGTTTTCAAAAAGCTCAGGCAGGGAGTCGTGTTTTGAGTTGAGGCTACTCACTTCACTTCTTGGTAATAATAAAAATTGAGGGAGGCGGCGTCGGGGGAAAAAAAGGGTTTCCTTCTTAAAGGGGAAGGGGGGAGATGAAAAGGGACGACTTTATCCGGGAGCTGTGACTGCCACCTGGTGGACAATGTCAGCTGAGCAAGACAAAGGCTCCCCGCTTCCAATCAGCCCTTCCTGCATTCTTCACTCTTCTGGTCGACTGTCTCCCTCCGGGAGAAGCTCCGTGGAGGGGAAGAGAGAAACAACCATAACACAGTGTGACGGATGCTGTGATTGGCGCGGTCTCGAATAGGGGCTCAGGCTGTGGCAGCCAGAGCCACACAGCCTGGGTTTGAGTCCCTGCCCCGGGACTTCCCTGCCGTAACTTTGGCTGAGCGACTTAACCTCTCCTGTGCCTCCTCCTTCTTATCTGTAAAACGAGGCTCACGGCCCCTACCTCACAGAATTGGCAGTTCCTGTCTCCTAGGTCGTAAGGATGGAATAACGCACTCCATGTACATACCGAGCACGGGTCTGGCTCAGAGACAGGGCTCAGAAATTGGCTGGTAGCATGGAGAGAAGCCTGGAGCCACGGGAACCTCTGGATGGTGTCAGGTGCTCTGCGGCCCACGGGGGCGGGGGAAGGACTAGTGAGCAGAAACTCCTCCTCGCCTTATCAGGTGAGAGAGACAGGCATGAACACTTGAATGAACAGAAAAGGCACGTTCCGGCCCCATGGTCTCCTTGGGGAGGTAGACTTGTACACAGGTGATTATAATTTGTAATAAGCATATTCTGGGATGGGATGCAGTGCCATAGGAGCTTCCCCACCTCGGGAGTGGGCAGACTTTGGGGAAACAGTGGAGGTGGCGCACGCTGGTACTGAGGGTTGGCCCCTTGCTGCAGGTGAAGGAGATGCTGGAGATGATGTCTAAGTGTTGAGATAAGCCACAGTCCTCTCCCCCTCTTACCAGAACACTCGAGTCCCAAGAGGCTGGTGGTGGTGGTGGTGGTGGTAGGGGGGCAGGTGCTGATATGAGGCTGAGGTGGGGGAGGGTGACAATAAACAAGTACACAGTAAATAAGAGAATTTCAGAGCATGGTAGAGACAATGTGTGAGGGAAGGCGCAAGGACAGAGCTGCTTTGGAGAGAGGGGTCCAGGATGGCAGCTCCCAAGAGGGGCCTTTAGGCTGAGATCTGCACCGTGAGAAGGTGTAAGCTGGGTGCACCCTCACTTATCAGGCTCTCGTGTCATCCTGCTGGGCATCCTGTTAGCAGCCCCGCATGCTGACTCTCGTGGAGAACAGGGAAGGCCCCAGGTGACTGGGACAGTGAGACAGCTCTGTGACTGTTCCATATGGACAGGCCAAAACAGGGTTTTAAGGCACAGTAGCTTCAGTCTCCTCTGTTGCCTACATCTCCTCCTTCCCTGTTCTTCTGTCTAAGCGGAAGGAGTTAGTATCAGATTTGATGTCTCTCCTACCAAAATAAACACTAGATTTAAAAATATATATTTTATATTTATATAAATATATATTCAAAAGGACTGGAGAGCTACTGAGGTGGTAAGACCTTGAGGCCGGTTGTGCACAGGTCTGGGCAGAAGACAAGCACCACGGTGATGCAATATCCAGCATGACTTCTCCTCCAGACATTGGCTGATCGTGAGTGACAGCCTAGAGGCTAAGACGCTGAGCTGTAGGTGGCCTCATGGGGTGTAAGGGACAAAAATAAGACCAGGTCCAGAAAGGGCCCTGATAAACACCCTGGACTTTCAACTGGGGCATTTAAGAGCGAGAGTCTAGAGAGTAAGACCAAACAAGATATACACTAGCCTTTGTAAAGACTGAACCCAGCTATAAATCAGCTTGATCCCAGATAAGGAATTAAGATGAACTTCCTCTACCTCAGCTGCCCACCAGAAACAAAAGTAAATTCTCTCTGGAGAATGATAACATTATCTGGAGTTTCAAATAATCTCTACAATTTTTATTACACACCATCTGGTATTTGATTTTAAAAATTTTTCCAGCATGCCAGAATTCAAAATCCAATGACTAAAAAATAAGAGAAACAAATGGCTTCGGTTACCATAATGGTAGTTTTAAATTTTCAATAGTTTTTTGTGGAACAGGTGGTGTTTGGTTACATGGATAAGTGCTTTCGAGGTGATTTCTGAGATTTTGGTGCATCCATCACCCAAGCAGTGTGCACTGTTGCTGCTACACCTGAGCAGTGTAGTAGACTACCCAATGTGTAGTATTTTACCCCTCACCCTCACTCCCACCCTTTCCCCTGAGTTCCCAAAGTGCACTGTATCATTCTCATCCTCCATCCTCATAGCTTAGCTCCAATTTATAAGTGAGAACATACAATGTTTGGTTTTCCATTCCTGAGTTACTTCACTTAGAATAATGGTCTCCAACTCCATCTAGGTTGCTGTGAATGCATTATTTTATTCCTTTTTATGGCTGAGTAGTATTCCATGGTGTGTGTGTGTGCATATATATATATATATATATATATATATATATATATACATTTTCTTTATCCACTCGTTGCTGAATGGACATTTGGACTGGTTCCATATTTTTGCAATTGCAAATTGTATGGCTATAAACATGCATGTGCAAGTGTCTTTTTTTTTTTTTTTTAAATAAAATGACTTCTTTTCCTTTGGGAAAATACACAGTAGTGGGATTGCTGGATCAAATGGTAGATCTACTTTTGGTTCTTTAAGAAATCTCCCAACATGGCACATATATACATATGTAACAAACCTGCACGTTGTGCACATGTACCCTAAAACTTAAAAAACTTAAAGTATAATAATAATAAAATTAAAAAGAAATCTCCACGCTGTTTTCCATAGTGGTTGTACTAGTTTATATCCCCAACAGCAATGTGAAAGGCTTCCCTTTCCACCACATCCACAGCAACATTACCTATTTTTTAATTATGGCTATTCTCGCAGGAGTAAGGTGTTGGCGCATTGTGGTTCTGATTTGCAGTTCCCTGATCATTAGTGATGTTGAGCATTTTTTTGTGTTTGTTGGCCATTTGTATATCTTCTTTTGAGAATTTTTTCTTCATGTCTTTAGCCCACTTTTTGATGGGATTATTTGTTTTGTTTTTCTTGCTGATTTGAGTTTCTTGTAGATTCCAGATATTAGTCCTTTGTTGGAAGTATAGATTGTAAAGATTTTCTCCCACTCTGTGGGTTGTCTGCTTACTCTGCTGATTATTTCTTTCTTTTTAGTTTAATTAAGTACCATCTATTTACCTTTGTTGCATTTGTTTTAGGGTTCTTCGTCATGAAGTCTTTGCTTAAGCCAAAGTCTAGAAGGGTTTTTCCAATGTTATCTTCTAAAATATTTATGGTTCCAGGTCTTAGATTTAAGTCCTTGATCCATCTTGAGTTGATTTTTGTATAAGGTGAGAGATGAGGATCCAATTTCATTCTTCCACCTGTGGCTTGCCAATTATCCCAGCACCATTTGTTGAATAGGATGTCCTTTCCCCACTTTATGTTTTTGTTTGCTTTGTCAAAGATCAGCTGGCTGTATTTGACTTTATTTCTGAGTTCTCTATTCTGTTCTGTTGGTCTATGTGCCTATTTTTATACCAGAGTACCATGCTGTTTTGGTGACTATATGCTTATAGTATAGCTTGAAGTTGGAAAATGTGATGCCTCCAGATTTTTTTTTTTTTTTTGCTTAGTCTTGTTTTGGCTATGTGAACTTTTTTTTTTTTTTTTGGTCCCATATGAATTGTAGGGTTGCTTTTTCTAGTTCTGTGAAGAATGATGATGGTAATTTGATGGGAATTGCATTGAATTTGGCAGTATGGTCATTTTCACAATGTTTTTGGCAGTATGGTCATTTTCACAATATTGATTCTACTCATCCATGAGCATGTGATGTGTTTCCATTTGTTTGTGCCACCTGTGATTTCTTTCAGCAGCATTTTGTAGTTTTCCTTGTAGAGGTCTTTCGCCTCCTTGGTTAGGTGTTAGGTGTATGCCTAAGAATTTTATTATTATTATTATTTTTTGCAGCGATTGTAAAAGGGGTTGAGTTCTTGTTCTGATTCTCAGCTTGGTCGCTGTTGGTGTATAGCAGTGCTATTAATTTGTGTACATTGGCTTTGTATCCTGAAACTTTACCGAATTCATTTATCAGATCTAGGTGCTTGTTGGATGAGTCTTTAGGGTTTTCTAGGTATATGATCATATTATTGGCAAAGAGTGACAATTTGATTTCTCCTTTACCAATTTGGATGCCCTTTATTTCTCTTGTCTGATTGCTCTGGCTAGGACTTCCAGTACTATGTTGAATACAAGTGGTGAAAGTGGGCATCCTTGTCTTGTTCCAGGTCTTAGGGGGAAATGCTTTTAACTTTCCCCCATTCAGTATAATGTTGGCTGTAAGTTTGTCATCGATGGCTTTTATTACGTTAAGGTATGTCCCTTCTATGTCGATTTTGCTGAGGGTTTTAATCATAAAGTGACGCTGGATTTTGTCAAATGCTTTTTCTGTGTCTATTGAGATGATCGTGTGATTTTTATTTTTAATTCTGTTTATGTGGTGCATCACATTTATTGACTTGTGTATGTTAAACTATCCCTGCATCCCTGGTATGAAACCCACTTGATCATGATGGATTATCTTGTTGATATGTTGTTGGATTCGGTTAGCTAGTATTTTGTTGAGGAATTTTGCATCTATGTTTATCAGGAATATTGGTCTGTAGTTTTCTTTTTTTATTATGTCCTTTCCTGGTTTTGGTGTTAGGGTAATACTGGCCTCATAGAATGATTTAGGGAGCATTCCCTCTTTCTCTATGTTTTGGAATAGTGTCAATAGTATTGGTACCAATTCTTTGAATGTCTGATAGAATTCAGCTGTGAAACTATCTGCTCCTGGACTTTTTGTTGTTGTTGGCCATTTTAAAGTTACCATTTCAATTTTTCTGCTTGTTATTGGGGGTCTGTTCAATTTTTATTAATTTTTTTATTTTAGAAAGTCTCGCTCTGTCCCCAGGGCTGGAGTGCAGTGGTGCCATCTTGGCTCACTGCAACCTCCACCTCCCAGGTTCAAGTGATTCTCCTGCCTCCGCTTCCCAAGTAGCTAGGATTACATGGATCTGCCACCATGCCTGGCTAATTTTTATATTTTTAGTAGAGACAGGGTTTCGCCATGTTGACCAGGCTGGTCTTGAACTCCTGACCTCAGGTGATCTGCCTGCCTTGGCCTCTCAAAGTGCAGGGATTACAGGCGTGAGCCAGTGCTCCTGGCCTGTTCAGAGTTTTTATTTCCTCCTGGTTTAATCTAGTAGGGTTGTATATTGCAGGAATTTATCCATCTCCTCTAGGTTTTCTGGTTTGTGCACATAAAGGTGTTCATAGCAGCCTTGAATGATCTTTTGTATTTCTGTGGTATAGGCTGTAATATCTTCCATTTCTTTTCTAATTGAACTTATTTGGATCTTCTCTCTTCTTGGTTAATGTCATTAACGGTCTATCAATTTTGTTTATCTTTTCAAAGAACCAGCTTTTTGTTTCATTTATCTTTTGTATTTTTTTTGTTTCAATTTCATGTAGTTGTGCTCTGATTTTTGTTATTTCTTTTCTTCCACTGTGTTTGGGTTTAGTTTGTTCTTGTTTCTATAGTTCCTTAAGGTGACCTTAGATTGCCTATTTGTGCTCTTTCAGACTTTTTGATGTAGGTGTTTAATGCTATGAACTTTCCTCTTAGCACCACTTTTGCTGTAATCCCAGACGATTTCATAGGTTGTGTTACTATTATCATTCAGTGCAAAAAAGGTTTAATTTCTATCTTCATTTGATTGTTGACTCAATGATCATTCAGGAGCAGATTATTTAATTTCCATGTATTTGCATGGTTTTGAGGGTTCCTTTCGGAGTTTCTAATTTTATTTCACTGTGGTCTGAGAAAGCACTTGATATAATTTTGATTTTCTTAAATTTATTGAGACTTGTTTTGTGGCCAATCATATGGTCTACTTTGAAGAATGTTCCATGTGCTGATGAATATAATGTGTATATTCTGCAGCTGTTGGGAAGAATGTTCTGTAAATATCTGTTAAGTCCATTTGTTCTAGGGTATAGTTTAAGTCTGTTGTTTCTTTGTTGACTTTATGTCTTGATGACGTGTCTAGTGTTGTCAGTGGAGTATTCAAGTCCCCCACTACTGTTGTGTTGCCATCTGTCTCATTTCTTAGGTCTAGTAGTAATTATTTATAAATTTGGGAGCTCCAGTGTTAGGTGCATATATATCTAAAATTGTGATATTTTCCTTTTGGACTAGTCCTTTTATTATTATATAATGCCCCTCTTTGTCTTTTTTAATTGTTTAAAAGTCTGTCTTGTCTAATATAAGAATAGCTACTCCTGCTCACTTTTGGTGTCCATTCGCGTGGAATATCTTTTTCCACTCCTTTACCTTAAGTTTATGTGAGTCCTTATGTATTAGGTGAGTCTCTTGAAGACAGTAGATACTTGGTTGGTTAATTCTTACCCATTCTGCCATTCTGTATCTTTTATTGGAGCATTTAGGCTATTTACATTCAGTGTTAATATTGGGGTGTGAGGTACTATTCTATTCATTATGCTAGTTGTTGCCTGAATACCTTGGTTTTTCTTTGTGTTACTGTTTATAGGCCCTGTGAGATTTATGCTTTAAGGAGGTTCTATTTTGGCATATTTTGAGGTTTTGTTTCAAGATTTAGAACTCCTTTTTGTACTTCTTGTACTGCTGGCTTGGTAGTGGCAAATTCTCTTTGCATTTGTTTGTCTGAAAAATACCTTTCCTTCATTTATGAAGCTTAGTTTTGCCGGATACAAAATTCTTGGCTGATATTTGTTTCGTTTAAGGAGGCTAAAGGTAGGAAGGACCCCAATCCCTTCTAGCTTGTAGGGTTTCTGCTGAGAAATCTGCTGTTAATCTGATAGGTTTCCCTTTGTAGGTTACCTGATGCTTTTTGCCTCACAGCACTTAAGATTATTTCCTTCATCGTGACTTTAGATAACCTGATGATTATGTGCCTAGGTGATCTTTTTGCGATGAATTTCTCAAGTGTTCTTTGAGCTTCTTGTATTTGGATGTCTAGATCCCTGGCAAGGCCAGGGAAGTTTTCCTTGATTATTCCCTCAAATATGTTTTCCAAACTTTTGGATTTCTCTTCTTCCTCGGGAACACCAATTATTCTTAGATTTGGTCATTTAACATCAGCTCAAACTTCTTGGAGGCTTTGTCCAGTTTTAAAGAATTCTTTTTTCTTTGTTTTTGTCAGATTGGGTTAATTTGAAAGCCCTATCTTCGAGTTCTGAAGTTCTTTCTCCTACTTGTTTGATTCTCTTGTTGAGACTTTCCAGTGGATTTTGCATTTCTTTGTGTCTTTCATTTCCAGAAGCTGTGATTGTTTTTTATTTATGCTATTTCTCTGGAGATTTTTTTATCCATATCTTGTATTATTTAAAGAATTTTTTTAAGTTGGTTTTCACCTTTCTTTGGTGCCTCCTTGAGTAGCTCAGTAATTGACCTTCTGAATTCTTTTTCTGGCAATTCAGAGATTTCTTCTTGGTTTGGATCCATTGCTGGTGAGTTAGTGTGACCTTTGGGGGGCATTAAAAAACTCTGTTTTGTCATATGACCAGAATTGTTTTTCTGGTTCCTTCTTACTTGAGTAGACTATGTCAAAGGGAAGATATGGGGCTCAAGGGCTGCTGTTCAGATTCTTTGGTCCCATGGACCCTTAATGTGGTATTCTCTTCTCTCCCCTAGGGATGGGGCTTTCTGAGAGCCACACTGCAGTAAATGTTTTTGCTCTTCTGGGTCTAGCCACCCAGCTGAGCTACCAGGCTCAGTGTCTGCAAAGAGTCCTGTGATGTGATCCATCTTCAAGTCTCTCAGCTGTGGATACCAGCTCCTGCTCTGGTGAGGGTCCTTGGTGAGGATCCTTAGCTGTAGTTTTGTTTAGTGTGCTAGCTTTCTTGAATGCTGGTTGCATTAGCAGTGAAGTTGTCACATGGACAGACTCAAGACTTCTGGTTATCCAGGATGTTGCAGACAGTGGAATTAGCTGTTGTCTTCTCCCTTCTTGGAGAAGGGTTTTTATGAGTTGCCATGACAGCATGAGTTGGTTGGCCAC
Organism: Homo sapiens; assembly: GCF_000001405.40. NCBI lineage: Eukaryota > Metazoa > Chordata > Mammalia > Primates > Hominidae > Homo > Homo sapiens. Next base: position 173,981,384 of record NC_000005.10, read on the forward strand.
CAGCCAGGAGGTGGCACTTTCAAGACAGCATCAGCTGTAGTAGTATGGGGAGAATACAAGCTTGCCCTAAACACCTGGATAAGTATTCGGGTTTCTCAGGCGATGGGCAGGGTCAAAGAGATCCCACGAGTTAAGGTCTTTTGTCTTCAGCTACCAGGGTGAGTAGAGAAAAACAATCAGGTGGGGGCAGGGCTGGTGTGTCTGAGCTTAAAGCTTTTCTTGGGCAGGGGCTTGCTGTGGCTGCTGTGGGGATTGAGTGTAGGTCTCAGGCCAATGGAGTTATGTTCCCAGGGGGATTAAGGCTACCTCTGCCGCATCATACAGGTTGCCAGGGAAGTCAGGGAAAGCTGGCCATGACAGGCCTCAGCTCCCACGCAGCCAGCAAGGCCAGTCTCACTCCCTCCATGCCCCACCAACAACACACAAAGTTTATATCCAGTCATCCAGTGAGCAGGGCTGAGATCTTGCCCCAGACTACAAGCCTCTCCACTAAGAAAACAAGCAGGGCTTTGAGGCTTTGCCCTTCTCTGCTTGCTGCAGCTTCTGTGCTCACATCTGCACTTCCCATTTGCCCTCCTCCTCCCTGCTTGATTCTGCCCTGGAAAATTCATGCTTGGTCAAAATTATGACAAAGTTCAGCTGGATGTTTCCTTCTCCCTGTGGTCCTTCCCCAATTCCACTGGCAGCCCTCCCCAAGGACCCCATGAGAGAAAGTCAGAAATGGCTTCTCGGGGAACCAGGAGTACCTTGAGGGCTCTTTCTGCTGCTTCTTCTACTTTCATATTTTGCTCAGGTCCCTAAATTCATTCCAGCTCTAGGTAAGGTTATATCCTTTTCCTGCGATCTCGATTTTCAGGTTTCCCAGTGAGGATGTGTGTTTAGAGGTGGACTGCCTCCCTCTCACACGTTGGGCACTCACAGTTTTTCGGCCGTCTCACAGTTTGCAGCAGCAAGCCGCTTCTTTTGAATTCTCTGTTTTCCTGGTATGTTCCTGCAGTAGTTCTTGGAGCAAAAGTTCGTGATGTGAGTCTCCACATGCTGCTCTGTTCATCTGAGTGGGAGCTGCAAGTTAGTCCTGCCTGCTACTTGCCATTTTTTCCCCAGTAGGTCTTATTCTATGTGTTCCATAATAGTATTGACAATAACTCTGATTAACATATTCTAGAAAATATTCTGAAGCAATTCTGAATAAGAAAACTTAGCAAAATGGAAATGGAAATTCCAGCAGTGGAAAATATAACTGAAATTAAGAACTTAGGCTAGGCGTGGTGGCTCACACCTGTAATCCCAGCACTTTGGGAGGCAAAAGCAGGAGACTACTTGAGCCTAGGAGTTCAAACCTAGCAACAAAGTGAAACCCTGTTTCTACAAAAAATCAAAAATTAAGCCAGGTATGGTGGCACGTGCCTATGGTCCCACTACACAGGAGGCAGGGGTTGGAGGGTTACTTCAGTCCAGGAGTTCGAGGCTGCAGTGAGCCATGATCATGCCAGCCTAGGCGACAGACAAGACCCTGTCTCAAAAACAAAACAAAACAAAACTACTTAATAGAGGGTTTAATAGTAGGTTAGATAGTGCTGAAGAGAGGATTAGTGAACTGGTATATAAATCAGTAGAAAATAATCAGACAGAAGCATTAAGAGAAAGAAGTGTGGAAACTACAGAAGAGCAGAAGAGATCTATGGAGCAGAGTAAAAAGATTTAACATATGTGTAGTGGAGTCTCAGAAAAGAAGACAAAGAATGGAACAGAGGCAATAGCCAAAGAAATAATGTCCTAGAATTTACCAAAGCTGACAAGTGCTATCAAGTTGCACATTCAAGAAGCACCAATAAGCCCAAACAGAGTAGAGACAAAAACCCCACACCTAGGCACTTCATGGTGAAACTGTTGAAAAGCAATGAAAAAAGAAAATCTGAAAAACATGCAGAGGAAAAAAGACACATTACTTTGTAAAGGGCAGTAATATGACTAATAGCTGACTTCTCAAAAGCAATATCAGAAACAAGAAGACAATAGAATATCTTCAAAGTGCTGAAAAAAAATAGTTGGCGACATGAATTCAATACCCAGCAGAAATATATATATACAGTTTAAAATGAATGAAATGGAAAAAAGATGAATGAACAGCAATGGAAAGAGTAAATATATTAGTAAACCTAAATGAAGCCTGACTGTATAAAACATAGTAATACTGATGTCTCATGATGCTTAGAATATACTATAAAATTACCAAAAACTCTATATGTGCTTACATAAAACATAGGGAGGAAGAAAAGTTGAGAGTCAAGTCACCAAAATGGCAGAGTAGAAGCAATCTGGCCTCCCTCTCCCCCACAGAAAACTAAAACCAATATCAGTGCAAAGGTTATCACCAGCAATATCCTAGAACTCAAATATGAAGCAGAAATGATCCCCAAGGCCTCAGAGAAGTAAAAAGCCTCCAATTGGAGGGTAAGAGAAATGGACTTCTTTATCCTTGATGATCGTGCCCCAAGCTGCCAGTCACCACACAGAAAACTGCCCTTAGAATCATTTTTGCTGTTTTCTTTTTCAGAATTTCTTCAGAATATTTTGTAGAATATGTTGATGAGAGTTATTGTCAATATTATTATAGGACACATAAAAAAAGACCTACTGGGGGAAAATGGCAGATAGAAGGCAGGACTAATTTGCAGCTCCCACTCAGACGAAGAGAACAGCATGTGGAGACTCACATCATGAACTTTTGCTCCACTGGTGACAGTGAGGTGGATGCCAGCTTTCCCATTATCCTGGGTTCCTGCATCAACCTATAGGAAGCGTTGTGAGTGCCTGAAGGGAGAAAAACCCCTGAGGGCAGCTTGAGACTAAGAAGGGAGGATGGCAGTTCAGTGGCTCTCCAGCAGCACCACGCTATGGGAGGCATGCTCCACAGGTCCCTGGGTACGACCCCCTACCAGCCTTCCCACATGGCTAGGGTGTTTCATTTGGGACCTCACCACCCTCCATCCAAGTCTGGCAGCACTACTGTTTGTGAAAGTGAGGCAAACCTGGGCTTAAGAGGCCATCTAGTGTGGAAAAGGAGGCAGTGTCCTAGTGGAAACAGCATTCAACAGGTGGACTGCAAAGAATCTAAGCAAACATACCCTAGAAAGACAAAAACAAGCTGGATGTGAAGACTGGAAAATATAACCTTTCATGCAAAGATATGGACGCACATCCACAAGAAACAACAGCAAACCGGGAACCATGACCTTCTCAGATAGACAAAGCAAAGTGCCAGTTACCAATCCTAATGAGACAGTGATGTGTTTCTGTGAGGTATTTTTTTTTCTTAGTGAGATTAACATTTAAGCTAGTAGACTCGGAGTAAAGTAGATAACCCTCCAAAATATAAGTGAGCCTTATCCAATCATTTGAAGGCCTGTGTATTAGTCCATTCTCATACTGCTCATACAGATATATCCAAGACTGGGTAATTTATAAAAGAAAGAGGTTTAATTGACTCACCGTTTGGCATGGCTGGAGAGGCCTCAGGAAACTTACAATCATGGTGGAAGTGGAAACAAACATGTCCTTCTTCACATGACAGCAGCAAAGAGAAGTGCTGAGCAAAAGGGGGAAAAGCTTCTGATAAAACCATCAGATCTTGTGAGAACTCACTCACTATCATGAGAAAAGCAGCATGGGGATAACTGCCCCCACAATTCAGTTACTTCCCACTGGGTCTCTCCCACAACATGTGGGGATCATGGGAACTACAATTCAAGACGAGACTGGGTGGGGACACAGCCAAACCATATCAGCCTGGAAGAAAAGACTGGGCTCACTTGAAGAGGGGGGAATTCTGCCAGCAGAGGACCTTTAGACTGGAACTGCAGCATCAACAACTCTTCCCTAGATCTCTTAGCTTGCTGGTGTACCTTGTAGTTTCTCTCTCTCTCTCACGCCACAGTCTTTTGTTTCTGCTTCTCTGGAAAACCCTAATATACATATCCATGAGAACAGCTAACATGAAGATGACAATGCCAAGTGGAGGTGAACAAGTGGAGCAAGTGGAATCCTCATACTTGGCTGGAGGAGTGTAAATTGGTACAACCATTTTGGATACCTGTTTGTCAGCAGCACCTAAAGCTGAACGTATGAACACCCTAAGCAACTCCACACTAACATATATAGCCTATAACCTGTTTCCACAAAGGGTATGTATGAGATTCTTCTTAGTCCCACTAATAATGAACCAAACTGGAAACAACTAAATGTCCATCAATAAGTGGAAAGGATAAAAATAAATGGTGACATATTCAAATGATACACAAACTTCTACAGTTGTTAACTAACCAAGTTCATTCTACCCTCAGGCAGCAAGCCAATCACTGAGGTGATGCGTTTTGCAAGGGAGAAAAGATGTTATTCACAAGGCTGCTGTGTGAGAAGACGGGAGAACAAACCTGAAATCCACCTCCCCAAATATAGGGCTTGAAGGTATGTAAGGAATAGAAAGCAAGGTGGTTTAAAGTGTGGGGAAAGATGATCGGTAGGGAGGAAAGGTGAGGTAATTGGGGTTTCTGTGCAAGTGTGATCAAGCTACATCGTTCTTCACGCACATGCAGAAAATGGCTGCATTGGCATGATCTGAGGGTGAGGTTTTTGGGCCTCTGACTTCACAAGGTCATTCTCTGGGCATCTGTGGAGGCCCAGTTGAAGGGTTGGTGGTCTTAACCAATTGGAAATTACCAAGAGCTGCCTTCCAGTTCCTGAAAAACCTTTAAGCACCCATTACTGTAGTGACCAACATCCAGAGACATTATCTCTAAGGAAGCTTGTGGGAGTTTAGTTATGTATTGTTTGGCTACATGACTTGCTAGCGGGGTTTTTTTTTTTTCTTTCTCACCCATGGACTCAGGTCATAGCTAGCATTAGTTTTTGCTGTTGTTGTTGTTCTTTTTTAAGACGGAGTCTTGCTCTGTCACGCAGGCTGGAGTGCAGTGGCGCGATCTCGGCTCACTGCAACTTCTGCCTCCTGGGTTTAAGCAATTCCCCCGCCTTGGCCTTCCGAGTAGCTTGGATTACAGGTGCCCACCACCACGCCGGCTAATTTTTGTATTTTTAGTAGAGACGGGGTTTCACCACGTTGGCCAGGCTGATCTTGAACTCCTGGCCTCAAGTGATCTGCCCGCCTCGTTTTAAGAACAACCAGAAGTAAGCAATGTAAAGCAAGCAAGGCAGGTTAAGCTTGGTGAGTTTACTCAGGTTAGCTCTTGGTTTCACAATAACATGCATCTCACTGATACAACTTGAGTGAAAGAAGTAAATTAGGCCCGGGCGCGGTGGCTCATGCCTGTAATCCTAGCACTTTGGGAGGCTAAGGCAGGCAGATCACAAGGTCAGGAGATCGAGACCATCCTGGCTATCATGATGAAACCCTGTCTCTACTAAAAAATACAAAAAATTAGCTGGGCGAGGTGGTGGACGCCTGTAGTCCCAGCTACCAGGAAGGCTGAAGCAGGAGAATGGTGTGAACCTGGGAGGCGGAGCTTGCAGTGAGCCGAGATCGCGCCACTGCACTCCAGCCTGGGAGACAGAGCAAGACTCCGTCTCAAAAAAAAAAAAGAAGTAAATTAAATAAATTAAATGGACAAACCTAACTGATGACTTTTTTTTTTTTTTTTTTTTTTTTTTGGAGAAAGGGTCTTGCTCCATTGCCCAGGGGGAGTGCAGTGGTGTGATCAGGGCTCATTGCAGCCTTGACCTCCACAGCTGAAGCGATCCTCTCTCCTCGGCCTCCCAAAGTACTGGTATTACAGGCACCTGGCCATTGATGACATCTGAAATCAAAAAAACAGGAAAAGGATGGTGATTGGGTGAGGTCATGAGGTGCTTCTGCAGTGCACCATTTCTTAACCTTGGTGGATCTTACACAAGTATATTCACTGTGTAAAAATTCAGCCATCTACATAGTGATGATTTGTGCAGGTTTCTGCATATAATTTAATAACAAGTGTTTAAGAAAGTATGTCTCTGTCACTGCCTATTACTTTGGGGAAGTAACTTCACATTTTGGAGCCCCAGTTCCTCTGCCATAAAATGCTACATGAATTTAAAGAGATGGTCGGGTTGGGCGCAGTGGCTCACGCCTCTAATCTCAGCATTTTGGGAGGCCAAGGCTGGCAGATTGCTTGAGCCCAGGAGGTCAAGACCAGCTTGACCAACATAGCAAAACCTTCTTTCTACTAAAAATGCAAAAATTAGCCAGGCCAAAAATTAGCTGGGCGTGGTGGTGCACGCCTGCAGTCTCCGGAGGTTGAGGCAAGCGAATCGCTTAAACCTGGGAGGCAGAAATTGCAGTCAGCTGAGATTGCATCACTGGACTCCAGCCCTGGAGAAAGAGCAAGACTGACAAAAGAAAAAAAAAAAAGGGTTAGTGGAAACCTATTTGTAAAGTTTCAATGTAAAGAAATTACAATGTGCACCTCACAGTTTACGTCCTGAATGGATAACTATCTCTCACTGTGTGCCAGATGCTGAATATATGCCTTATTTTGATTTATCCTCACAACTCAGTTCTCCTGAGTTAACATTTGAAGACAATGGAGGCTCAGAGAAGGAAAGGGGCTGGGTGTGGTGGCTCACGCCTGTAATCCCAGCACTTTGGGAGGCTGGCGGATCACCTGAGGTTAGGAATTCAAGACCAGCCTGGCCAACATGGTGAAACCTGGCCTCTACTAAAAATACAAAAATAAGCGGGGTGTGGTGGCACATCCTCGTAATCCCAGCTACTCAGGAGGCTGAGGCAGGAGAATCGCTTGAATCTGGGTCGTGGAGGTTACAGTGAGCCGAGATCGCACCATTGCACTCCAGCCTGAGTGACAGAGCGAGACTCCGTCTCAAAAAAAAGAAAGAAAAAGAGAGAGAGAGGGAAAAGGGCTTGCCCAAATAACCCAGCTGGCCAGTGCCTAACCAGCTTGGGCCTCAGACCCCTGTCCCCCTACCCCTGTGTCTCTTGGGGATCACAGCTCCATCACTACCACCTGCCAGGCCAAGGGCATACTGGAACCTTCCGGCAGCCAAGGGCTCTGTGTTCTCCCCCAGGCTCCCAGCGTCACGTGGCTGATGCTCCAGGCTGCTCAAGTCCCGTGTGGGTTCCTCACTCTGAAATCCTCCCGCACCCAAGCATGGGGGCGTCTCCCTAGTAGTGACCTGGTCCCTTTCTCCCACCCTCTTCTTGGAGTAGCTCATTTCTTCTGAGGGGTCTGCACCTCGTCATCGTCCCCAACCCAACACCCGCCCTCTTCCCACTTCCCTCCATCTCCCCTGGGCCTCTCACCTCCCAGCAGCGTGCCCTTCCCCTACTCCTGCAGCCCACGCAGTGACCGGCTGCCTCGCTCCTCAAGCCCAGCTTTCTCCCTCCAGCCCCCCAGCAGTGGTCTGGCCCTAACTTCCCTGCCCCACCCTGCATGGTGGTCCCCGCCACCCCCACGTGGTGATCCGGCCTTAACCCCGTCACCCCATCCCTACTGGGTGGTCCTGCCCTAACCCCACCACCCCCATCCCTGCGAGGTGGTCCGGCCGTAACCCCCTCCCCCCATCCCCACGCGGTGGTCTGGCCCTAACCCTGTCACCGCATCCCTAGGGGGGTGGTCCGGCCCTAAACCCGTCCCCCTCATCGCGGTGCCATGGTCCGGCCCTAACCCTTTGTCCCCCCCATCCCCACAGGGTGGTCTGGTCCTAACCCCCCCCAATCCTCACGCGGTGGTCTGGCCCTAACTCCCTCCCCCCAATCCCCGCAGGGTGGTCTGGCCCTAACCGCTCCCGCATCCCTCGCCTGCACAGTGGGCAGTCTGGCGCCTGTGGCGTCGTGTTTGCTGAGGGCCCGGCTGCCGTTGACTGAGGCTGCGATGGCGGCGGCAGGCCGGGGTCGGGAGCAGGACTCGGCGCGCTTCGTCTATGTGACGCGCTTCGGCTCGCATCAGTGCAGTGGCGTCCTGCAACTGGGCGGCCGTGGAGCTCAAGGCCTTTGGGGTCAGGGGCCTGGGGCAGGCTGTCGCCAGGAGAAGCCGAGGGAAGCAATGGCGGTGGCGGGCGTTCAGGGTGGCAGCGAGCTGCCCCTCGGTTCCCAGCTCAGGGTCCCCACGACCCCTGGTGTGGAGGCTGCGGCCTCTGCCTCCTCCCAGCTGCGGGCATCGAGAGTTCAGAGCGGCACCAGACAGTCGGCGCGTGCAGGTGGTGCAGCGGGGCAGGGCGGGACCGGGCGCGGCGGGGCGGGACGGGGCGGAGCGGGCTCAGCTGCTGGGCGCCATCTTGCGGCACGCAGGAGGCTGGGGGCAGCTTTCCTGTCAGGCCGTGTTGCGAGCACGCGCAGGGGCGAAGGAGAAGCCCAGTAATTCCCTTCAGAGGGCCAGCTGTGGCCGGCACGGGCACCTGACATAAGAGGAGAGGTTGTTGAATGGAGCCTTTACGGCCCCCTCACGGAGGCTTTTGGCCTGCGTGTTTCCGTTCCAGCTGAGTGAGATTCGTTGACTTCGCAAACCCCCTCACCTGGAGGATTGACTTCCGGATGCTGTTGAGTCATCCTGGCTAAAAACAGCATGAGCTTTACGTTTAAATCAGGAAATGTCTTCAATTCAAAAATTATCCTCCCATAGGTTTTGCATATGTCTTGATCAACTTATTCCTAAATATTTAATCTTCTTTGCTGTTGTAAATGGGGTTTCTTTTTACGAAATGCCCTCTAAATGCTCACTGTGTATAGGAAGCCAATTTTTTTTTTTTTTTTTTGAGACGGGGTATTGCTGTGTCACTCAGGCTGGAGTGTGGTGGTCCAATCACAGGCTCACTGCAGCCTTGACCGCAGCCTTGACCTCAGCCTCCCGAGTAGCTGGGACCACAGGTGGGCACCTCCATGCCCAGCTACTTTTTTTATCTTTTGTAGACATGGGGGGCGGGGGGGTCTCCCTGTGTTACCCAGGCTGGTCTCGAACTCCTGGGCCCAACTGATCCTCCTGCCTCAGCCTCACAGCCCTGGGATTACATGCATGAGCCACTGGGCCAAGCCTTTCTTGGTTTTTCTTTTTCTTTCTTTTTTTTGAGATGGAGTCTTGCCCTGTTGCCCAGACTAGAGTGCAATGACGTGATCTTGGGTCACTGCAACCTACGCTCCCCTGGTTCAAGCGATTCTCCTGCCTCAGCCTCCCAGGTAGCTGAGATTACAGGCACCTGCCACCAATGCCCAGCTAATTTTTTTCTATTTTTAGTAGGGATGGGGTTTCACCATGTTGACCAGGTTGATCTCGAAATCTTGACCTCAGGTGATCCACCCGCCTCAGCCTCCCAAAGTGTTGGGATTACAGGCGTGAGCCACCGCGCCAGGCCCTCTCTTGGTTTTTCTAAGTCAGCTTTACTGAGGATTAATTTACGTATGTTTCGAAGAGGTTTGACAGATTTATACACACCCTAGTAACTGCCACCATAATTAAGATATAGAACATTTCCATCACTTGTACTTACGGAATAACAGCTTTATTAAACTATAGTTCACAGTGCATACAATTCACCCGTTTTGCATGCTTAGTTCACATATTCAACCATCACCATTTTAGAATATTTTTAACCCCAAGAGAACCCCTGTATCCGTTAAACATTGCTCACCATTCTCCCTATTTGCCCTCCTTTACGCATAAGCCCAGCCCTAACCAAGTACTAATCTGTTTTCTGTCTCCATAGATTTAACCATTTTGGACATTTCGTATATGTTGAATCATAGAGTATGTGGGCTTTTGTGACTGGCTTTTTTCACTTAGCCTATTGGTTTTTGTTTACTCACTGGATACTTTTATTATTAGTTTTATCCTTGATTCTCATGATTTTCCAGGTATCAATATATATTATTTGTAAAGAGATATAATTTTATTTTTTTTCACCCATTTGCCTGCAATAGATTTATTTTGTCTAATTGCATTTGCTGATACCTCAAGGGCAATGTTGGATAGTATTGGAGATAGCGGGCATCTTAGCCTTGTTCCTGACCATAGGGGAAATGCCTATAGTGTTTCCCCATTAAATCAGGTACTGGCTATGTGACTAAGGATTATATATTTCAAATATTACAAAGTATCCCTCCATACTTATTTTTTCAGTGTTTGTTTTTTTTTTTTTATCATGAATGGGTGTTGATTTTTGTCAGAGGGTTTCTCAGGTCTATGGAGATACTCTTTTTCTTTAGATTTGTTTATTAATATGGAATGTAATATAAATGGATTTCCAATTATTGTACCAACCTTGCATTCCTGAAGTAAATTCTACTTGGTTTTGGTGTGTAATTTTCCTAATACAGTGTTGGATTCTGCTAATAATTTGTTTATAATTTTTGTATCAGTATTCAGGAGAGATAGTGATCTTTAGTTTTTCTTTGTACTCCTTTATCTGGTTTAGGTATCAGAGCTGTGTTTACTTCATAAAAGGAATTAGGAATTTTTCCTTTTCTATGCTCTTGGATAATTTATAGAATGTTGGGATTATCTTGTCTTTGAAGCTTAGGTAGAATTCTTCTGTAACTATTAGAACCTAGTGCTTTTTGAGGGATAATTCCTTAATAACCTTCTCTATGTTTTCTATGGAGATTGATCTTTGTAGGCTTCCTAACTCTAATAGGTCAATTTTAGTAATCTGTATTTCCTTAAGGAATTATCTGTCTCATCTGGGTTTCCAAATTCGTTTGCATAGATGTCTGCAAAGTAGTGTCTTATGATGTTTAAACATTTTCTTGCGTTTTAATGGTTATTTCCCTCTTGTCATTTCTTTTCCTATATATATGTGCACTCTGTCTTTTTCTTGATCAAGTTAGCCAACATTTTGACTATTTTGTTAATTTTTTTTTTTTTTTTTACTAAGCTAAGATTTGGGCCCGATACAGTGCCTCACACCTCTAAGTTTACCACTTTGGGAGGCTGAGACGGGAGGATTGCTTAAGGCCAGCAGTTCAAGGCTGCAGTGAGCTATGATATGGCCTTCAGCCTGGAGAGACAGAGTGAGAACCTGTCTCTAAAAAGGAAAAATCAAGGTTTTGATTTATTCGTTAGATATTTTGTTTCTCTAGTCTCTTCCTCATTAATTTCTGCTTTTAATATTATTATTTCTTGTGCTTTCTTTTGGTTTACTTTGTTCTTCTTATACTTTTTTGTGAGCAGGGAATTTAATTCATTTATTTTTATTATTGTTATTAAGTGTTTAGTGCAGTGAATTTTCTTCTAACCACTACTTTAAATACATCCCATAGATTCCAATATGTAGTGTTTTCGTTGTCACTATTTTTAGAAGAAATTCTGTAATTTTTAACTCTTTTCCATATAGTTGCTTAATAGATTTAAAATTTAAGTTTTCAGCGCATTTCTAATTTTTATTTTTAATTTTTGCTAGTAAACTCTAGGTTTATTGTGATCAGAGAGTATTGTTTGTGATGCCTTCATTTTATGGATGTTACTGGTATTTTCTTTGTGACCTAATTTATCATCCTTTTTGTTCTTTTCACCTCAGAAACCATGCCATTGAAAGACTGCTCCTTTAAATCATGCTTGCCCCTTTAAACTGAGTCTGTCCATTATATTGCATGCTTGGCATTCTGTGTTGTGTCTGTCTCTTTAAATTTCTCCCCTATAGTCTGTACTCTGATTTGCCTAGTTATTTATTTATTTATTTTTTTTACTATTTTCAGATTTAGAATGCATTTAATCTTAATGTTGGTCACGTCAGCTCTTTTGAGGCATTTTTGTAGTATTTCTAGTTTCTCTTCCCTGCTGGCCAGAGCCCCTGTAGGTCTAGGGCATATGGGATCATAGAGCAGCAATTTAATGTTTTTTTCTCATTTTACTTACAGTTGTTTTGCAGCTTCAGCATCCTTTGTCTTAAAGTGATGCTGAGGGTGTGGTTTTTGCTTGCTATTGTCTTAAGCTACCCAGAAGCCCTGCTTTAAAAGATTTTGAATAAGAAAAGTGATAGGAGCCAGGCGCGGTGGCTCATGCCTGTAATCCCAACACTTTGGGAGGCCAAGGTGGGCAGATCACGAGATCAGGAGTTTGAGACCAGCCTGGCCAACATGGTGAAACCCCATCTTTGCCAAAAATACAAAAATTAGCTGGGTGTGGTGGTGCGCGCCTGCTGTAATCCCAGCTACTGGGGAGGCTGAGTCAGGAGAATGGCTTGAACCCAGGAGGCGGAGGTTGCAGTGAGCTGAGATCGTGCCACTGCACTCCAGCCTGGGTGACAAGCAAGACTTTGTCTCAAAAAGAAAAGAAAAAAGAAAAGTGATAGGGTCAGATTTATTGACCGTGCTGTACAGGGGAGATTGACTTAGAGGCAGGTTAGACTGAAAAAAAAATCTCAAGTTGAAAAATATATAAATATTTTGTTTACTATTCTTTCAAAACCAAATTTACTTTGATAATTTATTAAGTTGGTGCAAAAGTAATTGTGGTTTTGGACCTTGAGTTTTAAGTCATTTTAACTAGGCTCAAGCACATCTTTATTAATCAAAATAGGAACCATTACAATAAACACATTTTTGCCAACAAGAAATAAGTTTGTTTATTCCTGTAGTATAAAAGTCCACGCTTTGGGATTTGACGAACACTTGGGAAGTATTTTCTGTGTTCTGCAGGTTGTGGAAGCGTTTTCCTTGCAAAAAGTTGTCCAGATACCTGAAGAAGTGGTAGTTGGTTGGCAAGAGGTCAGGTGAATGTGGTGGATGAGGCAAAACTTTGTGGCCCAATTTGTGCAACTTTTGAAGCGTTGGTTGTGCAGTGCATGGTCTGTCGTCGTCGTGGAGAATGCAGACCTTACTGTTGACCAATGCTGGCTGCAGGCGTTGCAGTTTTCGGTGCATCTCATCGATTTGCAGAGCATACTTCTCAGATGTAATGGTTTCACTGGGATTCAGAAAACTATAGTGGATCTGACTGGCAGCAGACCACCAAACAGTGACCATGAGCTTTTTTTGGTGCAAGTTAGGCTTTGGGAAGTGTTTTGGAGCTTCTTCTCAGTCCAGCCGCTCCCACCTCCTAGTTCTCCTTCCTCTGGATCTGAACTTGTTAACTCTGCCACAAAGGAGTTGGTGGGTGGGAGAGATTGGAGGCCAGAGAACAGTTACAAGACAGTTACAGTAGTCCAGTGGAAAGAGTGAAGGCCTGAACTAAGGCAGTGGCAGCGGAGGCAGAATGGACAGGATCACATAGCTTACTGAAAGAGAGAAGGAAGAATTGCGGCCAAGTCTGAAGTCTCTGTGCTGGGCAACTGGATGGATAATGGAGCCACTAACGTTAGTGACCACGCTGCTGTGCTTGCGAAGCCAAGGTTATAGTCAAGGGAAGGGGGTCCTGGGGTAGACTTATGTTTAAACCAAGCCAGAAAGTGCTTAAGTGCTTAGGTTTTACTCAGTCTTGGGTGTACTTAATGTTTGTTTTTGTTTTTGTTTTGAGACAGTGTCTCGCACTGTCTCCCAGGATGGAGTGCAGTGGTGTGATCTCGGCTCACTGCAACCTCTGCCTCCCAGGTTCAAGTGATTCTCCTGCCTCAGCCTCCCAAGTAGCTGGGACCACAGGCGTGTGCCACCATGCCTGGCTGATTTTGTATTTTTAGTAGAGATGGGATTTCAACATGTAGGCCAGGCTGGTCTTGAACTCCTGAGCTCAGGTGATCCACCTACCTTGGCCTCCCAAAGTGCTGGGATTACAGGCGTGAACCACCACACCCAGCCCTTAATGTTAATATTAAGTAGACATTCATTAAATGTGTCACCCCCTATAGGGAAAAAGATGAATTTATTCATTCAGTAACATTTATTTAAAACCTATCGTGTGAGCACTAGGTCAGATGTTAGTGACACAGATGTATCAGACAAGTAGTCTGCTCTCGAGGGACTTATTAATTAATGAATAATGGAAATATAAACTAGTAGATATGAGTGTTGTAAGAGTGAGCTGAGAATAGCTTTGATAGTCAAGTTCAAGGAAAGAAGAGGCACAGATGCAGAAAATCAGGGAACATGAATAGAGAAGTCACTAGTGGGACAGTAGAGGTTATGAAGAGCATTGGCTTTGAAGTCAGAAAGACATAATCCGTGGTTCTGTCATTCATCAGCAGGATCATATTGGCCAAGTTAGTTAACCACTATTATTCTCAGTGTCCTTATCTGTAAAATGGGGGTAATGGTTCCTACCTTAAAGGTTTGCTGTGAAGGTTAAATTAAGTAATACATGCAGAGTGCCTAGCACAGTGTTCGGCATAGAATAAGTGCCCAGTAAATGCTGGCACATTGAACAGAGATGACTTGAAGGGAAGATGGTGATTAGCATGTCTAGCACACAGTGGACATGTGCTATTTATTGAATGAATGAAAAGTAAGTTTTGGACCACATTATGGAATACCTTGCAGACTGTTATTTTTATAGTCACTGAAGATTTTTGAATGGTGGGGTGGAGTAAAGTTATCAGAGACAGGTGCACTTCTGGAAGATAAACTTGTAAGCTGTTTGGAAATGTACTGAAGTTTAGAGATTCAGGAGTAGGCAAATCAGCAACTCTTCTAACATTTCAAATAAGACTAATAAATCAGGCCAGTTCCCTGTCCTTACAGAACTTGAAAGCTACATTTATGATTTGTATGTAATGGAAGATGATGAATGCTATTGTGGAAGTACAAATGAATGTTTTGGAAGTGGTGAATAATTTGGGGAATGAGAGAATCAGGGAAGGCTTTATGATAGTGGAAGCTCCATGAGATTTACACATGGGGCTGAGATAGGAGAATTAGGTGGGGAAAACATGTGAACAAAGCACCGAGTATGGATCAGTGATGACAGTGATTAGGAAGAACGACTGGGTCAGAGTGGGTGGAAAGAGGACTAGAGAAAGATTTGAAACATAAGTCAGGACAAAATCCATGAAATACACTGGAGCTAGTCTCAGTACAATACACAAAATGAGTGGAAGAAATATGTCTTTTTTCTTTTTCACGTCTTCTGTACTTGTATTTTAGATCCCCAAGTAATTACGGGTAGACTTGATGACTCCTGTGTTTTCTCAAGGAGTATAGGTCTATGTTGGTAAGACTTACAAACAAGAAACATTTGGGAATGATGCAAATATAGTATTCCAAAGGTTGTAGGCATTTAGAGGGAAGGATAAATATGGGTTTATGAAGAGCAGAGTTTCCCAAACTTAAATTATTTTCCTATGCCATATCTGCATATCATCTGTACTATTATTAATATATTTATTTAAATAGGCACATTTTCCCTTTTAACTAAATTTCTTTTTAGAACACTTTAAATTATTACTTCAGTGGAAAACTGTACCATTTGCTATAAATAGAAATTAATTAGAAACAAATATAATAAAGGCAAAACAATATTATTAAATTCTAGCTAAGTAGGTTGTCTGCTGAGAGTTGTCTGTGGTCACGAAGGGAGACGACCAAGTCTTAGAGAAGTCTTAATAACATACTGGTACCAAACTTAGATTTTCTCCCAAATGTAATCAGAATATTGAAAAAAACTGGAGAGAGAATGAGTTTCTCACCATATGAGTTAATATTCCTTAGTGCTATGTCTGTATGTCTGTGACCTGCTCCAAATCAGTGGCATGTTTCTCACAAATTGCAAAATGCCATTTTAGAGCATATTCTAGTTTATTCAACAAATGGAATACTTATTGTATAGCTGATATCTATAGAATTGGATACTGGATCTCTAGTGAATAATAAAACACACTCCTCAAGTAAACAGTGTGATAAATCCTATGATACCTGAGCAGAGGGTGCTTTGTCAGATCAGAGAAGGCTCCCTGGAAAGCTAAGTATTGAAAGAGTAGAAGAAAGTGAGAGATAGAGTGGTGGTAGGGCAGGAACAAGGTGGGGAAGGGTTGAGGTGAGGGAATATTCTAGACAAAATGAGAGCCAATATAAAGGCTTTCAGGGAACACACGCTCATTATTTTATAATTTTGTCTTTGGAAAAACAAACCCTTGGGTTTTCTTCTAACAGTTAACATTTGAGAAGGCAGCATGGTTTAGTGAGTATTCAGGAAGCCCGTTCACTCTGGATAACCCTTATTAGTACTACTATGTGTGTGGTAGTGTGAGTGGAAAGATGACTAAGACACACATGGCCATTGCCCTCCAGGAGGTCAGAGCCTAGTGGAGGAAACACATGATAAAAAGATAGGCTGAGTGCTATGAAGAAGGTGTTCTCAGATCCATGCTGTGTGTTGAGCTGCGTGTGTTTGAGGGAAGGCTGTAGAGAAGAGGTACGTGTGAGCTGAGTCTTGAAGAACAGGTAGAAATTTGCCTGGGAGGGTGTGTGTGTGTGTGTGTGCTGAAAGTGTTAGAAATTAGATACATTTGAGGTACCACAAGGTATTGTGTAGTTGGAAGTGTAATGTCTGTCTGGAGTTGCACTGAGAAGAATGGAGACTGTAGAGATACACTGGGGCAAGATGTGTTATCTGGTATTTGTTCATTCTGTTGTTGGTCTTTTTGGGACTAGCCTTACAAACCAGAAAAGGAAGACTGAACTAGCTGGATGGTTTTCTGGGTACTTGCCAGATTATGTCTAGTTTTCTTGGTTGTTTTCAACATGTTATTAGTGAACTGGTAAACCAGTATTACCTGGTGATCAGAAATATACCAACAAGTATAAAAATCCCCAAGGAGACCTCAAGAAACATTTATATGGTCTCTATTTTCAGATAGTAAATCCTTATATATGTTGACCTTTTCACTTTCTTCTTAAAAATTAGGTTTAATCCAGAAGGATGCAGCTAAAAAGTATGATTTTCCCATACCATTGAATGAAGCTTCCAAAATAATGAAGAAAAAGAAAAAGGTATATTGCTGTAAAGGAGAATGAGCAATATTTGAATTTTAGATCATCCTCTCTAAATACAAATGTGTAAAGATATTCAAGACAGTGAAAATAGTACCATCTTTTGAATAATTTAATTTTCTGAAATGAGAAATAGAAGTAATTCAGAAGAAATGGAACTGGGTTTGGAAATATTTATTAACCATAAAGAATTGTCCTTCCAGTGTTATACCAGTGAAGGTATAAAACACATTTTAATCAAAGTGTAACCCCACTGGAGGATTTTTCAAAGCATGATATATGTTCCACAGAATATAATAAACTGTGATAGATAATGTAGTATAAGAAGAAAAATCACAGATTTCATAGAAAAGAATAATGTATCTATATTGGTCTTTTTAAAGACAAGGAATATGTAATAGGTTTCTAGCAGGCAATCTGAGAAGGATGAGCCACTGCTGCTGAGCTGTTCTCGCTGCTAGTTGTCCAAATGTCATGGTAACTTGAGTGTTTTGAACATATTCAAGACCGGATGCTCTGCAAGTCTTTGATTACCACTGTATGTTTATATTTCACAGCATCGTTTATATTCAGTTTAAAGAAATTATTGGTTGATAGTGACACATAACATTGTGTTGTTTCTGAGCTTTGAGTTTGTTTGATATCCGTGTATGGTATAAAATAGCATTAGAGGTTAATAACTCTTGCACCAAATATATTTTGAGTGAGCATCTAATTTTCCCACTGTACTAAGAGATGTTTCTTCTGAGAACCAGTTCCTTTTAGGTGAGGAGAAAAGAGCAATAATCAATACTTCCTTTTAATTACTGTGTGCCAGATACTAGGGTAAGTGCTTTACATATGTATTAAATATTTTTTCCTTAATTCTTATAATCCAATGTATGAAGTTATTCCTAGATGAGATTAAAATACTCTCCCAGGCAACTGGAAAATGGCAAAGCTAGAATTTGAGCCTAGATCTATTTGTTTGATTCTATAATCCTTGTTCTTTCGATTCCAGTATATTTATGTTCTCTAGTACTATTGCTTTGGTATGTCCTAGGAGAAATACTTAATTCTTAACTGGAATAAAATATGTTTAAAAAATCAAATCATTGCCCAATGGTTTAATCATTGGAATATAAATTCACAATTTTTTAAAATTAGCTTTCAGAATGGAATGTGTTAGAATTGATTAGGTAGGACTTTATAGTCATTGCCTTTGAAAGGCAATTTCATCCAGGACAGTTAATTTAAATACTACAGGGAGGAAATTCTAGGAATTTTGAAAAAGAGAACAGATATTTCAGTGATCGTGGGTAAACAATTACACTTAGGTTTTAGTTCTCTAAATGCTAATATAGCCTTATAATGATGATATCAATTGACATACAACACAGTTGAGGCATTCCCAGTTGCCTCCATGAAAATATATTCCTACTTTTCTGCTCAGCATTCCTTTACTGTGCTTATCTTTTTAAGGTTTTAGTATGGAATAGAGTATACAAAGTCATTTCAAGAATGCTTGAAGAAAATGAAAAATATAGACACAGGCTGAAATGCCAAAGGTTATCTAGTGAAAGTAAGTTAACACAATTTTTATTGTATTAAAAAGACTGGCCTCTGTAACAGTTTAGTTATCCTGGGATTGCATGAGATCAGTAGTTTTCTTAATTGTCACATTCAATATACAGAACTATAGAAATGAGGCTACCATATTATCACTATTCATCATAATTAGAAGTACAGAGCACCTGCAAGCAGTGAGCACAGAGAGCACAGGTATAGGAGTGAGTGGAGGAATGTAGAAGGTGTGTGTTGACTGGAATTTACTGAGCAAAGGGAACATACTTTTCTGTTAAATGTGAATCTTAATGCCAATTAAAAAATACAAGTTACGAAGCTCATCGGTATTGATGAAGAAAAACATTTTAACTGCAATATAAAATTATACATTGTGTCACTTCATGTAGTCATTTCCTCTCCATGGAAGCTACATTCCTACTTAATGCATTTAACAAAGATCTACCCTTGAGTTATAGCCTTGATGTCATTATTTCATTCCTGGAAAACAACTCATGAATTAAACCGTGCTCTAAAGCACTATTGAGTTGATATTGTGGTCAGAGCGAAATTAGATGTAGTCTGGTGTGTTTATCAAAATAATTTGTAGTTCTGGATTTTAAAAAAATTAAGTTGGATAAAATTTATGTAACTAATAATGCAATGTGAATTGATAAATCACAAGTTATTTTCTTTCCTTAACGTGCATTTCTTTCTTTAACATGTCTTTCTTTCCTGCACATGCTATCATGAATGTTTCTGTGAGTTCTTAGTACGGTCATTCTATGGCAACTTCTATTTCATAGTCAGTAAAATTGCAGTATTTAATTTCATGAAGAATATTTTCATAAGATAATCATGAAAACAGAATGCCATTTTGCAAGCAGTGGAAACTTATGGTTCATATAATATTGCATCAGTGGTAGCATGAATTGTTTGCAATAATGGCATATTAGTGATAATGTGTTTCACTTTGCTTATCCATTTAAGAAGGAGAATGAGGTGGGGGGTGGATAGGAAAAAGAAGTCAGAGGTATCTTAAATGAAAAGGATGTTTGAATAGGCAGAGCAGTGTGCAAAAAACCTGGACATACTTCTGAGTGCTAATTCAGATCACTGCATAACTTTGAACTTGTTGGGTTCTTTTCTGCCTCAGCAAGAGGCCTTCTCTTAAATGTAATCTTGTAAGGATTATTTAACAACTTAATATGCTGTGTTTTCCATAAATAGCCTCTGGTAAACCAGTTCATTATTTTACATTACAGTGTTAAACTACATTACAGAACTTCTTTATAAAACTAATAATTATGTTTAAAAATGTATTATAACTTGTATTCCATAATGTATATTTATTAATGGGAAAACCAGTGCTAGAGGCCAACTTAAATTTTCCTTATTTTTTATGTTGTTTGCAGGCTCAAATTACACAAGATGAATCTTCTTATCTTCTGGTAAGAATTTATTTACGTAATAATTATGGAATATAGATTTTATTCCCTTCCCTTCTGTATCCTCCCTTCTCCAAACATTAGTGTATAACCAATCATTGCTAATTCCAGCCTATTTCCTTTCTTAAATACAGTGTTTGGCACATAGTAGGCACTCATTATAATACTTACTGACCTTTAAAACTTCATTTGGGCCCCATGTCCATCATGCTATTAGAAATTCTCTCTCTGTACTCCATGTTTTTCCTTCTTCTTCTTTTTCTTTCTTTTTTTCTATCGTACCCTCTGAGGGTACAATATGGTACATTATTCTGAGGGCAGAATCTTCTTCTTTTCGTTTATACCTCTACTTAGTCCTCTTTTCCTTTGAATATACTGTCATATTTAATGCTATCTTACTACTGCTCCTTTTTATGTCTTAGTATCCTGTAGGCTGTGTTATGGCCCTTGTCCTGCCTCACTTACCATATTTACCTTTGCTACCACCTAATAACAAATGCTGTCCTAGGAGTGATTGTTGGTCCCATTCTCTCTTTACATATTCACTCTGAGATAACTCACAGATTTTTATAGCTTCAACTACTCTTCCTGGGTATATTACCCTTAAATCTCATCCTACCCTTGACCTCTGGTTATGTACCTCTGGTTTTCTTTAGGCTGTTCTACTTATTTCTTTTTTTGTCACCTCTACTGAAATCTACATACAGTTATCTTTTTTCTTTTTTTTTTCTTTTTTTTTTTAAAGAGACAGGGTTTTACTCTGTACCCAACCTGGAGTATAGTGACTCAATCGTAGCCCACTGCTGCCTCTAACTCCTGGACTCAAGTGATCCTCCCACTTCAGCATTCCCTCCCAAGTAGATAGGACTACAAGTATGCACCACCATGCCTGGCTAGTTAAATTTTTGTTTTGTATAGGTGGGGGTCTAGCTATGTTGCCCGGGTTGGTCTTGAACTCCTGGCCTCAAGTGATCCTACTGCCTCAGCTTTCCAAAGTGTTGGAATTGCAGCCATGAGTCACTGTGTCCAGCCGAGAGTATATTTTAGACATGAACATGAGCAAATTCATGGAGTCAAGAAAACGATTAGGGAATGTACACTTTGATTAAAAATTCTTTAACACAGTAACCTAAGAAAGGTATAAAAGTATACTGAGATAGTATTTCAAAGAGTCTAACTTGAATTTTGGGCTGAGGATTTGTACTTCATTCAGTAGGGAATGAAGAGATGGAATATTTTCTTAATCTTTTATTCTAAATGATTTCAAATGTACAGAAAGATGATTAGGCTAATACAAAGCACTCCAGTATATTGTTTACTAAGATTTGCTGTTTTTTAACATCTTGCCACGTTTGCTTGCTCATTCTTCTTCTCTCTCTGTGTGTAAATACTTCAGTGTATATAACCTAAGAGCAAGAGTATCTTTTGTATAACCACACTACAGTTATCAAAGTCAGGAAATTGAACATCAATATCAAACATAATTTATAGCCTACATTTCACTTTTTTCCCTATTGCCCCAATAGTGTTTTTAATAGGAATTTTTAAAAAATTTTGGTACTAGATATACAGTTCAGGATCATGTATTGTGTTTAGCTGTTGTGTCTGTTTGGTCTTCCTTAATCTGTAGCAGTTTGTCAGGCTTTGTCTTTTTTGATACTGATATTTTTGAAGAATACAGGCCCGTCATTTTTCAGGCTATTTCTCAAGACTTGCTGATGCCTACTTATGATTTGATTCATGTTATGAATTTTTTGGCTGGAACGTTGTATACGTAATGTAACTTCCCAAAGGATTGCATCTTGAGTTATGTGATCTTCACTGATCCCTTATTGATGATGTTAACTTTGAGCTCTTGGTTAAGTTGTTATCCATTTATAGTTACTATTTTTTCTTTTTTAATTAGTATTTCATAGGAAGATAGAAAGAGTATGCAAATATCTTGTTTCTTTATGAATATATAGAACATTTTAAAGCAGTGGAGCTATCAGATTTGCATTTTAGAAAGAATGTGATGTCATTTGTGGAAAGATTTGGAATGGAGGTGAAATAGGAGGTGAAAAAGAAAATCTGGGGATTGTAATAGCATCCAAGTGAAAAGTAAAATGCACTCAAATGAGGGTTGCAGAGGGTGCAGAGAGGAGATAGATGATCAGGTATGGGGATAAGATGATGCTGAGTTTTGAGAGTGAATAAGAAATAAGGAAGTCAGGAGAAAGGACTCATTTTGTGAAGGTACTGAGTTTTACTTTTGGCATGTTGAATTTTAGGTAATAGTGAGGTACTCAGGAAAAAATGCTAAGCAAGTTATTGGAAGTGTTGTACAGGAGGTAGTGTGATATCTGTAGTGCATAAAGGTCATATGTAGTTCTAACAGTAGATGTAGATGAAGACTTTAATGTGAAGATGGACAGAGGAGAGGACTGAGTACGGAGTATCAGGCAATGTCGAGGATAAAGAGGAATTTTCAGTTTTGGAGTCAGGGATTATAGGGACTTAATCAGGAGTAATGAGAGAGATGATTGTGGGGCTGAGGAGGGAGACATGAAATTCGCAGGAAATCAAGGGATTGGGAGTTCAAAGGAGGGCAGAGACCTTGCTTAGTGAGAGTATAAGGGTATAAAAAGTAGGAGCATAAAAATATGTCATCTAGGAACATTTGAAAAGTTTCAGCACCTAGAGGTAAAGCACAACTTCCAGTGATGACAGTGTCTAGGCAATGGCCTTGGTTGTGAGTAAATGGCCTGGAGGTGAAAGCCTGTGACACAATGTTTCTGTGACACATTTCTTGCAAATGGGACTGTTGAAGTCACCCAAGGGTATTGGCAGGAGTTAGAGTTGAAAAGAAAAATATGAGTTACATATTGAGTCTGTTGGAAACTTTTTATGTTCAACTAGAGAAAGTAAAAGTCATTAAAACAGTAAGTACAGGGAGTTTCTAACTGTTGCTTTATAGCCTTAGAAATGCTAAAAATTTTCAGTGACTACGGATGATGATATTTTATATTAACAAGAACTCAATTTTGTCATTTTTAAATTTAGGAATAACCTATCTTTGGATGTTTCCCAAAGAAGAGTATGAAGAATCTAAAGATGAAACATTAAATGAATCATAATTATTTGTTAATTTTGATGTGTTTTATTAGAATTGGGACTTTAGTAGTCGAACAGAAAAATTACCTTCTTTATAAATTAATAATATTTCTTTGCTACTTAATAATACCTTTAGTTAAATATTGTTAACCATATGCATGCAAGTGTTATTTTCAGAATTAATGCTTATTCTACATACTTTTAAATTAACCTCATACATAAAATTAAATTAGCATATCAATGCAATTGCATGAATTTTATAATTACCAGCTTTTCCATTTTATTAATGAGTCTACAACTGCTGCTTTGTTCATCTCTTCTTTTAGATGTAACTCTTAAATTAAACTTGGATTCATTTAAATTATTTTTGGCTTCCTCTAAACTTCTCAATTATTTTATGGAAAAAACCTTAGAATTTACATAGCAACGATTATTTTGGGTGTTAAAACTAAGCTAATGATTATTTAAGCCATCTTTTCATCCTAAGGAAAATTAGTAAATGTATGCATTTATAATATGGATATATTATAATGGACTATATTATAATATGGAGTATTTTAGGAAAATTTTTGGGCAAAGATCAGAGGAGATGCCCTTTACCTTGCCAGGCCCCTAAGTAATACATTATTTTTAAGTCAATGAATGAGAGGATTAGAATTCTGAAAATCATTTAGAAGTATTGTTTAATAAGTCCTTTTTTTCTACTCAACATTAAGTAGTAATCAACTTTTACCTCCGCCAGTTTTTCTGCTTTTTTGCTGGTACGATCTCTCTTTCTAAATTGAATCAAAGACCTAGGTGGAACTGGAAACTTAGGAGGGAAAGACAAAATGAGGCTTGTTCATGATCAAATTCTGTGTACTCTAGTTGCTTCTTTCCCTTGGAGTGACAGGTACTTTTATATCCAGGATGATTACAGTGATGACATCCATTCTTTTTTGGGGGCATTGAGAAGGTGGGCTTCCTAATTATTTTACAAAGGTATTACAAAGTGTTAATATACAAAATTCTCATGAAATAGTACAAGTTGTAAGGACTGTAAAGTAATTCATAGTTTTGTTTTTTCCTCTAATAGTTGTAACTTAATTACTTCAGGAGACTACGACAGTGTAGAATTTGTGGTAACATGATCTTCTAGTGACTATTTATCAAATCCACCTGTTTCTAGATGAAGGACACATTGCCTGGGGAAATGGCCTCGGTTTTTTTGCCATGTAGGCTCTCAAGTTTCCCTGCATTGAGGGTCACACAACTTCTTTATATTATGCTGGGTAAATTTCAGGCTGCTAAATCCTTGGGTGAAGCTTCAAATTTTAGCTTATGCAACTGAAGTCCATTGCAAAATGAGACATATTTACACTGTTTATACTGTAATTTATGCTGCATAAAGTTTTGTAGTGAATGTGTATGAGAGTTTTAGGTTTGCTTCAATGTATGTTTATATTTATGTGACTTATACAACTTGACATAGTAGTCTGTTTTAATTTATTAGGTATATCAATATTTGTTAGATTTAAAATAAGAGTCTAATGCTGGATACAAACTCAGTTTATTTCACTGTTCTAGAACCATGGAGGAATGAAGACTCCCACTGAAATGAATGTTCTAAATATTTGTTCTAAATCTTTTAATTTTTGTTTAATAATTTCTGGTGAATATGTGTTCAATCTGTTATGTTAAATAGAATATAATAAACATAAGACTTTTCTTTACTGATACATCACTGAACATAAGCTGCAATACTTTAACTTATTTCTGTTCCATAATTTCAGTAGGGGCTAATGACCCACCCCTGCTACATTAAAGACTTCAGACTGCATTGTGGTCCTGCCTTCTCTTCATCTCCAGCCCAAAGTGTCATTTGTCTAGTTTTCATGAGTAGAAACATTCACTCACCAAATCTATATCTGACTCTTTCCTCTGTGTGGATGAAAGGCATTTTATTTTAGCCCAGTAGTCTAATATTTGCAACTTACGGTTTGGGTTCTGCAGTGGTTGTTTCATGCTTAGTTGTGCAGGGAAGGGAGGGAAGAGATCTTCTAGTGGTTTTAATGAAAAATTTTGGTGAGTACAGAATGGTGAAGAAGCGTCAATACTTCAAAATATCATTCAGCCATTTATTCCAGGTCACCTGAAAGGTTTCAGGTAAACGTTCATGAGAAAAAAAACAAACAGTGGAATATTTAAGCATAGGAACTAATTAAATTCAGGGTATTTTTACATCCAATATAAGCTGAGGAAATGTTAAAATTTGGGAAAAGTCTTGGGTAATCTGGGAATCTTATGGGAGTAAACTTATAAAATAGTGAAATAATGGTCTTGAGTTTAGGAGCGGGTCTGTGGGAGTCGGGTGGCTGGACAGCCTGGGAGTAGATGGGGAACAGCACTAGTGCAGCATTTTATTTTAGGGAGAATGCCGAGTTAGGTGGTGGTATGCTGCTGCAGTAGTATTCCAGTTCCTGAGTCATGGACTATACCTATGGCAGCCATGAAAATGTGCTTCTTGGATTTCCCACCACAGGGGCATAATTGACTGATAGCCCAGCTGTGCTGTATTGTGAATTCTACTACATTTGTATGAAGCCATTCTTCCCAACAAGTTGCACCCAAGCCAATGATTAAGCATGGTAAGGATTTTAAGGCAGGTGTGTTTCTCCAAGACAGGCCTCAAAGGTTCTCTGTTTGTCTTTCTGAAAAATTCTTAGAACTGCACCAGAGATAGCCTGAGACTCTCACAGTGGGCCCACTGGGTTTAGAAACCTACTCAATAGCCATCTCCCCAGGCCCTGGGTGTATAATTGGAATTGATATACCTGGCAGTTGGAGTAACTCTTACGTTGGATGCTTGTCTGGTGGAGTAAGAGTTATCACAACGAGGAAGGACAAGTAGAAATGCCTAAAACTGCCTCCTTTCTCCCAGCCAAGATAATAATAATAACAATAGTAATAATAATAATGAGATCACATTCTGTGGAATGGGAGGAGGGTGACAAATTATTGCTACCATTAAAGACCCAAAGGACTGTAGACTACTACAAAGTTAATTGAATAGTAGCTCTGAACACAGCTGCTTTGCTAGACAGTTGCCATTGTTAGAGCAGGAGCATGGTATATAGCAATTGATGTGGCAGATGCATTCTTTTCCATTTGAATCAGAAAAGGTCACACAGTTGTATTCACATGGGGCAGACAGTATTTACTTAAGGTTTTGCCTCAGGGCTATGTTAACTCTCCTACCTTTTTTTTTTTTTTTTGAGACGGAGTCTCGCTCTGATGCTGAGGCTGGAGTGCAGTGATGCGATCTTGGCTCACTGGAACCTCCGCCCCCTAGGTTCAAGTGATTCTCCTGCCTCAGCCTCCTGAGTAGCTGGGACTACAGGTGTGTGCCACCACACTCGGCTAATTTTTTTGTATTTTTAGTAGAGACGGGGTTTCACTGTATTAGCCAGGCTGGTCTCAAACTCTTGAGCTCAGGTGGTCGTCCCACCTTGGCCTCCCAAAGTGCTGGGATTACAGGCATGAGCTACCACGCCCAGTCCTCTCCTACCTTTCATAATAATGTAGTCCAAAGAGATCTGTATTGCTTGTTCATCCCACAGAATTTCACACTGATCATTACATTAATAACTTTATGCTGATCAGCAGAACAAGCAACAGGTGGCTCGTATACTGGAGGCCTTGGTAAAAGATGTGTGTGCTCCCAAGGGTGGAAGATAAATGCTACAAAGATTCAGGGACCTGCCTGGATTTTCAGTGAAGATTTTAGGAGTCCAACGTAGAAAGCTTGAGTGATATTTTTAGGGTTCCAGTGGCCATGGGTATGCTAGGATATCCCTTCCAGAGTGAAAATCACTGCTCAAATCTTGATTCCCTCACCACAAAAACTGAAGCACATGCATGGTAGGCCTCTTTGTATTCCTAGAAGTAATATATTGTTCATCTAGGAATATTGATCCGGCCCATATATTAGGTGACACAGAAGGTTGTTAACTTTGAATGAGACACAGTGCAGGAAAGGGCTCTGCAGTAGTTCCAGGCTGTGGTGTAAGCAGTCCTGCTGCTGGAGTCATATGATCTGGAAGACCTTATGATGTTAGAGATGTCAGTAGTGAGAAAAGATGTAGTATGTTGCTTATGGAAAGCCTAACACGGGCCCTGTAATGGGATTATGGATCAGGGTCATGCTGTCCACAGCATAGAATTAAATGCCTTTTGAAAAACAACTTCTGGGCCAGGAGTGGTGGCTCACGCCTGTAATCCCAGCACTTTGGGAGGCTGAGGCCGGTGGATCACGA
Organism: Homo sapiens; assembly: GCF_000001405.40. NCBI lineage: Eukaryota > Metazoa > Chordata > Mammalia > Primates > Hominidae > Homo > Homo sapiens. Next base: position 174,008,617 of record NC_000005.10, read on the forward strand.
GGTCAGGAGATCGAGACCATCTTGGCTAACACGGTGAAACCCCGTCTCTACTAAAAATACAAAAAATTAGCCGGGCTCGGTGGCGGGCGCCTGTAAGTCCCAGCTACTCGGGAGGCTGAGGCAGGAGAATGGCATGAACCCGGGAGGCGGAGCTTGCAGTGAGCCAAGATCGCGCCACTGCACTCTAGCCTGGGTGACTCCATCTCAAAAAAAAAAAAAAAAAAAGAAAGAAAAACAACTTCTGACATGATTCTGGATTCTGGTGGAGACAGATTTATTGGTCTTGAGGCACCAAATGACTGGATCTGGGACTTCACTTTATAAATAGGATTCTATCAGACTTACCAAGTAAAAAAAATTGAGTACTAGCAGTAGACTATCATAAAATGGAAATAGTGCATCTGGACTGAAGACTGAGCAGGACCAGAGAGCACAGGCAAGTTACATGAGCAGGTAGTCTAATCCTCATATCATCCACTTCGGTTGCACTAGCTAGAAATGCCCGCTAGAAAGCCTCCAGTGTCCTAGAGGTTGCCGTGAGCCGAGATTGCACCACTGTACTCCAGCCTGGGTGACAGAGCAAGACTCTATCTTAAAAGAAAAAAAATAATCCTCCAGTGTCCTGGAGAGATACTGGAAATTAAGAAAACGGAATGATGGCCAGATGATTTTGCCATCCTTCATCAGTGGCCACCCAGGAACTCTCGTTTTTCTGTTTTCAGTTTCTTTCATTTCTATTTACTATTTCCTTTCTTGTGTTTGCTTTGGTTTTATTTTACTCCTCTTTTTTATATTCTTGAAACGAATGCTTACATTATTGAGACTTTTCATCTTTTCTACTATATGCATTTGGTGTTATAAGTTTTTCTGTCAACACCGCTTTAGCTGTATCCTACAGATTTTGATATATTGTGTTTTCTCTTTTTTCCTCCTGATCAAATAGCTCAGATTCTAAGTGTTTTAATTTTGGTTTACTTAAATGTAATTTTTGATTTTCCTTGAGATTCCCTCTTTGACTTGTAGATTATGTAGAAATACGTTGTTTACTTTCTAATTGTTGAGATTTTCCTGTTATTCTTTATTGATTTCTAGAATGATTCCATTGTGGTCAGAGAACACACTTTGTATGATTTCAGTTCCTTTACATTTGTTGAGGCTTGTTTGATGGCCAATGATATGACTTATCTTGGTATAGGTTTCATGGGCACTTGAATATATATTCTACTGCTGATAAGTGTTCAACAAATGTCTATTAGATCCTCTTGGTTGATGCTGAGTTCTTCTGTATCCTTGATGATTTTCTGTCTAGTTATTTTATCAGTTGTTAAAAGAGGTGTGTTGATGTCTCCAATTGTATGTTTTTCTATTCTTTAGGTTCTCACAGTTTTTACTTCACATATTTTGCAGCTTTATTATTTGGTGCATACATATTTAGGACTGCTAAGTCTTCTTGGTAATTGATCCTTTATCATTATATAATGCCCTTTTTTGTCTGGTAATTTTCTTTGTTCTTAAGTCTATTTTATCTGATAATAATATAAATATTCCTGCTTTCATTTTATTGTATCTTTTTCCATTCTTTTACTTTCAACCTGCCTATATCACTATATTTGAAATGAGTTTTTTATAGACAACATATAGCTGGGTCATGTTTTTTTAATCTACTCTGACAATGTCTGTCTTTTATTGGTACGCATATATTTACATTTAATGTAATTTACATTTACATTTAATGTAGTTAATATTAGTACTTAAGTTTTCCATTTTATTTTAGTTTTTTTCTGTTTGTTATTTTTGGTCTGTGTTTTTCTGTTTTCTTTTTCCTGCCTTCTGGCTAGTGGGGTGAATGTCTGGGCTTTCTAATTTGCCTTTTCTGGCATCACCCCATTGTGGGTGTTGGGACACATCAGCATAGCTTCATGAGTGTGAAAGCCTGGGCTTCCTACTAAACCCTTACTGCCGTTAATGTGGTTGGGGCCTCAGTTTTTTCTGTGGTATTTGGCTAGTTGAGTGGTTATCATCATAAAGTTTTCTGTCTTGCTCAGCTATTCCTTTCCTGGTCCTTCAGGTAGAGAGAGCTGGTTTTTGTTGGGCCTTTTTTGTCTATGCCTTTTGGCATTTCCAGGGTCCTGGCTTCTTAAGCTTCAAGTCTGGAATATATGAAACAAAAAGAAAGCCTAATAATTCACTCCTGTGTTGTTCCTTGAGCCTTGAGGTTCTTAACTGGTCTGTTCTCTACAGCTTTCAGAGTGTTCTTATGTTTGTTTTATGTATAATGTTCCAAGTTTTTAGTTTTTAATACTTGGAGACAGGAATAGGGAAAAGTGTGTCTGCACCATTTCCCTGTGGAAGCATAAGTCTCAGCTGATATTTTATAAAGGAAATGTGCAAATGCAGTTCAGTAAAGAAAGGGTAGTCTTTTCAATAAATGGTGTTGGAACAATTGGATATCCATGTGCAAAAAAGTAAACGTTCTCCTAAACCTCACTTTTTTTTTTTTTTTTTTTTGAGACAGGGTCTCAGTCTGGCCTAGCCTGGAGTACAGTGGTGATCATGGCTCACTGCAACCTCGACCGCCCAGGCTCAAGCCATCCTCCTACTTCAGCCTGCTGAGTAGCTAGGACTACAGGCATGTGCCACCATGCTCAGCCAATTTTTGTATTATTTTTATTTTTGTATTTTTTTGTAGAGAGAAGGTTTCACCATGCTGCCCAGGCTGGTCTTGAACTCCTGGGTTCAAGCAGTTGCCTGCCTTGACCTCCTAAAAGGCTGGGATTACAGGTGTGAGCCACTGTGGCCAGCTCTCATATCTTATATAAAAGAAATATTCAAAATGGATCATAGATCTAAGGAGGAACAAATGCAAATTCCCTAATTTGCATTGTTAGGGAAATGCAAATTAAAACTATGATGAAATAACACTACGGATGAAATAAAAAAATACTGACTATAACAAAAGTTGGTGAGGATACAGAGCAGCTGGAGCTGTCATACATTGCTGGTGGGAATGTAAAATGCTGCAGCCACTTTGAGAAATAGTTTGGCAATTTTTGAAAACACTCAAACTACTATACAACCCGGCAATTGGGCATTTATCCCAGAGAAATGAATTTATGTTCACACAAAAATCTGTACACGAATATTTATAGCAGTGTTATTTGTAGTAGACAAAAATAGAAAACAACCCAGATGTCCTTTAATGGATGAATGATAAACTGTGGTATCTCCATACCATGGAATACTACTCATCATAAAAAGAAACAAACCGTTGATACGTGCAACACACTTTAATCTCCAGAGAATTATGCAGAGTGAGAAAGCCAATCCAAAAAGGTTATATACTATATGATTCCATTTATGTAACATTCTTGAAATGGCAAAATTATAGAAATGTAGAACAGATCAGTGGTTGCCAAGGGTTAAGGAGAGGGTTGGGGTTGGAAAGAAGTGCATGTGGCTATGTAAGTGCAACATGAGAGATCTTGGTCTGTGTCTTGCACATATCAATCACAATATCCTGGATGTGATTTTGCACTATAGTTTTGCAAGTGACATCTTGCAAAATCACATCTGGGATATTCACTGGGAGAAACTGAGTAAAGAGTACACAGGATCTCCATTATTTCTTACAATTGCTTGTGAATCTACAGTTATCTCAAAAAAATTAAAAACTGCATCCTGATTCTTAGGCTAAGTTATTACTTATAACAATATATAATAAAGATTCCTTTAAAATATCAATTGATCGTATGTCTGTGGGTTTATTTCTGGATGCTCTAATACTGTTCCTTTGATCTAGGTATCTATTCTTTCTCCAATACCACACTGTCTTGAGGCAATAGTAATTTTGGGGTAGTTTGGCCTATGACTGGCTATAGGAATTTTAGAAACTAAGTATTGTGTCTTACAGCTTAAGGTGTTTCCCCAAAATTGTTTTGGCTATTCTAGTTTTTTTGCCTTTCTACATAAATTTCAGAATTAACTTGTTGATTTCTGCAAGAAACACTAGGGATTTTTATTTGATTGCATTGAATCTATAGATCAGTTTGGGAAAAATTATCATTGTAAGGATGTTGAATCTTTTGATTCCTGAACATGGGATATATCTTCATTTATTTAGGTCTTTTTACATTTTGTTAGGTTTTGAATGTGTTGTGGTCTCACTCTACAGATCTTGCACATAGTTTGTAAGATGTACACCAAATGTTTTGTGATTTTTGGTTCTATTCTGAATGGCACTTTTAACTTGAATTTTCCATTGTTAATTGCTGGTATACAGAATTTTTTGGGATTTCTACAATCATTTCATCTATAAATGAGACTTTTATTTCTTCCTTCCAACCTGTAAATACCTTTTACTTATTTTCTTTGCTTTATTGCACTGGCTAAGATTTCCAGAATGTCAGGTGCCATGTTGGTCTTTCTCTGACTTTAATGTGTTCTTATTGGACCCCATTATTCTAGGAATCTGATGAAGTTTAGTGAAATTTTTTTTTTAACAACTGGGAATAGCCTAGTTTGATAGTGGGTGACTCCATTACTCTCAGTATTTACTATATGCCATATTAGGAACATTTCCTCCCTCTCTCCCTCCTTCCCTTCCTCTCTCTCTCTTTCCTCTCCCATCCTCTTTCTTTCATTTCTTTCTCTTTTTTCTTTTTTCATTTTTCTTTCTTTTCTCTCTTTTTTTTATTTTCTCTATCTTTCTTTTCTTTCTTTCTTTCAAGACAGGGTCTTGCTGTGTTGCCTAAGCTGGACATGAATGAGATATTTCCTTTCTGAACCACTTATCTCCATCCCCAACCCTCTCCTTAACCCCTGGCAACCACTCATCTGTTCTACATTTCTATAATTTTGCCATTTTAAGAATGCTATATCAATGGAATCAAACACTATATAATCTTTTTGGATTGGCTTTCTCACTGTGCATAATTCTCTGGAGATTCAGGTGTGTTGGATGTATCACCGGTTTGTTTCTTTTTATTGATGAGTAGTATTCCATGCTATGGAGATACCACAGTTTGTTTCATCATTCATCCATTAAAGGACATCTGGGTTGTTTTCCATTTTTGTCTACTACAAATAACACTGCTATAAATACTCGTGTACAGATTTTTGTGTGAATATTTTTCTTTTTTTTTTATTATTATACTTTAAGTTTTAGGGTACATGTGCACATTGTGCAGGTTAGTTACATATGTATACATGTACCATGCTGGTGCGCTGCACCCACTAACTCATCATCTAGCGTTAGGTATATCTCCCAATGCTATCCCTCCCCACTCCCCCCACCCCACAACAGTCCCCACAGTGTGATATTCCCCTTCCTGTGTCCATGTGATCTCATTGTTCAATTCCCACCTATGAGTGAGAACATGCGGTGTTTGGTTTTTTGTTCTTGCGATAGTTTACTGAGAATGATGATTTCCAATTTCATCCATGTCCCTACAAAGGACATGAACTCATCATTTTTTATGGCTGCATAGTATTCCATGGTGTATCTGTGCCACATTTTCTTAATCCAGTCTATCATTGTTGGACATTTGGGTTGGTTCCAAGTCTTTGCTATCGTGAATAATGCCACAATAAACATATGTGTGCATGTGTCTTTATAGCAGCATGATTTATAGTCCTTTGGGTATATACCCAGTAATGGGATGGCTGGGTCAAATGGTATTTCCAGTTCTAGATCCCTGAGGAATGGCCACACTGACTTCCACAATGGTTGAACTAGTTTACAGTCCCACCAACAGTGTAAAAGTGTTCCTATTTCTCCACATCCTCTCCAGTACCTGTTGTTTCCTGACTTTTTAATGATTGCCATTCTAACTGGTGTGAGATGGTATCTCATTGTGGTTTTGATTTGCATTTCTCTGATGGCCAGTGATGATGAGCATTTTTTCATGTGTTTTTTGGCTGCATAAGTGTCTTCTTTTGAGAAGTGTCTGTTCATGTCCTTCGCCCACTTTTTGATGGGGTTGTTTGTTTTTTTCTTGTAAATTTGTTTGAGTTCACTGTAGATTCTGGATATTAGCCCTTTGTCAGATGAGTAGGTTGCGAAAATTTTCTCCCATTTTGTAGGTTGCCTGTTCACTCTGATGGTAGTTTCTTTTGCTGTGCAGAAGCTCTTTAGTTTAATTCAATCCCATTTGTCAATTTTGGCTTTTGTTGCCATTGCTTTTGGTGTTTTAGACATGAAGTCCTTGCCCATGCCTATGTCCTGAATGGTAATGCCTAGGTTTTCTTCTAGGGTTTTTATGGTTTTAGGTCTAACATTTAAGTCTTTAATCCATCTTGAATTGATTTTTGTATAAGGTGTAAGGAAAGGATCCAGTTTCAGCTTTCTACATATGGCTAGCCAGTTTTCCCAGCACCATTTATTAAATAGGGAATCCTTTCCCCAATTGCTTTTCTCAGGTTTGTCAAAGATCAGTTAGTTGTAGATATGCGGCGTTATTTCTGAGGGCTCTGTTCTGTTCCATCGATCTATATCTCTGTTTTGGTACCAGTACCATGCTGTTTTGGTTACTGTAGCCTTGTAGTATAGTTTGAAGTCAGGTAGTGTGATGCCTCCAGCTTTGTTCTTTTGGCTTAGGATTGACTTGGCGATGCGGGCTCTTTTTTGGTTCCATATGAAGTTTAAAGTAGTTTTTTCCAAATCTGTGAAGAAAGTCATTAGTAGCTTGTTGGGGATGGCATTGAATCTGTAAATTACCTTGGGCAGTATGACCATTTTCACTATATTGATTCTTCCTACCCATGAGCATGGAATGTTCTTCCATTTGTTTGTATCCTCTTTTTTTTTTTTTTTTTTGAGACGGAGTCTCGCTCTGTCGCCCAGGCTGGAGTGCAGTGGCGGGATCTCGGCTCACTGCAAGCTCCGCCTCCCGGGTTCACGCCATTCTCCTGCCTCAGCCTCCCAAGTAGCTGGGACTACAGGCGCCCGCCACTACGCCCGGCTAATTTTTTGTATTTTTAGTAGAGACGGGGTTTCACCGTTTTAGCCGGGATGGTCTCGATCTCCTGACCTCGTGATCCGCCCGCCTCGGCCTCCCAAAGTGCTGGGATTACAGGCGTGAGCCACCGCGCCCGGCCTTTGTATCCTCTTTTATTTCCTTGAGCAGTGGTTTGTAGTTCTCCTTGAAGAGGTCCTTCACATCCCTTGTAAGTTGGATTCCTAGGTATTTTATTCTCTTTGAAGCAATTGTGAATGGGAGTTCACTCATGATTTGGCTCTCCGTTTGTCTGTTGTTGGTGTATAAGAATGCTTGTGATTTTTGTACATTGATTTTGTATCCTGAGACTTTGCTGAAGTTGCTTATCAGCTTAAGGAGATTTTGGGCTGAGACAATGGGTTTTCTAGATATGCAATCATGTCGTCTGCAAACAGGGACAATTTGACTTCCTCTTTTCCTAATTGAATACCCTTTATTTCCTTCTCCTGCCTAATTGCCCTGGCCAGAACTTCCAACACTATGTTGAATAGGAGTGGTGAGAGAGGGCATCCCTGTCTTGTGCCAGTTTTCAAAGGGAATGCTTCCAGTTTTTGCCCATTCAGTATGATATTGGCTGTGGGTTTGTCATAGATAGCTCTTATTATTTTGAAATACGTCCCATCAATACCTAATTTATTGAGAGTTTTTAGCATGAAGGGTTGTTGAATTTTGTCGAAGGCTTTTTCTGCACCTATTGAGATAATCATGTGGTTTTTGTCTTTGGCTCTGTTTATATGCTGGATTACATTTATTGATTTGCGTATATTGAACCAGCCTTGCATCCCAGGGATGAAGCCCACTTGATCATGGTGGATAAGCTTTTTGATGTGCTTCTGGAATCGGTTTGCCAGTATTTTATTGAGGATTTTTGCATCAATGTTCATCAAGGATATTGGTCTAAAATTCTCTTTTTTTGTTGTGTCTCTGCCTGGCTTTGGTATCAGAATGTTGCTGGCCTCATAAAATGAGTTAGGGAGGATTCCCTCTTTTTCTATTGATTGGAATAGTTTAAGAAGGAATGGTACCAGTTCCTCCTTGTACCTCTGGTAGAATTCGGCTGTGAATCCATCTGGTCCTGGACTCTTTTTGGTTGGTAAGCTATTGATTATTGCCACAATTTCAGATCCTGTTATTGGTCTATTCAGAGATTCAACTTCTTCCTGGTTTAGTCTTGGGAGAGTATATGTGTTGAGGAATTTATCCATTTCTTCTAGATTTTCTAGTTTATTTGCGTAGAGGTGTTTGTAGTATTCTCTGATGGTAGTTTGTATTTCTGTGGGATTGGTGGTGATATCCCCTTTATCATTTTTTATTGCGTCTATTTGATTCTTCTCTCTTTTTTTCTTTATTAGTCTTGCTAGCGGTCTATCAGTTTTGTTGATCCTTTCAAAAAACCAGCTCCTGGACTCATTAATTTTTTGAAGGGTTTTTTGTGTCTCTATTTCCTTCAGTTCTGCTCTGATTTTAGTTATTTCTTGCCTTCTGCTAGCTTTTGAATGTGTTTGCTCTTGCTTTTCTAGTTCTTTTAATTATGATGTTAGGGTGTCCATTTTGGATCTTTCCTGCTTTCTCTTGTGGGCATTTCGTGCTATAAATTTCCCTCTACACACTGCTTTGAATGCGTCCCAGAGATTCTGGTATGTTGTGTCTTTGTTCTCGTTGGTTTCAAAGAACATCTTTATTTCTGCCTTTATTTCGTTATGTACCCAGTAGTCATTCAGGAGCAGGTTGTTCAGTTTCCATGTAGTTGAGCGGTTTTAAGTGAGATTCTTAATCCTGAGTTCTAGTTTGATTGCACTGTGGTCTGAGAGATAGTTTGTTATAATTTCTGTTCTTTTACATTTGCTGAGGAGAGCTTTACTTCCCAGTATGTGGTCAATTTTGGAATAGGTGTGGTGTGGTGCTGAAAAAAATGTATATTCTGTTGATTTGGGGTGGAGAGTTCTGTAGATGTCTATTAGGTCGGCTTGGTGCAGAGCTGAGTTCAATTCCTGGGTATCCTTGTTGACTTTCTTTTTTTTTTTTTTTTTTTTTTGAGACGGAGTCTCGCTCTGTCGCCCAGGCCGGACTGCGGACTGCAGTGGCGCAATCTCGGCTCACTGCAAGCTCCACTTCCCGGGTTCACGCCATTCTCCTGCCTCAGCCTCCCGAGTAGCTGGGACTACAGGCGCCCGCCACCGCGCCCGGCTAATTTTTTGTATTTTTAGTAGAGACGGGGTTTCACCTTGTTAGCCAGGATGGTCTCGATCTCCTGACCTCATGATCCACCCGCCTCGGCCTCCCAAAGTGCTGGGATTATAGGCGTGAGCCACCGCGCCCGGCCCTCCTTGTTGACTTTCTGTCTCGTTGATCTGTCTAATGTTGACACTGGGGTGTGTTAAAGTCTCCCATTATTAATGTGTGGGAGTCTAAGTCTCTTTGTAGGTCACTCAGGACTTGCTTTATGAATCTTGGTGCTCCTGTATTGGGTGCATATATATTTAGGATAGTTAGCTCTTCTTGTTGAATTGATCCCTTTATCATTATGTAATGGCCTTCTTTTTCTCTTTTGATCTTTGTTGGTTTAAAGTCTGTTTTATCAGAGACTAGGATTGCAACCCCTGCCTTTTTTTGTTTTCCATTTGCTTGGTAGATCTTCCTCCATCCTTTTATTTTGAGCCTATGTGTATCTCTGCATGTGAGATGGGTTTCCTGAATACAGCACACTGATGGGTCTTGACTCTTTATCCAATTTGCCAGTCTGTGTCTTTTAATTGGAGCATTTAGTCCATTTACATTTAAAGTTAATATTGTTATGTGTGAATTTGATCCTATCATTATGATGTTAGCTGGTTATTTTGCTTGTTAGTTGATGCAGTTTATTCCTAATCTCTATGGTCTTTACATTTTGGCATGATTTTGCAGTGGCTGGTACCAGTTGTTCTTTCCATATTTAGCGCTTCCTTCAGGAGCTCTTTTAGGGCAGGCTTGGTGGTGACAAAATCTCTCAGCATTTGCTTGTCTGTAAAGTATTTTATTTCTCGTTCGCTTATGAAGCTTAGTTTGGCTGGATATGAAATTCTGGGCTGAAAATTCTTTTCTTTAAGAATGTTGAATATTGTCCCCCACTCTCTTCTGGCTTGTAGGGTTTCTGCCGAGAGATCAGCTGTTAGTCTGATGGGCTTCCCTTTGAGGGTAACCCGACCTTTCTCTCTGGCTGCCCTTAACATTTTTTCCTTCATTTCAACTTTGGTGAATCTGACAATTATGTGTCTTGGAGTTGCTCTTCTCGAGGAGTATCTTTGTGGCGTTCTCTGTATTTCCTGAATCTGAACGTTGGCCTGCCTTGCTAGATTGGGGAAGTTCTCCTGGATAATATCCTGCAGAGTGTTTTCCAACTTGGTTCCATTCTCCCCATCACTTTCAGGTACACCAATCAGACGTAGATTTGGTCTTTTCACATAGTCCCATATTTCTTGGAGGCTTTGCTCATTTCTTTTTATTCTTTTTTCTCTAAACTTCCCTTCTCGCTTCATTTCATTCATTTCATCTTCCATTGCTGATACCCTTTCTTCCAGTTGATCTCATCGGCTCCTGAGGCTTCTGCATTCTTCACGTAGTTCTCGAGCCTTGGTTTTCAGCTCCATCAGCTCCTTTAAGCACTTCTCTGTATTGGTTATTCTAGTTATACATTCTTCTAAATTTTTTTCAAAGTTTTAACTTCTTTCCCTTTGGTTTGAATGTCCTCCCGTAGCTCGAGTAAATTGATCGTCTGAAGCCTTCTTCTCTCAGCTCGTCAAAGTCATTCTCCATCCAGCTTTGTTCCGTTGCTGGTGAGGAACTGCGTTCCTTTGGAGGAGGAGAGGCGCTCTGCTTTTTAGAGTTTCCAGTTTTTCTGTTCTGTTTTTTCCCTATCTTTGTGGTTTTATCTACTTTTTGGTCTTTGATGATGGTGATGTACAGACGGGTTTTTGGTGTGGATGTCCTTTCTGTTTGTTAGCTTTCCTTCTAACAGACAGGACCCTCAGCTGCAGGTCTGTTGGAATACCCTGCCGTGTGAGGTGTCAGTGTGCCCCTGCTGGGGGGTGCGTCCCAGTTAGGCTGCTCGGGGGTCAGGGGTCAGGGACCCACTTGAGGAGGCAGTCTGCCCGTTCTCAGATCTCCAGCTGCGTGCTGGGAGAACCACTGCTCTCTTCAAAGCTGTCAGACAGGGACATTTAAGTCTGCAGAGGTTACTGCTGTCTTTTTGTTTGTCTGTGCCCTGCCCCCAGAGGTGGAGCCTACAGAGGCAGGCAGGCCTCCTTGAGCTGTGGTGGGCTCCACCCAGTTCGAGCTTCCCGGCTGCTTTGTTTACCTAATCAAGCCTGGGCAATGGCGGGCGCCCCTCCCCCAGCCTTGCTGCCGCCTTGCAGTTTGATCTCAGACTGCTGTGCTAGCAATCAGCGAGACTCCTTGGGGTAGGACCCTCCGAGCCAGGTGCTGGATATAATCTTGTGGTGCGCCATTTTTTAAGCCCGTCGGAAAAGCGCAGTATTCGGGTGGGAGTGACCCGATTTTCCAGGTGCTGTCCATCACCCCTTTCTTTGACTCGGAAAGGGAACTCCCTGACCCCTTGCACTTCCCAAGTGAGGCAATGCCTCGCCCTGCTTCGGCTCGCGCACGGTGTGCGCACCCACTGACCTGCACCCACTGTCTGGCACTCCCTAGTGAGATGAACCCGGTACCTCAGATGGAAATGCAGAAATACCCGTCTTCTGCGTCGCTCACGCTGGGACCTGTAGACTGGAGCTGTTCCTATTCAGCCATCTTGGCTCCTCCCCCCACATTTTTCTTTTCTTTTAAAAAATTTCTATGAAATTGAATCTTCCAGAGATCAAGAGGCAGAGACGAACTTAAAACTGAAATTACCTCAACAAAAGGCAATGCCAAGTAGTTACAAACATGTACTACCCACTCCTGCCTGAAGGTGGGAGTCTTCAGTTATGTAATGGTCTAGGGCACAGCTTGTGGAGGAGGGGTGACATCCATGCACAAATCTCCTACTTGTGTGAGTCAGGTTCAAGTGAGACACTTATCCATTCATACCTTCATTGCTTCATTCATGTAATATTGATTGAGTCTATATCCTGTGCCAAATTCTTTTCTAGGTACCAGGGGAGCAAAAGTGAGCAAAACATACAAAAATTCATCTTTAAGGAAAGACAAGTGATAAAGTATACAGTATGTTTAAAAAAATAAGTACTATGGAGAACTAAAGCAATAAATGAGAGAAAGAGATGAGAGTGTCAGGGGAGTCAATGTTAAGTAGAATGGCAAAGGAAGGCCTCACATAGAAAGTGATATTTACATAAAAACCAGCAGTAAGCAAACCAGACATGCAAATAGTTGGGGTCAAGGCCAGGGTCCTGAGGCTGAAAAACAGGAGGAAAAAAAAAAAGGAGGAGGAGGAGAAGGGGAAGGGGAAGCAGAAGGGGAAAGGGAAGGGGAAGAGGAAGAAGAAAGAAGAAGAAGAAGGAAGGAAGAAAGAAGAAGGAGAAGGAAGAAGGAGAAGGAAGAAGCAGAAGGAAGGAGAAGGAAGAAGGAGAAGGAGAAGAAGTCCCGTGGAGTGAGAGGGAGAGGGAAGACGGGAGCGTGAGTAACAGAAATTGGGTTATGTTGGGCTACTTAGAGGACTTTCCCTCTCTTCAGAGTTAGATGTAAAAACTATTGGAGAGTTTTGAGTAGTGAATTTACATGAACCAGCTAACATGTAACTACTTTGGCGACTGTTTTGAGAATGGACTGAAAGTAGGCAAGGGCCATCTTACCTTTTTTTGAGTCAGTGAGGGATGATTGTTTTCCCCTTATTCTTTAATATAAATATAAAAAATCAAGCATACCTTCTCTACAAAGAGAAACTTTTCATGAGGCATTTGCAAATACTACCTGTTGTCTTTCTTTGGTGGAGATGTATGGTCCATCTTTTGGGAGGGGACACTCATGTCCCTGTTGCACCTGGTTTCAGAGCAATAGATATTTGCATTCTGCAAATCCTCTCTGGTATATCAGAGACTTTCAGGCTCGTAAAAGGAATTTTCCATGGGCTCTTTCATTACACCCAATAAACTTATACTCAAATATTTGGTTTTATCATGTTGGCTTACTAGTATGTGATAAACTCACGGTTTTTTAAAAAATTATATTTTCTAGAACTCAGTGGATTTTTTTTCTGGCAGAAAATTATTCATGTTTTTCCCATATTTAAAAATAAATAGCAGCTGGCATGGTGGCCTATGCCTGTAATCCCAGCACTTTGGGAGGCCAAAGCAGGTGGATCATTTGAGGTCAGGAGCTTGAGACCAGCCCGGGCAACATGGTGAAACCCCGTCTCTACTAAAAATACAAAAATTAGCCCAGTGTGGCAGCACATGCCTGTAGTCCCAGCTACTTGGGAGGCTGAGGTGGAAGAATTACTTGAACTCTGGGGGCAGAGTTTGCAGTGAGCCAAGGTCACACGTCTGCACTCCAGCCTGGGTGACAGAGTGAGACTCTGTCTCAAAAAAAAAACAAAAAACAAAAAACAAAAACATGTATTTGGGGACATGAACAAAAAAGTATTTTAAAAATAATGGAAATCACCCATAACATCATCCAGAAAAAAATCCAATGAACAGTTTTGCCTTTTTTTATCTTTATTTTTTCTCAAGGTTGAGATTATATAATGTCTATACAACTTTGATTCCTCTTTTTACTCGAAATTATGTCGTAAACATTTCCCATGTTATTCCATATTCTATGCCATCATTTTTAATGACTGCATAATATTTCATCATATGCAATGAACCAAGATTTACCCATCCACCCCTACTTGCTGATAATTAGATTGTAAAAACTCAGTCCTCATTCTCATTAAGTCACAATTACACAACTAATTATGTAGTTTTATGTGTCATGGTATTTCAACAATGAACAGGGTGCTAAGGAATTGGACAGAGTCCAGGGCCTCAGGGGGCTTCTCTGAGGAAGTAATACTTAAATGGCTCTCAAGAATCACAAGGAATTAATTAAAGGAGTGGGAAGAGCACTCTCTGAAGAGGAAACATGAAAGGAAGCATCAGGGGAGAGTCTCTGGGCTGGGAGGGAGTGGGTGTTTGGGAGGCCGGGCTGTAGGATTGGTGGGCAGGAAAGCAGGGTTGTTAGATCAGGAGACAGAGCAGAGTAGGGTGGAGTTGTTGGAGACAGAGGGGTGGACTGATTTGAGTGATATCTGGGAGGGAGAATTGCCAGGACTTGGTGATTGGATGTAGGAGGAAGAAGGAGTTGGCAGGAATTCTTCTCAGGTTTCTGGCCGGAACAATGGATGGGTGGATGATGGGACAGATTCCTGAAGGAGGCACAGCAGGAGGAGCAGCAGGTTAGAGGGCAGAGGCCGCCTCAGTCTGTTCTGGTACCTTTCACAAAGCGTCATAGATTGGGTGGCTGATAAACAGCATGAATGTATTTTTCACAGCTCTGGAGGTTAGAAGTCAGAGACCAGGGTGCCAGCATGGTCAGGTTCTGATGCACTCCCTCTTCCAGGTTCCAGATGGCTGATTTCTGCTTGTCATGTGGGGGAAAAAAGAGGTAGACGGTTCTCTGGGTCTCTTTTATGAGGACACTAGTCCCATTCATGAGGGCCCCACCTCCTAATACCATCACTTTGGGGGTAGATTTCAACATATGAATTTCAGGGGGACCCAAACATTTAGTTCATAACAGAGACCATGAATTCAGTTTTGGACATGCTGAGATTCAGGTGTCTTGAAACATCAAGTGAAGATATCAAGGAAATAGTTGCATATATGAGTCTGGAGTCCTAAAGAAATCCCTGTGCTGAAGGTATACATTTAGGAACTATCTGTATAGTGATGGGATTTGCAGTCGGTGGTGTGAGTGCTGAGCAAGAGAGTGTGGCATGAGGACAGCCAGGACAGAGCCGGCAGTGGATGCTGAGCAGCCCGGACAGATCTCCCTTTGGGACTGAAAGACTTTTTTCCCTTGGCTGCTAGCTGACAACCCTTAGCTATTAGCCCTCTCTGGGAATCGGCCTTAGCTGAAGACAGCCACACTGCCCAGGGTTATGCCTTCTTGGGGAAGAGGGCCCACCTGCATCTCAACGTGGGGTGGCTATAAGAAGGGCCATCCCAGCTTCATAGCTACTTGTGGGATCAGCTGAGGAGTTCATTGAGGCTGTATCACAACCTACCATCTTCCTCTGACCAACCCTATTTCCTTTTCTTCCCTTCTTCATCCTGGAACCACACCCTAATAAACATCCTGTATTCAGAGCTTCCCAGAGCTGGCTTTTTGGGGAACCTGTCCTGTAACTGAAAACCTTCCATTCAAATGTGGCTTGTTTTACAGCACAAACTAGGAAGGGTTTTCTTAGAAGAGACAGATAAATGGATCATTTAACGGGAAAATAGTCTCTAAGAATGCTCTTTAAAGACATAAATTTCTAGGCAAAATTCAAAAACTTTTTCAAAAAGCCCTTATTTCTTTCTAAATGGATTCCTAGACCTCAGTTGGAAGGGTTCTTTGTAAGTCATCCTGCTTGCATTAAGTTGATGTCAAAGTATCACCCCTAGGGCTTGTCTCCTTTATTTGGAGAATCTCCATCTTCATCTATTTCTAGCCAGCTGGAGGAGAAATTTTGACTGTCCTTTCTGCCACTTCCTTTCTGCCTCTCTATTGTCCTTTTCCCCTTGAAATCAAAAGTAGGCAATGTCTCCTTTTATAAGAAAAAAGAGAATCTCATGCTTTTCATAGCTTTCTGACTGTGGTTATTTGAAATTTAAATATAGAGCTCCTAGTAATAGTCTTAGTATAGCATTCTTTTGTGCTTGTGTCTGCAAGATTCTTAGAGCAGATTTCTAAAAACCTTATTATTATTATCAGACCATTACATTTTGAAAAACATTCTTAAACTGACAACAGGATTTATAATGAGACATTTAAAGTGCTTTTATCATGTCTTTCATTGGCGGTATGCTTATACACGGAAAAAGAACACTAAACGTAGGATGTAATGAAAACCTATCACATAACATCACAAATCCTTTGAAACCTATGTATGTAAAATAATTATTTTCAGATAAAGCATCATTTGAGGCCTTCTGGAAAGAGAAACTTACATTGTATCAATTTTTCTCCTACTTCCAATTCTGACGAAAGTGTCTCAGGAAATGGAAATAAAACAGGGAAAAGTATGTATCAGTGAAAATAAAGACTTGAGTTAATCTAAGATTTGACTGATAAAGGTGGGAGAAAGGAGAAGCAGGAAAAGGAGAAGGCGAAGGAACATGTATGCTGATGATCTCATTTTACATGGAGGAAGATCTAAAGTGTGTTCGATTCCCAAGGCTAAGAGATAAGTGTTGTTTCCAATGTTTTTGACTTATTAAGAAATAACTACAGATGTAATTTTAACAAAGCATCTTCCAAATTACTGGGAGAAAAAAAGTGTGTGTAGAAAACAATGAAGGAAATGAAGAAAATAGCAAAGAATCAGAAAAAATTATGACAAGTACATGACAATACATGTTGTCATAAAAATTACTTTTTTTACATGTATTTTTTAGAGATATGGTGTTGCTATTTTGCCCAGGCTGGATTTGAACTCCTGGGCTCAAGCTGTCCTCCTGCCTCAGCATCCTGAGTAGCTGGGACTATAGACAGTGCTACCATGCCTGGCTAAGAGTTAATTTTAAGGGGTTAAATCCTTATATTGAAAAGGTTACCTATAATGTACAATGACCTAGTGAAGAAACAAGTCCAACTATAAAAAGCTGGGAAGAACAAATAGAAACCATAGAAAGAAGGGCTTGCAATTGTATTTTAGATAAAGAAGAATTCAAATCATGAAATGCTAAATAGGACTAATAGCTCATTTACACTTATAAAAGTAAAATTCACAAGAAGATGTGACATCCTGAAACAGTGTGTGACATATCATAGCTTTAATGCAAGGAGAAATTTCGTAACAATCATGTAAGATAGAAACACCCCTCTCTCATTTCTTGACAGATCAAGCAAGTAAAAAAATAAATGAGGGCAGAGAAGATTTAAATGGCATAACTAACAGACATGATGTAGTAGTTATGCATATAAATCTGTATTTATAAATAATATGGCTTCTTCCTTTATGTCCAGAGAATTTTAACAGAAATAGTTCATATGTTAGGCCATTGTGAAAATGTAATACATTCCCCAAAGCAGAAAAGACCACAGTTTTGGACTACACATAATAAAACCAGAAACTAGTCTCAAAAGATACACATCATAGCAACAATGAAAACCAAGCATTTGGAAATTAAAACAAACCAAAGCCATCTTACTGAACAAGTTGTGAGTCGAAAAGAGAAGTAAATCTTCAGTTAAATGTGAAAAATTATAATGGAAAAACAACAATCAGCAGAGATAAAGTAATGGCATTAACTTCTTTCATGATTAAATAGGAAGAAGGCAATTCAATAAATTAGATATTTGTCCCAGGAAGTTCAAAAGACAAACTTAAGGTAATTAGACAGTATAAAATAATTTTAAAAAAGTATAAATTAATATATTAGAAAATGAAAACAGTACCACCAATTAACGCAAGACTGGATTCTTTAAAAAGGTTATGTAATAATAGAATAATAACAGTAAATATTTGTTTGGGACATACATGTTTTAAGCACTTTTTAGGTGAGTATGAACTCATCTAATCCTTATAATGGTCCAATATGGTGTTAGTAGTATCTTTACTTTTCAGTGGGGAAATTGAGGCCCAGAGAAGTTATAAATAACTGACCCAAGATCATAAATCTAGCAAGTGGCAGAGCTGGAATTTGACGCCGACAGTCTGGTTCCAGAGACTGTGTCCTTAATTCCCATACTATACTCACAATTATTAAGGAAGATGCTTAAAAACTCATGGAAACAATGTCAAATTAAAAATCGTAAGTGAAAACAATGTGTATGATACTATAGTAAAAACATGGAGGATTTAAAATAGTCTTTATAAGTTATTTATAGTGAAAGCCATCTGGCAATATCAGATAATGTTCAAATGATTAATTATTTCTGTGTTTCATCCATGTCAGTGCCAATGCATAGCCTTAAGGATGTATTATTAGGCTAAGGGTAAGGTTATAAAGTTTGCACTTCTCGGCATGGCGCTGTGATAGATATCTGTTGATTGTAGTTCTCAACACCCCTTTCTGCTTTTTAGAAATGCTTCCTTCCTTCCAAGAAATGCTTTTGCCCAATTCAACCATGGGGTTTGCATTGGGGTTGTCATCTTATAAGTCTCCTTTCCCTTGTCAGATGTGAGCACTGGACTCTACTTGGGCCGATCAGAGCCTTTCCTCAGAAGTTTTGAACTTAGGACTGGAGAGAGCAAATCTCATGTTCTTCTTTGGTGTGGTGGAGAAGCTTATCTTAGCAATACTTCTGCTGAAAACAACTAACATCTTGGTCAAAATAAAAAAACAGGTGTTTGAAACAATAAGCTACCACTATGCACATATTAGAATGGCTAAAACCTAAAACACTGATACTAATGTGGGGCAACAGAAACTCTCATTCATTGCTGGTGGGAATACAAAATGGTACGAACACTTTGGAATACAGTTTGGCAGTCTCTTACAAAACTAAACATACTCTTAGCATACAATTCAGCAGTTGTCCTCTCTGGTACTTACCCAAATGAGTTGAAAAATTATTTTCAAATAAAAACCTGCACAAATATTTAAAGTAGCTTTATTCATAATTCCCCAAATTTGGAAGCAACCAAGATGTCTTCAAGAGATGAACGGATAAACAAAATGTGGTGCATCCAGACGATGGGACAGTATTCAGTGGTAAAAATAAGTGAGTTATCAAGTCATGAAAAGACCTGGAGAAACCACAAATGCATACTACTAAACAAAATAACTGATCTTAAAAGGCAACATACTGTATGATTCCAATTAGATGACATTCTTGAAAAAGGCAAAATTATAATCAGTAGTTCCCTAGGGTTCAGAAGGAGAGGGGGAGGAATAGGTGGAACATGCGGGATTTTTAGGGCAGTGAAACTCTTCTGTATGATACTGTAACGGTGGATACATCCTACATGCATTTGCCAAAATTCATAGAATGCATGATCCAAAGTGAGCCCTGATGTAAACTATGGACTTCGGTTAAGAAAAGTGTATCAAAATTGTGTCATCAATTGTAAAACACGTACCACACTAATACAAGATGTTAGTAATCGGGGAAACTGTGTGTGTTTGTAGGGAAAGGGGGGTGGCGATGGCAGAAGAGAGGGTGTATGGAAACTCTGTAGTTTCCACTCAATGTTTCTGTAAACTTAAAACTGTTCCCCAAAATAAAATATGTTAATTACAAACAGAAAGAAGAAACAAAGCAGCTGTTTGAAGGAAAGGGACGGATGCAGCATAGACTCAGGAGCTAAGATTCTGGAGAGATTGGCAGTAAGCATCAAATTCTCCACTATTTTGTCCCTTCACACTGCTGATAGAAACTGAGCAGAAAGTGGTGATCCGGAGCTTTCAGCAGTTTTATGGGATAGGGGAGATGAACACTGAGGTTCAGTGCTACCAAGTTATCCAGGACGGGAAGGGAGAAGATCCCAGAGAAAAGGGAACTGCTGAGAAGGAGCCCAACCTTCTCTAACATGTTCCCCCTCAAGATGTTTTCTGATTCTTAATCTGTACACAACTGATGACCCAAATAGAAAGTGGATGTGAAGAGGCTAAGAAACTTCAGCAGAACCTTTGAAGCCTCACAGCACCACAGAGAGGCAACTGGAGGCCAGGGCCTGGCATGGGGGACGTGTCCTGGTAAATGCCTTAGACTTTCATTTGAGACCCCGGAGGGGCTGTTCAAACTAAAAATAGATCAGGCCTTACAAAATCTCAAACCTGGGACCTCTACTTATTCCCTCATTGGAACAGGGCGAATATGCCCCTGCCTGCCAGAATAAAAGTAATTTTTTCTTTGTAGGAAGCTAACAGTATCTAGAGCCTGTATAATTTTTTTTTGTACACAATGTAAAATGTAAAAAAAAATTAATGGGTAAGTCAGAGTCAAATTGCTAAAATATAAGGGAGAGAAAAAACGATAGACTCAGATCCACACGTGATCCAGATACAAGAAATATCAAACCTGGACTTTGAAATATTTGTGAATAATATCATCAAGAAAATAGATGACAAGATGCTAAATTTCATCAAAGTCCTGAACGCCACAGAGAGAACTGTAAAGAATATCTAGATATTTAAAAAAAAAAACAAAAATCTACAACTTAATAGGTGATTTAACAGCAAATTGGACAAAGTACACAGAAAAAACTTACTGTAAAGATTAGACAAGCAGATTAGTACAGTGGAAAATAGGTCAAATAGAAAATATGTAGATTAAAACATGGAGAGGGAAAAAATGGACAATACAGAAAGTGCCGTAAGACACACTGGGACAAGGCCTGATGTATTTGTAATTAGCATCCCAGAAAAAGAGGAGAAAGGAAATGAGGCCAATAAATTCCTGAAGAAAGAAAGACAGATAATTTGTCAAACCTGACAAAAGACATTAAACCACTGATTCAAGAAGTACTGTGAACCCTAATCAAGATGAATTCAGGTAAAACCACACTTTGGTACATAACAAAACTGCTGAAAATGAAAGCCAAGAGAAAACAATAAAGGGACCCAGAGTAAAAACAAACAAACAAACATTATCTTCAAAGGAGTATCAATAAGATGGATACTTATTTTTTAAGAGAAATAAAAACTGAAATGGCATCTTTAAAATGCTGAAAAAGAAAACTGTCAACATAGGATTTTATATCCAACAAAAATATTGTTTAAAAATGAAGGACAATGCCAGACAAAAAGTGAGAGTTTGTTGTGAATGAAGCCACAATAAAATAAATACTCAGAGCTATTCTTTTTGTTTGTTTTTTGAGACAGTCTTGCTCTGTCACCCAGGTTGGAGTGAAGTGGTGCAATCTTGGCTCACTGCAACCTCCACCTCTAGGATTCAAGAGATTCTCCTGCCTCAGCCTCCTGAGTAGCTGGGATTACAGGTGTGCATCACCACACCCGGCTAATTTTTGTATTTTTTGTAGAGATGGGCTTTTGCCATGTTGGCCAGGCTGGTCTTGAACTCCCGGTCTCAAGTGGTCCGCCTACCTCAGCCTCCCAAAGTGCTGGGATTACAGGAGTGAGCCACCGTGCCTGGCCAAGAGCTATTCTTTAGGCAGAATAACATAATCCTAGATGGAAGCCTGGTGAGGTACAGAGCAATACAGACTAATGCAAAGGATAAATATTTAGGTAAATCTACATTAATATTATTAAAACTTTATTATAATAATAGGATGTGGTGGGTTTTATATATATGTAAAATTAAAATTTATGACAATAAGAACACAAAGAAGAGTGTGAATATAGCTAAATTGTTCCAAGGCCTTGCTTGTCTGATAAGTAAAAATATTAATTTACATTAGAATATAATAAACCAAAGATGTGCATTATAATCTCTAGAGTAATGGCTGAAGTAATAAAAAAGAAGTAAAAGCAAATGTGGTAAAAATGTAACAAAAATATTTAAATAATCCAAAAGAAGGTAAAAAGGAAGAAAGAAAAAAATACAGATGAAACAAGTAGAAAATAAGATGGTAGATTAAACCCAAATATATTAATTATTATATAATGTAAATGGACCACATAATTCAATCAAAAGATAAAGATTTTCAGACTGGATAAAGTCCAATTTTATGCTGCTTGCAAGGAGAAGATCTCACACATAGGGATGCGGAGAGATAAAAGATGAAGTTAAAGGATGAAAAACTATTTACCATACAAACATTAACCAAAAGAAAGCTGACACAGCTATATTAATACCACATAAAATAGACTTTAAGACAAAAAGCAGTTGTAGAGATATAGGGACATTTCATCATGTTAAAAAGGGTTTATCCACCAGGAGTAATTCTAAATTTGTACCTGCTTAATTATGTAGCCTCAAGTATACAAAGCGAAAGCTAACATAAATAAAAAGATAAATTAGTTCACAGTTGTAGTGGGAGATTTTAACACATTTATTGTAGTTACTGACAGAACAAACAGACAAAAAATCCATTAGTGAGCAGAATATTTGAGCGGTATGATAAACAAATCTGACCACATTCGCCTTTATTCACCTCTCCATCCCCAAATAAAAGAATGTATATTCTTTTAAAGTCCACATGAAACATTTAGCAAAATTGATCATATGCTGAACCATAAAGTCAGTCTTAAAAAATTTCAAAGGAATTATACCTTAAATATAAATACATTCTCTGATCACAGTTCAATAAGTTATTGATTAACAACAAGAGGCATATCTAGAAGAATCCTGAAATGTTTGGAAATTAAACATTATGCTTCAGAGAAAAGAATCTTTGTGGGCACTAGGATTGTCTTGGCTATATGGGTTCTTTTTTGGTTCCACATGAATTTTAAAGTAGTTTTTTCTAATTCTGTGAAGAATGTCAATGGTAGTTTGATGGGAATAGCATTGAATCTATAAATTACTTTGGACAGTATGACCATTTTCATGATAATGATTCTTCCTAGCCAAGAGGATGCAATGTTTTTCCATTTGTTTGTGTCTTCTCTTAGTTTCTTTAGCAGTGGTTTGTAGTTCTCCTTAAAGAGGTCTTTCACATCCCTTGTTAGCTGTATTCTAGGTATTGTATTTTCTTTGTAGCAATTGTGAATGGACGTTTTTTCATGATTTCACTCTCTGCTTGTCTGTTGTTGGTGTATAGGAATGCTTGTGATTTTTGCACATTGATTTTTGTATCCTGAGACTTTGCTGAAGTTGCTTATCAGCTTAAGGAGCTTTTGGGCTGAGACGATCAGGTTCTCTAGATATAGGATCATGTCTTCTGCAAACAGAGACAATTTGACTTCCTCTCTTCCTATTTGAATAACCCCCCCTTTTTTTTTCTTTCACTGGCCTGATTACCCTGGCCAGAACTTCCAATACTATGTTGAATAGGAGTGGTGAGAGAGGGTATCCTTTTCTTGTGCTGGTTTTCAATAGGAATGCTTCCAGCCTTTGCCCATTCAGTATGATATTGGCTATGGGTTTGTCATACATGCCTCTTATTATTTTGATATATGTTCCACCAATACCTAGTTTACCAAGAGTTTTTAACATGAAAGAATGTTGAATTTTATTGAAGGCCTTTTCTGTATATATTGAGATAATCATGTGTTTTTTGGTCATTAGTTCTGTTTATGTGATGAATTACATTCTTGATTTGTGTGTGTTGAACCAGCCTTGCATCCCAGGGAGGAAGCCATGGTGGGTAAGCTTTTTGATGTGCTGCTGGATTCAGTTTGCTAGTATTTTATCGAGGATTTCTCACTGATGGTCATCAGAGATATTGGCCTGAAGTTTCCTTTTTTTGTTGTATCTCTGCCAGATTTTGGTATCAGGATGATTCTGGCCTCATAAAATGAGTTAGGGAGAAGTCTCTCCTTTTCAATTTTTTGGAATAGTTTCAGAAGGAATGGTACCAGATCCTTTTTGTACCTCTGGTAGAATTTGGCTGTGAATCTGTCTGGTCCTGGGCTTTTTTTGGTTGGTAGGCTATTTATTACTGCCTCAATTTCAGAACTTGTTATTGGTCTATTCAAGGATTCAACTTCTTCCTGGTTTAGTCTTGGGAGGGTGTATGTGTCCAGGAATTTATCCATTCCTTCTAGATGTTCTAGTTTATTTGCATAGAGGTATGCTATAGTATTCTCTGATGGTTTTTTGTATATCTGTGGGGTCAGTAGTGATATCCCCTTTATCATTTTTTATTGTGTCTATTTGATTCTTTCTTTTCTTATTAGTCTAGCTAGCGGTCTATCTATTTTATTTTATTTTTTTCAAAAAACAAGCTCCTAGATTCACTGATTTTTTTGGAAGGATTTTTTGTGTCTGTATCTCAGTTCCGCTCGGATCGTAGTTATTTCTTGTCTTCTGCTAGCTTTTGGATTTGTTTGTTCTTGCTTCTCTAGTTCTTTGAGTTGTGCTGTTAGGATGTCAATTTGAGATCTTCGTAACTTTCTGATGTGGGCATTTAGTGCTATAAATTTCCCTCTTAACACTGCTTTAGCTGCATCCCAGAGATTTTGGTATGTTGTCTCTTTGTTCTCATTGATTTCAAAGAACTTCTTGATTTCTGCTTTAATTTCATTATTTACCCAGGAGTCATTCAGGAGCAGGTTTTTCAATATCCATGTAGTTGTGTGGTTTTGAGTGAGTTTCTTAATCTTGAGTTCTAATTTGATTGCACTGTGGTCTGAGTGACTGCTTGTTATGATTTCAGTTCTTTTACATTTGCTGAGGAGTGTTTTACTTCCAATTATGTGATTAATTACAGAGTAAGTGCCATGTGGCACTGAGAAGAATGTATATTCTGTTGTTTTGGAGTGGAGAGTTCTGTAGATATCTATTAGGTTTACTTGATCAAGAGCTGAGTTCAAGTCCTGAATATCCTTGTCAATTTTTTGTCTCGATGATCTAATAGTGACAGTGGGGTGTTAAAGTCTCCCGCTATTACTGTGTGGGAGTCTAAGTCTCTTTGTAGGTTTCTAAGAACTTGTTTTATGAATCTGGGTTCTTCGGCATTGGGTGCATATGTATTTAGGATAGTTAGCCCTTCTTGTTGAATTGATCCCTTTATCATTATGTAATGCCCTTCTTTGTCTTTTTTGATCTTTGTTGGTTTAAAGTCTGTTTTGTCGGAAACTAGGATTGCAACTTCTGCATTTTCCTGCTTTTCATTAGCTTGGTAAATTTCTCTCCATCCCTTTATTTTGAGCCTATGTATGTCTTTGCATATGAGATGGGCCTCTTGAATACAGCACACCAATGGGTCTTGACTCTTTATTCAGTTTGCCAGTCTGTGTCTTTCAATTGGGGCATTTAGCCCATTTACATTTAAGGTTAATATTGTTATGTGTGAATTTGATCCTGTCATCAGGATACTAGTAGTTATTTTGCACACTAGTTGATGCAGTTTCTTCACTGTGCCATTGGTCTTTGTATTTCAGTGTGTTTTTGCAGTGGCAGGTACCAGTTTTTCCTTTCCATATTTAGTGCTTCCTTCAGGAGCTCTTGCAAGGCAGGCCTAGTGGTGACAAATTCACTCAGCATTTGCTTGTCTAACAAGTATTTTATTTCTCCTTTGTTTAGGAAGCTTAGTTTGGCTGGATATGAAATTTGGGTTGAAAATTTTTTTCTTTAAGAATGTTGAATATCGGCCCTCACTCTCTTCTGGCTTGTAGGGTTTCTTCTGAGAGGTCTGCTGTTGTTAGTCTGACGGGCTTCCCTTCGTAGGTGATCTGGCCTTTCTCTCTTGCTGCCCTTAACATTTTTTCCTGCATTTCAACCTTGGAGAATCTGATAATTATGTATCTTGGGGTTGATCTTCTCATGGAGTATCCTACTGGGGTTCTCTGTATTTCCTGAATTTGAATGTTGGCCTGTCTTGCTAGGTTGGGGAAGTTTTCCTGGATGATATCATGAAGTGTGTTTTCTAACTTGGTTCCATTCTCCCGTCTCTTTCAGGTACTCCTATCAGTCATAGGTTTGGTCTTTTTACATAGTCCCATAGTTGTCGGAGGTTTTGTTCATTCCTCTTCATTCTTTTTTCTCTAATCTTGTCTGCCTGCCTTAATTCAGCAAAATAGTCTTCAATATCTGACATTCTTTCTTCCACTTGATTGATTCAGCTTTTCATACTTGTGTTTGCATCACAAAGTTCTCGTGCTGTGTTTTTCAGCTCCATCAGGTCATTTATGTTTCTCTCTGAACTGGCTATTCTAGTTAGCAGCTCCTGTAACCTTTTATCATGGGTTTTGCCTTCTTTGCATTGGGTTAAAACATGTTCCTTTACCTCAGCGAAGTTTGTTATTACCCACTGTCTGAAGCCTACTTCTGTCAATTCATCCATCTCATCCTCCATCCAGTTCTGAGCCCTTGCTGGGGAGACGTTGCAATCATTTGGAGGAGAATGATCTGGCCTTTTAATTTTCAGTGTTTTTATGTAGATTCTTTCTCACCTTCATGAGTTTGCCTAGTTTCGATCTTTGAGGCTGCTGACCTTTGGATGAGATTTTTGTGGGGATGATTTTTGTTGATGCTGTTCTTGTTGCTTTCTGTTTGTTTGTTTTTCTTTCAGTAGTCAGGTCCCTTTTCTGTAGGGCTGCTGCAGTTTTCCGGGGGTTCACTTCAGGCCCTATTCATCTGGGTATCTTCCATACCTGGAGATGTCAC
Source organism: Homo sapiens (assembly GCF_000001405.40). Classification (NCBI taxonomy): domain Eukaryota; kingdom Metazoa; phylum Chordata; class Mammalia; order Primates; family Hominidae; genus Homo; species Homo sapiens. The sequence goes on from NC_000005.10 coordinate 174,034,917, forward strand.
CCGAGGCAGCTGGAGAACAGCAAAGATGGGTGCTGGCGTTTTCTCTGGGATCTCTGACCTTGAGAGGCACCAACCTGATACCAGTAGGAATGCTCCTGTATAGGGTGTCTGGCAACCCCTGTTATGGGGTCTCACCCAGTTGGGGGGCATGGGAACCAGGACCCATTTAACAAAGCACTTTGGCTGTCCCTTGGTGGAGGGATAGTGCTGCATTAGGGGAGAAACCCACTCATCTGAGCTGCCTGGATTCCTCAGAACTAGCAGGAAGAAAGATTAAGTCTACTGGTCCATGGAGACCATGGCCAACCCTCCTTCTAGAGGCTCAGGCCCAGGGAGATCAGATCTCTGTCCCTAAAACCCTGGCTAGAGTTGCTGGAGTTCCTGCAGGGAGGCCCTGCCCAGTGAGGAGGAATGTGTCAGTGTCCAGCCTAAGGAGGCAGTCTGGCCATGGTCTGCAACAGTCAGTGTGCTGCGCTGTGGGAAATACTTCTTGGGACCAAGCAATCCAGTCTCCTCAGCTCCAGTAGGGAAAAATCACTGGAGCTATAGTGATGGCTGCCGCCCTTCTCTCCAGCCCTGGGAGTTCAGTGTCTTAGGCAGCTAGCAGCTGCAGTAATGGCTGCCGACCCTCGCCCCGGGAACTTGGTAGACTTAGGTAGATTCCAGCTGAGTGGCTGTTGAGAATCTGTGTGGCTCTGTGGTTAGGACCCAAGGCCCTGGTGGCATGGGCTCTCAAGTGGGATCTTCTGATTTGGGGTTGCACAGATCTGTGGAAAAAGCACAGTTTCCCAGGCTGGGTAGCATGCTCACTCACCTCCTTCCTTGGCTGGGGGTGAGGATTCCCCTTGCCCTGTGTAGCTCTCAGGTGGGCCAACACACCACTTTGCTTTTCATTTTTATCTGTGGGTCATGCCAACCACCTAGTCAGTCCTGATGCTAGAATATGGATACCTTGCTTGCCAGTGCAGGATTCTCAGCTGTTTTGGTTCTCCTCAGTGTGAGCCTCCAACCACTGCTAGTCAGCCATCTTGGCCCTGCCTACCCTTCCTTTTTTTTTTTTTTTAATTTGTTTCTTCCATTTAATCATGCTCCATTTCCTTCCCTGTGAAAATGAGCTCTTGGGAAGGAATCTAATAGATTCATTCACACAAAGGCTGATTAAATTAATTATGTGATCTCCAGGACCGTAATGCTAATGATTTTGAACATCCTTTAATGTGCTTATTTGCTATCTATTCATACTCTTTGATGATGTATCCAGTCAATATTTTTGCCCACTTTTTGTTTGTTTGTTTTTTTTATTGTCAAATTATGAGAGTTCTTTATGTATTCTGAATACAAGTCTGTTGTCAGGTACATTTGCAAATATTTTCTCCAAGTCTATAGCTTGTCTTTTTATTTTTTCTTAACAGTGTCTTTGGCAAAACAAAAATCTTAAAGTTTGATGAACCCCAATTTATCAATCTTATCTTTTATAGATTTTGCACTTGGTGTCAAGTGTATGAACTATTTGCCTAACACTAGGACGTGAAGTATTTTTTCCTATGATTTATTCTAAACATTTTACAGTTTCATATTTCACTTTTAGATGTGTAGCCTATATTTATATAAGATATGAGGTTTAGGTCAAAGCTCATTATTCAGCATCATTTTAAAAAGACCATCTTTTCTCCATTGAATTGCATTTGCGCTATTGCCAAAAATCCATTGGCCATATTTGTGTGGGTCTATTTTTGTGCTCTCTCATCTCTCCTATTAATCTATATGTCTAGCCCATTGCCTTTACAGTTCTGTATAAAATACTATAGCTTTATAGTAAGTCTTAAAATTGGATAGTGTGATTCTTTCAATTTTATTTACTTTTTAAAAATAATTGTTTTGGTTATTATAGTTATTTTGCCTTTCTATATGTATTTTGGAATAACCTTACCTACAAAAATTTCTGCCAGAGGTTAGAATTGAAAATTAACTCATAGATCAATGTTTATGGATTCGACATCATTACTATGTTGAATGTCCAATTAGTGAACTTGGTATTCTTCAATTACTTAGGCCTTTAAGATACTTCATAAGCATTTTGTAATTTTCACTATACAGATCCTGTATGTATTTTGCTAGATTTATACCAAGGTTTTTTATTTTGGGGAACTATTGTAAATGGTATTGTAAAAAACATTTTGATTTCTAATTATTCATTTCTGATACATAGAAATATGATTGATTAATTTGTGCACATTCATATATTCATGAATGTTAACCCACATGCTAAATTGGTTCAAGGTATTTAAAAAATAGATCTCTTGTTTTTTTTAATGCAAGCAATTATGTTCTCTACAAATAAGGATAGTTTTATTTCTTCCTCTCCAATCCGTATGCCTCTTATTAATTTTTCTTGCTTCATTGCACTGGCTAGTACACTTCTAAGTAAGAGTGGTGAGAGTGTTGCTTTGTTTCAGATATTAGGAGGAAGGCATTTTGTCTTTTACCATTAAGTAAAACATAATGCTAATTTTAAAATTTTTTGCAGAGATGGGGATCTCACTATGTTGCTTAGGCTGGTTTCAAACTCCTGGCCTCAAGCAATCCTCCCACCTCTGCCTCCCAAAGTGCTGTGATTACAGGCATGAGCCATTATGCTTGGCCAAGTTTTATCTTATTTTTAAGATGTCCTTTATCAAGCTTAGTTTCATTTTGTTCCAAGTTTGCTGAGAATTGTGAATGGACATAAATTTTATTAAATGTTTTTCTCTTCATCAATTTTACTCCTAGGATAAAGCCCATGGTGTATTATTCTTTTTGTGTGTTGCTGGATTTGATTTTCTAATATTTTGTTGAAAAATTTTGCACCTACATTCATGAGGCATATTGGCCTGTATTTTTCTTGTCTTGTACTGTCTTTGGTTTTGGTATGAGAGTAATGCTGTCCTCATAGAATAAATTGGGAACTGTTTATCTCTTCTTCTGTTTTCTAGAAGAGATTGTATAGAACTTTTTTTTTAAATGTGTGTTCCCACAGTGAAACTGTCTGGTTTGAAGATTCCTTTTTGGGGGAAAATTACTACAAATTCAATTCCCTTAATAGTTAAGATTATCATTCAGATTATCATTTCATCTTCAGTAAGTTTTGCTAGTTTATGGTTTTTGAGAAATTGACCGATTTAATCTACTTTATCAAATTTATGTACATAGCATTGTTTGTAGTAGTCTCTTATTATCCTTTTAATGCCTTCATGCTCTGTAGTGTTAGCGCCTTTCATTCACGAGATTAGTAATTTGTGTGTTCTGTCTTTTCTCTTTGTCAGTCTTTCTAGAGGTGTATCAAAATTACTAATTTTTAAATTTAAATTTTAATTCTTTTGAAACAAGAGTTTTGCTCTGTCACCTAGGCTGGAGTGCAGTAGCTCTATCATAGCTCACTGCAGCCTCGACTTCTCTGGCTTGAGTGATTCTCCCGCTTCAGCCTCCTGAGTAGCTGGGACTACAAGTATGTGCCGCCATGCCTAACTAATTTTTAAATTTTTTGTAGAGATGGGGTCTCACTATGGTGCCCAGGCTCATCTAGAACTCCTGGGCTCAAGTGATCCTCCTGCCTTGGCCTTCCAAGGTTCTGGGATTATAGACATGAGCCACTCTGCCCAGCCAAATTTACTAATCTTTTTAAAGAACCAACTTTTGCCTTTGTTGATTTGCTCCATTGTTTTTCTGTTTTCAATTATATTGATTTCTGCTGTTTATTATCTCTTTCCTTCTGTTTGCTTTGGGTTTATTTTGCTCTTCTTATCTGTGTGAAAGGTTAGATTATTTATTTGAAATCTTTCCTCTTTTATAATACACACATTTAACACTGCAAATTTATCTCTCATTACTACTAAAGCTGCACTCCCCAAATTTTGATATCTTATATTTTCATTTTTGTTCCGTTCAAAATATTTTCTTATTTTTCTTGAGACTTTCTTTTTGATATATGAATTGTTTCGAACAATGTTGTTTAACTTCTGTTTGGAGACTTTCCTGTTACTATTCTGTCATTGATTTTTGGTCTAATTCCATTATAGTCAGAGAACAGTTTTTTTGTATTATCTCAATTTTAAATTTTTTTCAGGTTTGTTTTATAACTCAGGATATGGTCTATCTTGGTATGTGTTTAATGTGCACTAAAAATAAATGTTTATTCTTCTGTTTTGGGTGAATTATTCTATAAATGTCAGTTAGATCCAGTTAATTGATGATGTTCTGTTCTCCTATAGCAGTGGTTCTCGACTGAGAATGATTTTCCCCCACTTCCCCCAGGGGACATTTGTCAGTATCTGGAGACATTTTTGATAATCACAGCTTAGGAGGGGATGCTGCTGGCACCTGGTAGGTAGAAACCAGAGATGCTGCTAAGCATCCTACAATACACAGAAGAGCCTTACCCCACAACTCTCACCATAATTATCCAGTCTAAAATGTTAATATTCCTGAATTTTCTGTTTGCCCTAACAGTCAATTAAAGAGAGAGAAGTATTGAAGTTTCCAACTATAATTGTGGTTTTGTCTGTTTCTCTTTTTAGTTCTGTCAGGTTTTGGTCCATGCGTTTTGAAGCTTTGTTATTAGGTTCATACGCATTTAGGACTGTTTTGTGTTCTTAGTGAATTGACCTTTTATCATGTGTAATGTCCCTCTTTATCTCTCTCTTCTTTGCTCTGGATTGTTTGTTTGATATTAATATAGCTACTCCAGCTTTCTTTTGGTCAGTGTTACATTGGTGTATCTTGTTTCATCCTTTTACTGTTTTTTTGTTTGTTGTTGTTGTCAAATGATCATTCATTTAAATATTTTCCTTTGTAGTTGTTAACTAGCTGGACATTCCACTATGCCATTGTTGATGTCATCTATGATGCGGAGTGTGGTAGCCATCAATAGTGCAGTCCACCAGTTGGTGGGCAGTCTCCAGGAGCTCTTTAAGGGTTCCAGAGAGTTCTCTAGCTAAATATCAGTGCTGCATTGGGAAATGCTGACAATTGCAACAAAAATGATATTTCCACTCTGCTTACTGTTTTTTTTGCTGTTTTCTGTCACAGAGCGATTCTTGGAGAACTTTGATGATAGTGCAGAGGCAGAATCCTCAATCTGGGCCTGCATGTTCTGAATGGTTCATTTCACTGTAATCCTTAGGGTCTTCCAGTCACTAGCTTTCTTGGCAATGTCATTACCAACATTTATTTGGAGACAGGTCCATGGAGTTGATCTCAGGGGTCAGGGCAGGCATGACACTGATTTCCCCACCAGCGTCCCTCAGGTATACAACTTTGATTTTGGTGTGCTTGAACCTGGATGGCATGGAAGAGGCGGCTGGTGTTATATGAAATCAGATGCTGCATGGCAGAAGAAGGTTGCACTTTGTTTTCCTCTGAGCTGAAAGCCCAGAGTCCATACTTTTACTTTGAATCTACTTATATTTTTATATTTGAAGTGAATTTCTTGTTGACAGCATATATTTGGTTTGTGTTTTTTCTCCATTTTGACAAACTTTTTAATTAGCTTGTTTAGCCCACTTAAACATTTAATGTAATTACTGGTATGTTTGAAGTCTACTGTTTCATCATTTGTTTTCTTCTGCCCCCTAATTTTTTTTGTTCCTCTCCTTTTCCGTTTCTGCCTTCTTTTGGAACTTTTTTTGTATCCCACTTGATCTATTGCATTTTGACTATATCTCTTTGTATATTTTTGTTTGCCCTAGAGATAACAATAGAAAAATTTAGCTTTGCCTACTTTTGCCACTTCAAGTAGAATATAGAAACATTCCCACCATATTGGTCCCTTTAGCCTCAATTCTTTGTATTGCAGTTGTCTTATATATTACTCTACATACATTGAATACCTCATCAGAAGATGTTATAATTTTTGTTTTCAACTACAAACATATTTTAAAGAAATCCAGGCCAGGCATAGGTGGCTCATGCCTATAATCCCAGTGCTTTGGGAGGCCAAGGCAGAAGGATCACTTGAGGCCAGAAGTTTGAAGCTGCAGTGATCTATAATAGGATTGTGCCATTGCACTCCAGTGGGGGTGACAGAACGAGACCTTGTCTCTTAAAAAAAAGATCATTACATAGCAGAAAAATAGTCTATTATACTATAATGGTCTATTGTATTAAGAACCCCTCACAGTAGAGTAACTATGATTTATAAAAATCTATTGTATATTTCAAAATAGCTGGAAGAAGAAAAAATAGGACCTCGCCAACCAGGAGAAAATTTCCCATATCACTTCAGCCTTCTGTTTCTTCCTGCAGCTTCTCTCCTGGCCTCACATATCAGGAGACCTGAATTTCCCACTGCCTTGAGATAGGCTTGGACCTTACTAAACTCAATACAACTGGCTTGAAATTATTTTTTGAAATTTTGCTTTTAATTAACACATAATAATTGTACATATGTATGGAGGATGGTGTGATGTTTTGATACATGTATACATTCTTTTTTTTTTTTTTTTTTTTTTGAGACAGAGCCTTGCTCTGTTACCCAGGCTAGAGTTCAGTGGCATGATCTCTACTCCCTGCAATCTCCACTTCCCAGGTCCAAGTGAGTCTCCTGCCTCAGCCTTCCGAGTAGCTGGGATTATAGGCACCTGCCACTAAGCCTGGCTAATTTTTGTATTTTTAGTAGAGACAGGGTTTCACCATGTTGACTGGGCTGGTCTTGAATTCCTGACCTCAGGTGATCCCCCTGCTTCAGCCTCCTAAAGTGCTGGGATTACAGGTGTGAGCCACCGTGCCTGGCTGATACATGTATACATTCTACAGTGACAAAATCAGGGTATTTTGCATGTTCATCTCATTTATTTATCATCTCTTTGTATGAGAACATTCAAAATTCTTTTAGCTCTTTTAAAATATACAATACAATATTGTTAACCATAGTTACCCTACTGTGCAGTGTAAAAGCAGATTTTTTTTTTTATTTAAAAATATTTATTGAACACCTTCTCTTTACTTGGCAATAGGTGACATGCTGGATATACACGGTGAACAAAACAGGCACAGTCCTCACTTTATTGGGTTCTCATTAACCAAAGAAGTTTTATTGATGGAAAGGATTCACACATATAATGTTATATAAGTTATTTAACCCCTTTGAGTCTCAGTTGTCTCTTCTATAAAATGGGGTTAGTAATATTTTCCTTCCAGAATTATTATGTTCCCATCTTGTTCATAATGCATATCCCTGGTTATCTGCCATATAGCGGGTACTGTATGTTTATTACAGAACTAACGAATACATAAAAAATGAATATATAGGTCCCTTAAGCAATGGGTCCACATTATACAGTAGCCAATATTATGGACAATATTTTCTCCTCCTTTTTAAAAGTCAGTGTCACAGATAACAACAATAAGTGTGACAACTTGTATTTGTTTACTCTCACTTTTTTTCCTTGCTAATTTTTAAAGATAATATGTCTTTCGTAGGGACATGGATGAAGATGGAAATCATCATTCTCAGCAAACTATCGCAAGGACAAAAAACCAAACACTGCATGTTCTCACTCATAGGTGGGAATTGAACAATGAGAACACTTGGACACAGGACGGGGAACATCACACACCAGGGCCTGTCGTGGGGTGGGGGGAGGGGGGAGGGATAGCATTAGGAGATATACCTAATGTAAATGACAAGTTAATGGGTGCAGCACACCAACATGGCACATGTATACATATGTAACAAACCTGCACGTTGTGCACATGTACCCTAGAACTTAAAGTATAATAATAATAATAATAATAAAAGAAATGAGCCAGGCACAGAAAGACAAATATCATGTAGTCTCACTTACAGGTGGGAACTAAAAAAGTTGAACTTAGAAGTAGAGAAGAGATGGTGGTTACCAGAGACTGGGGGTAGGGGGAAGACATTGGTCAAAGGATACAAAATTTTGATTATATAGAAGGAATAAGGTAACGGCAGTATTTATTCTTCCTGTCTAACAGTAACTTTGTACCCCTGGACCAATCTCTTCCCCTTCTTCCCCACTCCCTACTATCTCCAGCCACTGCTAAGCACTATTCTACTCTCTACTACTATGAGATTAACTTTTTGTTTTTTGTTTTAAGATTTCACATTAGTGAGATTGTGCAGTATTTATCCTTCCGTGCCTGGCTTATTTCATTTTACAGAATGTCCAGGTTCATCCATGTAGCCACAAATGACAGAAGTTATTTTTTGTGGCTGAATAGTATTCCATTGTGTATCTATATATCACCTTTTCTTTATCCATTTATTTGTCGATTGCACACTTGGGTTGAGTCCATATATTGGCTATTGTGAACAGTGCTGTCGTAAACATGAAAAGTACAAATATCTCTTTGACATACTGATTTCCCTTCCTTTAGATGAACATCCAGTAGTGGAATTGCTGTATCATATGGTAGTTCTATTTTTAAATTTGGAGGATCCTCCATACTGTTCTTCATGATGGCTGTACTAATTTACATTCGCACTAACAGTGTATAATAGTTCCCCTTTCTCCACGTTCATGATGGCATTTGTTATTTTTGTCTTTTAATGATAGCCATTGTAACTAGGGTGAGGTGATATCTCATTGTAGTTTTGATTTGCATTTCCCTGATGATTAGAGACATTGAGCCCTTTTTCATACACATGTTAGCAATTTGTATGTCTTCTTTAGAGAAATGTCTATTCAGGTATTTTGCCATTTTTTTTTTTTTTTTGAGACAGAGTCTCGCTCTGTCGCCCAGGCTGGAGTGCAGTGGCATGATCTCAGCTCACTGCAACCTGTGCCTCACAGGTTCAAGTGATTCTCCTGCCTCAGCCTCCCAAGTAGTTAGGATTACAGGCATGCGCCACCATGCCTGGCTAATTTTTGTATTTTTAGTAGAGACGGGATTTCACCATGTTGGTCAGGCTGGTCTCGAACTCCTGACCTTGTGATCCACCTGCCTTGGCCTCCCAAAGTGCTGGGATTACAGGCATGAGCCACTGCTCCCGGCTGCCAATTTTTAAATCAGATTTTTGTTTTTTGGCTGTTGTTTGAGTTTCTTATATATTCTGGGTATTAACCCCTGGTCAGATGCATAGTTTGCAGATATTTTCTTCCATTTTGTAGGTTGTCTCTTTAGTCTGTTAATTATTTCCTTTGCTGTGCAGAAGCTTGGCTTGAAATTATTAAAAGTGTGATTTCTATGTGTGAATCAATCACAAGACATGTCAAAAGGAATTTCTTTTTCCTCTGGAGGAAAAAGATTAAACACAAGGGTTCACAATTGACTCCACGTGGTTATCCACATTGTGTTGTCACAATGATTGCACCTGAAAACTCATCTAGGTCTTTGGAAAGAAGAGAATGGAGGACTAACATTTACTGGGACACTCCCATATTATGTATCTGCCTACTTCTATTAATATAGCCCTGTGCAGCTCAGATGTGCTAGCTTTTGTTGTCTCAGAAAATGTCTCTCTCTCTGTCTCTCCACACACGTGTCCCCCCCCCCCACACGTTTCATTACTGAACAATATATATAATACTTACGTTTTCTCCTGACCTTTTAGCTAGCAGAGTGTATGCTCAGCACATGAGCACTAACTAGGGTGACCTAACAATTTATCACATAAACTAGAATACTTTTGAAAGCAAAAGGGGACCCTATGACAAATGCCAAGACAGCTGGGCCTCATGAAGTGCATCATAAGCAGCACTGCAGCTGGGAATGAACAACCATCAGTGACTTGAACCACAGCTTGGTGAAGACAGTGGCAACAGCCTTGACCTCAGAGGATTTGAAGAGAATCTGTGAGCAATCCCCGGGGATGAAATAATGCAGCCATTCAGAACCTTGTCCCTGAGCAGTAAGGGGTTTCCTTGAGCACAATCTCTTCTCATATTTACAATCGCTCTCCTGAGCAATAAGGGGTTTCCTTGAGCACAATCTCTTCTCATATTTACAATCGCTCTGCAAGAGAGATATTATTATTCTTACGCCAGAGAAAAGGAAATGGAGGTTTAAAGAATAAATGCAAAATGTCCAAAATCCATACAGCCAGAATTTGGTAGAGCAGACACTAGGACTTTGCCCTGTCTGATTCCAGGCACCAACTTGGAAGCCATGCAATGTCCTGGGCTGGATACAAATTTTGGTGGCCACCGATCAGGGTTCAAATTCCAGCTCTGGTTACCGTGGCTGCCCTGTATGATCACAGTGCAATGTTGAGTGTAGTAGCTCATGTGAATACAGTGCTTGCCATAGTCCCTGCTCTGTACTACATGCATTCCCTATGCTATCCCATTTCATGCTTTGTACTAACCCCATCATGTGTGTACTATTAGAAACACCATTTTGCAAATGAGGGAGATAGTCTGAAAGAGGCTGGAAAAGTGCCCACTGCATGAAAGATACACAATAAATATATTTCCCTTCTGTCCTGACCACAGGGTCAGAGCACAGTAGAGGTCTTGAACCATTCTGTGTTTTATGATATTGTTCTGGAAGGTCTTAGGAGGCAATGCCCTCTCCTAATGAATGTGCCTGCTTTTCCAGTTTTTCCAAAGGCTCAAGGATTACTTGTTATATGGTGCATATTAATTATTTTTTTGGTGTGGCCAAAATCCTTCCCACTTTCTTGAAACCATTTTGTCCCGTGCAGTGGTTGTGGCCATGCATAAGAAACAGCAGGTGGTGCCAGATGACAGATGGTGTGGGAGCGCGTTCCCCGGTAGGAGGGGGCGCGAGCGAGCAAGCAGGCAGGCAGCTGCCAGGAGCTCTTCCCTGCTCGCTCACGCCTGCTCTCAGAAGCTCCGATCCAGACACACGCGAGGCGCTGTCCTTTCAGCACCACAAGCTCGGGCTGAGGAGGGAGGACTCCTGGCCGTCCTCCTCCTCTTCAAATTGGCTTGAATCTGCTCTGACCCCCCACGAGTGCAGCACAGTAAGTAGGCATTTGTTTTTGCTATAACCACTCCCCAATATCCTCCAACCCCTTTCACCCCCACAACAACCCTGTTTTGTCTAAACGTTCCATCAGCAGGATTGAGAGAAGAAATTCAGTTGTGTTGAGCTTCTGGGGGTGGGAGGGGAGCACCATTTGACTTCTAAGGGATCTGGAGATGAATAAATGTGATTTGTTTATTTAGTTGGCAATCCTGCAATATGGGGGCTGCTAACTTTCCATGGAACCAAAAAAAAAAAAAAATGGCCCTTCGCTATTGAGGAAATGGAGGCATTCCATGGCTGAATAACAGGATCAGGTTCAAGCTAGCCTTTTTTTTGTTTGTTTTTATTTTAGGAAATTGCACCTCATGTACAATCCACATATGATGTAACAGGGTACACATTGAGACGTTGAATGTATTTATTGTGTTTTAGGGTATTGCTGATGGAAAACCAACATAATAGAATAGCAACCAGAGTGGTGAGGTGAAATTTATCATACTGCAGGCGGGGGGGGTGGTATAATAGGACTTCATTTTGCACTAAGTATAATCTTTTTACTGGCATTGTGTGAGCACTTTAGCTCTAGTGTCTTGGGTATTTGTTTTACACTTATATTTTTTGTGTGTATAGGTTTAGGATTTTCCTTGAATTCCTTAAATTTGAGTGCTGTTGAACCCCATGGGAAGGTGGCATATTTTGATGATTAAAGAAGTTTTGTTGGACAATGGGAATCATGTCTGGAAATCTAGTGGAAGATCAATGACTGATCACTAGATTGAAAGCCACTTGAGTGGAGCTGTTGAGGACAGTGCTATTTTCTCTGTCGTCAGCCCTCTCTTTCTGCCTCACCTCCTGCTGTAACCAGAATCCCACTGCTTGCCTTAGGTCTGGGAAGAAAGGCGTAAGGATGGTGAAGCTGAACAGTAACCCCAGCGAGAAGGGAACCAAGCCGCCTTCAGTTGAGGATGGCTTCCAGACCGTCCCTCTCATCACTCCCTTGGAGGTTAATCACTTACAGCTGCCTGCTCCAGAAAAGGTAAAGCATGTCCTCTTGCTCTCATCAGCCCCCAGGCTCCCCCCATCTCAGGAAATAAAGCAGCAAAAAATTCCACCCCCCAAATCCTTTCATTCTCTTATCTGCCAAATGTGCTCCCTTTCTTGTAAAATGTAGTTATTCCTTCCAGAGCCAAGACATCTCTTGTGTTATTTCAGATTTATGGTAAGTGTTTATTCATTTTTTGTTCATATCTGCATAAATGGGCAAGCAAATTGATCTTTCCTTGTTAAAGTTTTCTTACAGCTGGTGAATACTAATAAGCTTCTAGGTGGTGACAGAAAATTCATCTTGATTATTTTGGGAAGGTCTTTCAAAAATTGACAGGTATAGATTTGAGGACAGAGGATTGGATTCACTCAAACAAGCATTCAGTTTGTACCTGCTAAGGCCCTGTCCCTATACTAGGAGTTGGTTATAAAAAGACAAAATTACAAAATCCTTTTCTAGTATGACAGATTAATTCATCCTGGTAAATGTTATACCTGAGCATTACAAAGATTGTGAGGGTGCACAGGTGGAAACAACTAAATTCTATTGGGGTGGAGAAGGTTTGGGAATGGGACTGAGAAGACAGGTTAGGCAAACTGCAGAGGAGAGCATTTGAATTGGGCTTTTAAAGGTGAGTAAAAACCCTTCCTGGCAGACCATGGAGTGGGGAAGGGAAGGCATTTTTAAGGCAAAGGGCACACATATGCAAAGCATGGAGAGCTTTAGGGGAGCAGCATGACTGCAGGAGAGTGTCTTTTGGGGAGGCGTGGCTGGAAATGAGTGACTGGCTGATGGCACATCTCCTGACATGGGAGTAGTCCATGAAGAATGGAGGTGGGCATTCACACAAAGGTGGGATGGGGGTTATGGACACAGAAGGGAGAAATAGTATCATTTCAGGTCCACCTGAGACAACCTGGGGTTTTATTATGTGAGCTTTTGTACACGGTAAGGGAGAGACTTGGAGGCCAATGATGGAGTTCCCTGGCTTAAGAGCGAACAATGGATCATTCCATCTGTTTGATTTCCCATTGGCATCTGCAGGAGGGCATTGTGTGTCTTAACCAATTGGCTTCAACCAATCAACAGAAGAGGAGCCAAAGCTAGATAAAGGGGCTGCTGATTGGCCAGAGGTTGAATCATTTGTTTTGAAAGTGCAGAGATTGTCAATAGGAGAACGTGCAGGGGTGGGGTGGCAGACAGAGAGAATTCTTAAGTGCCATCCTAAGGAACTGGTAAAGCCTTTAAAGATAAATTCTGAACAGGCAACTAACACTAAAGAGATGAGAAGGGGCAATATTAATAGAGTATGTGCTACATGTATATCAGAGCTTCTTGGTTTTGAACTGCATATTAGAATCACCTGGGGAGATTTTGAAACTCCTGCTTTCTAGACCATGACCCAGAACAATTGTATCAGAGTCTCTGAGAGTGAGACCCAGGCATTAATATGAATGAAATCTCCCAGGTGGCTCCTGCATGCAGCCAAAGTTGAGGACCATTGTTTTAGGTGTGCATTAACCTGGGAGTCAGGGATTATTCATTCATATTTGTAGATGAAAATTTGGTGAGTTATCCAAGCTCACAGAAGGAGTAAGTAGAAATGTTGGAGTTTGAACCCAGATATAAGTAGAGGTTGGGTAGGAGAAGGGAGAGATATTCTCTTGGGGCTTTATGAGGCCAACAGCTATAGCCTTGCAGATCTGCATGTCTTTAAGAAGTGTGAAAAGAAAAGGGATTGTGGTGAGGTCATCTCTCCCCTAGCCTTCTACATGCCTGCAGGTCATCTAGAGATTATCATGGTCTCTGTCCCCCCTTACTCTCCCACCCACCTCCCAGGGCTTTATTCTTTCCTTGAGAGAGGAGGCAGGTCTGATAACCACTGAGTATCCAGTCCAGGTGCACCAGAAGCTGTCCCAAAGCCTGAAGGATAATGCATTGTCTCTCATAGTGGGCCTGCATGCATGCAACGTGAAGCCAATTATCCTGAAAGATCCAGGGCACCCAGTTTGACACTCTGATTGTCATCACACAGTCTTTCACCAGGGTGGCCTCAGTTTCCTGTTTTTTTGATATGGGGAGGATCACATCTACCTCACAATGGTCAGAACAAAGTTAGATGTGGCATTATACGTAAAGTGCCTGGTAAAAAAAAACCGCAAGAGGCTGGGCATGGTGGCTCATGCCTGTAATCCCAGCACTTTGGGAGGCTGAGGCGGGCGGATCACAAGGTCAGGAGATCGAGACCATCCTGGCGAACACGGTGAAACCGCGTCTCTACTAAAAATACAAAAAAATTAGCCGGGCGTGGTGGTGGGTGCCTGTAGTCCCAGCTACTTGGGAGGCTGAGGCAGGAGAATGGCGTGAACCTGGGAGGCAGAGCTTGCAGTGAGCTGAGATTGTGCCACTGCACTCCAGCCTGGGCGACAGAGCGAGACACTGTCTCAAAACAAACAAACAAACAAACAAACAAAAAAACAAACTACAAGAGAATAGCGTCACCATTTTTCAAGTGCTTCCTAAATTCTAAGCTATATGTGCACGCGCACGTGCACACACACACACACACAATCACTCACACATGTGTGCAATTTTCTTTCTTCTTCTCAGGAATTAATAGGCCCCAGTGAGGGAGTCACTACTTTGGTCTGAATTTTACAGAAGCTGAGACACAGAGTGGTAAAGTAGTTCCCCATAGCAAATAGCTGGGAAAGCATCCTGGACATAGAGCCCAGGCAGTGCTGTTCCAGAACCTTCTACCTCAGCAGGAATGAGGAGTGAGCCAGCCTGGGAGTCCCCAGGTGTGGTCTGTGGCTCAACCTCAGCCACTGACCCACAGTGCGCTCCATTCCCCTCTCTTAGGTCTGTGTTCTCTGAGTGGAAAATTGTATTATCAGTTTTCTGTGCTAATATTTAGATTTTAGAATCTTTACAAGAGTAATTACATTGTTTCCCTGACATGAGAACAGATGTGTTCAAAGTAAATTTTGCTCAAGAAGCCAAAGGTCCTCTAAATGCTTAGAATAGTGTCCAGATGACCAGCAAGGACTCTGAAGCCACCTCTTTAGGTGGGTTCAAATCCCACTCCAACTCTTACCAGCCTGCTTTGGCTAAGAACTTGGAGGGTAGTTTCTTAAGTTGCCTCAGCATCAGTCTTCTAGTGTATAGAATGGGGACGCTAATTTTGGGACTCACTCACAGGACTTTTGTAGAGGAGGCAGAGTGAGCCCTGACACAGCTGTCAGCTGTCAGCCCTTTGGTTAGGCTCCAGTCAGATGGTGAGTACTTGAAGCTAAGATGGTTATCACAAAGAAGGATATTTGACCCCAATGTCAGATCATGGCTTTTCTTTTTGAAAATGTAAAATACAGAGTATGCTTGTAATACTGAAAATCAGTATTCTAAGTATCCTTTAGTAGTATGAAATCTGAATTTCAAGAGAACAGCTTCTGGAGGCTAGCTGGAGTCCTCTCGTGGAACGTGTCTGAAGACTTGTTCCAGGCCAGGGAGGGGACTATGCAGGGCATTCAGGTTATTTCAGTTAATCTTCCCAGTAGCCTTGTGAGGTGGATCTCAGTGCACCCATTTCACTCATGAGGAAACTGAGGCTCAGGACAATATAGTGGCCTGCCTAAACTTTACAGATGAAGAGTGGAAGGGCTAGGGTTGGAACCTCAGTGTACTTGATGTTCCAACTTTTTTTTTCTGCATTGCACTGCCTTCAGTAAGAAGTCTCTCATTCTGGGAGAGTGCTTCCTCAAACTCTAGGCTTCCTCATCCATGGCTGCCCCTTGAGCCCTCCCCCTGGCAGGCTCCTGGACCTGGAAGGGACCTGGACTGGTCCCCCAGACAGAACACCAGAGGCCCCAGTGCTCTCTCCCTGCCTGGTGCTGGAGAGACTGGTGTTTGCCTCAGGGAAGAGCAGCAGGCTCCTGAGTTGCCTCCTGCCTCTTCTCCCTTTCATGCGACTCACTGCCGCCAAGCCTCCACACTGCCCCCAAGCCTCCCCAGGGCTGTGCCTTGGTCCTTCTCCCATGGAAACCTTCTGCATCTCCTCACCCCACAACATCCCATCCCTGAATCTTGACCTTGCCACTCCAGCTCTTTCACCATCTGGCCTGCGCTGGCCTCCATTCCTTTCACTCCCACGTTGCGCCTCGAATGTTAGCGTGCCAGACCTACCTGCAGCAGCGGTGCTCCATGGGGGCGATTCTCTCTCCCTGGGGGGCAGTTAGCAATGTCTGGAGACATTTTTCGATGTCACAACTAGAGGGAGGATTCTACTGGCATTTTATGGGTGGAGGCCAGGAATGGTGCTAAATATCCTATAATGTACAGGACACCCAAGTCCCCCAGTCCTGCCCCTGGGTAGAATTATCCTGCCCCAAATGTCAACAGCGCCAAGGTTGGGAAACCCTGCCCTAGAGTCTTGCATACTCCCCAGGATGTTCCATGCCTTCACCTCCATGAACATGCCATTCCTTCTGCCCAGAATGCCCTTCTGGCTCCTTTGCTTGTATGATGTCAATATTAATCTTTCTAAACCCAGTTCAGACAGCACCTCTCCTGAATGCCTTCCTTGACCACTGATAAGTATAGCTGTAGTTGTACCTATTCATTCATTCGTCGTCCATCTATCCATCCATCCACCAATCCATCCATCCATCTACCCATCCATTCATCATCCATCCATCCATCCATCCAGCAAGTCTTATAGGGTACCCTCTGTGAGCCAGGCACTGTGCTAGGCCATAGGTACACAGCAATGAAAAGACAGCATTGGCCACTGCTTTCATGGAGCTTCCAGTCCAATGAGAAAGAGAGACTTCAAACAATCCATCATACACATAAAAGCATATAGATGCAAATTGTGAGAAGGGCTATTAAGGAAAGAACAAGATGTTGTAATGTAAGGAGAGATAAGACATATAGGGGACCTAATTATAATGACAAGGTGGTCAGGCAGCAGGCCTAACTGAGCCCTCAGAAGGGTGGAGGAACGATCAGGGGGCCACATTGGCTGGTGATGTCAAATGGTGGGGAGAGACTTAAGAGATGAGGTGGGGTGGGTACCAGTTTATGTGGATTGTTTGTTTTTTTCAAAAGGTATTTAAAGCAGGAGAGTCACAGGATCAGAGTTTGATTTTGGAAGATTGCCCTCATTGCTGTGAGCCACCCTAGGGACAAGGGACAGGTTCAGTCTCATGCTTGGTCTTCTGATCTCCTCTACTTCTTTCTGTCCAATCAGTCCTCCACGCAGCACCAGATTAGTGTCCCCCAAAACAGGGGTGACTGAGTTGCCTGAAGCACCCCCGATATGGGAGTAGAAGAAAGGAATGGGAGGTCTGACACCAGTTAGAAGGCCACTACTACATTCAGGGAGGAGAGGGTAGTGGGGCAGTGGCAGTGGGGTGGGGAGGCTAGTGGTATTGAGATGTGGTACCAGGTTGATTGGGAGGAGAATTTGCTTTCTCTGCTCCATTTGCCCACTAGACCTGAGGCCCCAGCTAGACCTGAGGCTGTGTCATCTCGGTAGCCTTAGGCCTGGCCTGCAGTGGGCAGTGGAAATTACTGGCTGATCCCCTCTCTTGCCTAGCTTAAAACTGGACTCAATTTCTCTACTTGGTAGCTGAGGAAATAGACTCAAATCTAGGTGGCTTTCTCCAGGCCATGGGAGCAAGCTCCTGAAAAGCTGGAACATTAGTTTGCAGACATCAAATTTCAGGACATGCCTTTGGTGCTTTGCTGCCTTTGGTTCATCTAAGTAGCCACAATAACCCAGGTGTCCCCACAAGCCCTGTGACGTTGCTACCATAATCCCCATTTTACAGGTGCAGAAACAGGCTCAGACAGGTGGAAGGCTGTCCTAGGGTGCATCAAAGGAAAACAGTGCAGCCAAGATCTGCATGCACGTGTGCTGGGAAGGGTGGCAGGTGTGCAGAAAGCAAACCATAGACAGGCACAACCCACCTTGGCAGAGCCACAGGGGAACCATAATCGGCAAGTCTGCTGCTGCGCTCTGGGCAAACGCTTCTTTTCTTTCTATTGATTATTAAGTCTTTATGCATCTTGGAGGAGGTCACTTACCTGCTTGTGGGAGGAGAGGAACACAGATATTTAGAAACTAATGACTAATGTATGGCATGCTTTAAATTTTGCACAGTAGGCCACATGCACTTCATAGTCCTAGAGACCTGGGTTCAAATCTCAGCTAAGCTATTTACTTACTGTGTAGCTTTAGGCACATTGCTTAGCATCTCTGGGCTTTGAGTTTGTTCAGCCCTAAAACAGGCAATAATATCTACCTCAGAGGGTGCTGATGAGGGAAACAGTGTGACAGTTGTCTAATGGGCCCAGCTCAGTGCAAGGCATACTGAGGGAGAGCACAGATAGGGTTTCCTTTCTTTCACTGGGCATCCAGAATATGTCTCTTGAAGATGATAGGTTTAGAAGGAGACTGCAGAATTGGAGCATGCTGAGAAGGATGGGGTTTCACAGGTGGGTGTGGGGCGGGGTGGGGCCTGATGATGCTCTGCAGGGGAGGCCTGAAAGGGGACCTATGGCTGTCACTGAGGCCTGTGTGCCTTCTGGGCCTCTCCCTGGGCTTTCCGCAGTGTTTCTTTTTCTCTCCGAGACACAGGATATGAGAAACATAGGCTTTCCCCAGGGAACAACAGAAATGCACATCACTGCAGGCTCCAGGCCCTAGAGCCCCCTGGTTCTTCAGAGAATCTCAAGAGATGAATTGTAAATCATCTCAAATTGGGACAACATCTCTGATTAGGCAGATCCAGCAAATAGCTAATGATCAATAAATGTAGCAAAAATACCTTATAATTTAAAAACACAATCTTAAACAAAATATACTTTTTTACCTACCAAATTGGCACAAAAAAATGGATATTTCCTCATGTTGACAATACTGGGGCAAACTTGTCCTCAGTTTGCTCTTGTTGGTTATGTAATGTGATGCAGTGTTTTTCAGAGGGTATTTTGACATTGTCTGTACAATGTAAACTGTGGGTAGCATTTGACTGGTATGCTTTTCACTGGTAGGAAGTTACCCTATGGGTATATATTTCAAGTATGCAAAGGCCACTATATATTGAAAAGAACTGGGAACAACTTGGACTATTCCCTGAGAAGGGCCTGGTTAACTGAGCTCTGGCACACGCATGTGGAATCCTAAGCAGAGGTTTTGAGAATGAGGCTGATCTGCATGCGCCAGCGTGGAAAGCTATAACAGACACACTGCTTCATCCAAACAGCTTTAAAGAGAATGGTGTGGAGTGATCCCATTTGGGGAAACACACATAGTGTGAGCATGTTTTATTCTTGTAATTCATAAGACAGTTTTGGAAGGACACACAGAAAACTGTTAAATGTTAGGGAAATGGGAATTGGGGTAGGTGCGTTCCATTTGAAGAATTTTATTCTATACTTTTTATCTTTTTTTGTTTTTAACCATAAGAATGCGTCGAATTTTATTCATCTGTTTTTAGAGACAAGGTCTCTCTCTGTCGTCCTGAAGCTGGAGTGTAGTGGTGTGATTGTACATAGCTCCCTGCAGTCGCGAACTCTTGGGCTCAAGCAATCCTCCTGCCTCAGTCCCCTAAGTAACTGGGACTACAGGCACATGCTACCACACCCAGGCTGATTTTTAAAGACTTTTAATAGACGGGGCCTTGTTGCCCAGGCTAGTCTCAAACTTCTGGCCTCAACTGATCCTTCTGCCTTGGCCTTCCAAAGTGCTGGGATTACAGATGTAAGCCACTACACCTGGCCTCAGATTTTCTATTAAAAAAAAATCACCCCCATTTCACAGACAGTGAATGGTCTCAGGGAATGGATGTAACTTGTTCACTTTGACACACAGGGAGATCACTGTGAAGCCAGTGTCTCTCTGTACAGGGAGGTGTCAGAATAGCACAGTTTAAATTCAAATCCTAACTCCACCTACTTGCACTGTGACCCTGGGTGAGTTTATTAACCACTTTGACCCTCTGTTTCCTCATGACACTAGTATCTTTCTCTAAGGATTGTTGTAAAGATAAAATGAGGAAAATACATAGCAAATGTTTATCATAGTGTCTAGTACGTAGTAGATGCTTAATGCAACGGAGTAATTATTATTGCTGTTGTTCTTAACATGATCTATTTAGTCCCAGAAACAGGTTCCCTGTTTCCGGAGGTCACAGGGCTACCCCAGGCAGCAAGGAGAGGTGAACAGTGACATGGTCTGGGCCTCTGGACTGTGGAAGACCCAGGTGGCAGAGCTATGGGCTCCACTGTAATGATTCCAGCCTAGGCAGCTTGCCTCTGTTCAGAGCAGAAGGAGCTGGAAGTCCCCCGTAGAGGATCCTGTGGAGAGCACCTCATCTTGCCCCATGCTATGCATTGCCATAGAAGTGGGGAGTTGGCTGGGCATGGTGGCTCATGCCTGTAATCCCAGCACTTTGGGAAGCCGAGGTGGGCGGATCACGAGGTCAGGAGATCCAGACCATCCTGGCTAACACGGTGAAACCCCATCTCTACTAAAAAAAAAATGTAAAAAATTAGCTGGGCGTGGTGGCAGGTGCCTATAGTCCCAGCTACTCGGGAGGCTGAGGCAGGAGAATGGTGTGAACCCAGGAGGTGGAGCTTGCAGTGAGCCAAGATATCACGCCACCGCACTCCAGCCTGGGCGACAGAGCGAGACTCTGTCTCAAAAAAATAAAAATAAAAATAAAAAAGTAAGTGGGGAGTTATAGATTTATTGAGGCAGATAGTTCATTTGAGACCAACTTTTATATTGCCTCTGAGAAAGCAAAGCAAAGGCCCAGCAAGAAAGACAAAGTTTATTCCATGGAAAGAGCTCCAGACTGAGAGTTGGCATTCATACTAGAGACCTGCTTCCGACTCAGTCTTACTGTGTGACCTGTGGCAAATCCCTTTCCCGCTCTATGCCTCAGTCTCCCTATTTGTGAATTGATGAGGTTGGACAACACTGCCACTAAAGTCTTTTGAGCACTGACATTTTACCCTGTGTTCACGGCCCAATACCAACCTTCAAGGCCCAGGAAAAAACTTGAATCCAAAGAGGGAGTGTGGAGTGAGGAGCGAGAGGTGCAAATGGGGAAGTTCCCAACTAAGGATGCAGGCCCCATCTGGGCAACTTCACCCTCTCTCTTTAGAAATAGGATTTATTTGTTCACTGATTCATTCCACAGTTTTTATGGCCTCCCTATTGTGTCTTGGTTCCCCAGGATCAGAGTTCAAGTGTTAGGTGGCACTTGGAACTGAGCTTAGGTTCAAGTCTGGGCTCTGCCTCCTAGTGGCCATGTGAAGTTATGAAGTCATTTCTGCTCTCTGGGACTCAGGCTCCTTATCTGTAAAATGGGAATAATTACCTTTACCTCATAGAATGATTGAAAAGATTTGCTGAGATACAGGATGTAAAGTGTTTGGCACAGTGCCAGGCACATAGTGGGTACCTTTACAAAAAACCCAAAACCATGATCAATAGGAAAGAGTATGGTATTCTTGAGTTTGAATGTAGCTCAACCCGAGGCCAGTCATTTGATCACAGGCAAGCGACTGAACTCTCAGAGGCTAAATTTCCTCACCTGAAAAATGGGAATAATCATAATGATTTTGAAGGAGAGAACTGAGGCTTGGAGAGAATGTTGTCAGGAGAATTATGAGAATTGAATGAGTCCACATCAGCAGGGCACCTGGCACCGTGCCTGGCTCACAGTAGGGATTCAGTGCCAGCCATTTATTGTCCTGGCTCTGAACCTGTCTCTTTGCTCCAGGGATGATGGGTATAGCTTAGATCTATTTTTGGACTGTGCAAGTCCAGCTCATAAAAATACAATCTTGCTCCTTGTCAGCACTTCTGCACTTGTATTTATTGTTCCTGCCAATCCTGGGACCTCTCCATGTGGGAACGTCTTCATTATTGATAATCCTGGGAAGTAGTATTTTAAATTTTTATGATCTGTACTTTGCACTGTCTGAACCACCATGTATTATCTGGCCTTGCCAGTGACACGGGAATTATATCCAGACAAGGGGTCCTTTAGGGATGAATAATTTATCCCATTTTCACAATGCCAATTATATTAAATTATGTTCTTCATATTAGCAGCTGACAGGACAATGGGGATCCAATGTGTAAATATGGAAAGAAAACAAAGTTATTTCTTTGCCCAAATCCACAGTCATATTTGAAAACCTGGAGTTTCATTTTTCCAAATATCCATAAAACCCCACTTTTAAGAATAAAAAGAGTAGGAGAAATTTTGCCCCTCCCCTCTCTACTTTTCTTCTCTCATTTCTGCTGATAGACAAGGCGCTCAGGGCTCTGTTTTGCTCCATTTTCTTTTAACTGCGGGAAAAAGAAGAATGTCTAGAAGAGAGGCTTTCTTTGCAAATTTATTTTTCTCCTGTCTTGTTCTCTTTGCCTATGCGAGCTGATTCCTCCAAGGTACAATTAATAACGATTGGCTAACATTTCTTAATGCTTTCCCTTTCAGAGTACTAAAAAAAAGGAACTGTGACTTTATCGTTTATGGAAGGGAAATGTTTCTGGCTCTACTCCACAGGAACAAAACACTAAGCTTTATGAAAGTCCTCTAGCTGGCTGGTTGTAGTGACTTTGTAGGGTTGTATTTTCCCTGCTCTCTGCCGGTCCCCATGCAGTGTACCTTCACTGTGGCCAGAGGCCTCTCCTGTGCCTGAAATGCATACCTGCAAAGCCGTTTTCTCATTTATAATCATTCCTCAGCTCTTCACTGCCCTCACATTAATCTTCAAGGTGCCTAGCATGGCATTCAGAGCCTCTGTGTGCCTCTCTAGCTTCCTCCCTGTCACCTACTCACCTCACCCATCCTGTTCCCTGGCCACTTAAAACTGCTTCTCTGTAGTTGCCTCAGGTGCTGGCCTCCCGGATGTCTTCTGAAGGTTTGCTGGTATTGTCTCTCCCTCGATCTAGAGGGATCTTTCCCCTGGGTTTGGAAACAAGGAAGCTGGCCAGGGCAAAGGTCCAAAGAGAGATGACCATGTCCTATATTGGGGTAGAGGCCGTGCAACTGGATGAGTGGGTTGATTTAAGGGAAATTTTTGAGGAAGCTGGAGCTGGAATGGGTGGAATAATGGAATGAATTTTGAGACTAAAGGGAAGGGAGGAATCATGAGAGATTCTGTGTTTGATTTGACATAAACAGTAGTTTGGATAATGCTGCTGTTATCTTCTAAGTTGGGGATTACATGGCATGAAGATGTTGAGAGTGAGGTGGCTGGGGCAGGAGGGTCAAGGGTGAATGTTCAGTAGGGTCATCTGAGTGTTGAGTGATATCTGAGTGGAAGTAAATATTTGGGAGTCATGAGGATAAACAATGAACTTGATTAGCCAGGTGTGGTGGCACATGCCTGTAGTCCAAACTACTCAGGAGGCTGAGACAGGAGAATTTCTTGAACCCAAAAGGTAGAGGTTGCAGTGAGCTGAGATCATGCCACTGCACTCCAGCCTGGGCAAAAGAGCGAGACTCTGTAAAAAACAAACAAACAAAGAAACAAAAAAACCAATGAACTTGGAAGTGATGGGAGTGAGAACATGCAGAGGGGGCTTGTAGATGGAAAGAAGAGTGGTCATGAGCTGGCTTTGAGAAATCCCAACACTGAGAGATCAGAAAGAGGAGGAGCCTGGAGTGGAGACGGAGGAGGGCTGCTGGGTGAGCCAGCAACAGAACCAAGAGAGAGGCTGCCATGGGCCCAAGGGAGGAGAACCTTTCAAGGAGGAGAGAGAGAACAAGCTTGTCAAAAATGACTGAGAGGTCAAAGAAGATGAAGGCAGAGCACTGTCCATTTGTTCCAGGCAAACAGGCCAAGACCTTTTGAAATGGAGATGGAGTTCCAAAGAGCTAACACTTCCTCGGGGTGAAGACAAAATATTGTGTAGCAGCCTGAGTTGCTTTTGGAGAAAATGTGGCTTAGCTAAAGAAAACAGCAGATGACTGAGGACCCACATGGTATCAGGCACCTGCCTGTCTCTTGGCCTGTATTTGAACTTTGTGGTTTGAGGAGTGAGGACCTGAAGCTAAAGGGACTATTTTCATTAGAAAGTCACTCAAAGCCTAAGTAGCATTTCATAAGGGTTCAGAGCAAAGCAGGACATGGATTTGAAGAGAGGGTTATGGTCCCAACTCTGCCTAATTTCAGTACCCTCTAACCCCATGACTGCAAATGGTGAGTGGCATATTTTTATGATAAACATATTATACATATAAATTATTATATGTATACTTGAAGTTGATGTAAATGACATCACGCAGTATATAAAAACCTCTTGGTATCTAATTTCTTTTGTTCAATGTAATGTCTATGAAATTCATCAATGTATATGTAGTATAGCGGTGAGGCATTCCATTTTCTGAGTAAACCACAATTTATCCATTCTCCTATTAGTGTACATTTGAGATGTTCCCAGTTTGGGGCTATCAGGAACAAAGCTGCTATGAATGTTCTTGTATCTTTTGGTGGACCCATTATGTTTTTGAGCTGACTTTTTGCTGACACCTAGGAAATCTATTGATTTTGGTTTACTTATTTAGTATTTGGCTACCTTACTAAATTCTAATCACTTTTCAGTTCATTTTCTTGGGTTTTCTTGGAAGACATGTGTATCAGATAGAAAGCTTTTAGTTTCAAGTAACAGAAAACCCAGCCAAAATTATATTAAGGCTCAAAGAGTAGGTATTTGCCCCTATAACTGTGGATCCCAGAGTAGGTCTAACTTCAGGCAAGGTGCAATCCCGGGGTAGGATGTCATCTGGACCCAGCTCCATTTCTCTGGGTTCCTCTTGGCTCTGCCCTTCTTTGTGTGCTGCCTTGTTCTTCTCCTGGTTCCCATCAAGATGGCAACAATTCCAGGACTAAAGTCTTCAGCATACCATCCAGAGGAAGAATCACTCATGAAGACCTACAAGGCTTCTTTCATCAAGACACTAGTCAATACTACCTCATAGCTCATTGGTCCAAATTGGGTAACATGCCCATGTCTGAGTCAATCAAATTGTGTGATCAATAGGATGGTATGCCCTGATTGGCTCAACTTCACTAGGGACCATCACTGTCACTAAGGAAGTGGTCAATCCCACTGAACCACATGGCTGCCACACAGTGAGGCAGGGGTGGGTTCCCAAAAGGAATATCATAGCGCTTTTGGTTGAAGAAGGAGATGGATGCTAGAGAAGCAACCTCAAAATATTTATTATTATGAGAATAAAAATGATATTGCCTGTAATGATTATTCATGGTCTTGTTCTGACAGTAATATTTTTCAGTTCTGTCTCCTGTCTCAACATGTTGGTTAGAATATGGGGTCTTTTAAGTTTACAGAGAATGGAAACGGTTTTCAGATTTTTCAAAAGCTCTGGGAAGGATGTTTATAAAAATAGAGAGGGAGCGAGAAAGACTAAGAAGCAAGTACTTCTTAATATTTTTTTTTTTTAAATTTACTAGTCTCTGAGTTTGCATCCAACATTTGATGTGAGGATTCTCAAGAACAGTTGGAGGACTGTGGATCTAGAAAGGAAGGGATCAAGCCAAGAGATGATGGAAATAGACTTGGCAATGTGGGAAGGTGGACTAGTTTTCAATTGCTGTGTGACAAATTACCAAAAATTAAGTGGCTT
Organism: Homo sapiens; assembly: GCF_000001405.40. NCBI lineage: Eukaryota > Metazoa > Chordata > Mammalia > Primates > Hominidae > Homo > Homo sapiens. The sequence continues at coordinate 174,060,570 of NC_000005.10, forward strand.
AAAACCCATAAACTTATTATCTCACAGTTTTCGTAGGTCAGAAGTCCAGCCATAGGCTAGCTGGGTTCTCTGCACCAGGGTCTCATGAGCCCGAAATCAAGGTGTTGGCCAGGCTGCATTCCCACTGACACTTGAGATCTTCTTTCAAGCTCATTGAGGCTGTCGACAGATTTCAGTTCCTTGTGGTTGGAGGACTGAGGTCCTGGTTTTCTTGTTGGCTCTTGGTTGAGGGTTGCCCTCAGGTACTAGCTGCATGGCTGTCTTTCAGCATGTCAGTTTAATTCTTCAAGGTCAGTGGAGAATCTCTTTCCAGTCTGTTACCCTGGAGTTTTACATAGCACAATGTAATCATGGGAGGGACTAGCCCATCATAACCACAGGTCCAGCCCACATCCTAAAGGGAGGAAATTATACAGCACATGAACACCATGGGGCAGGAATCTTTGGAGCCAAATTAGAATGCTGCCTACCCCAAAAAGCAATTATTACCCCAAGGCTTGTGGCTCATGCTGACCAAGAAATACATATATTATATATATTAATAGATATGTTACATGTATATATTACACACACACACACATATATACATACACACATGCATGGGGAGATAAAATTAAAATTGTAAATCCAAGTTTGTGAATATTTCTAAAATCGTGGATTAAGAGAAATAATCAGACATCTAAATTTTCTGTACCACTTCATAATCTGACAGTTGATCTAGTGATGTCCAAAATATTTCTAATAACTGGAATTTGTAGAATATCCTTTTAGTTCACAAAGCACCTGCATGTATGTTCTTTCATTTGGTCCATCCCAGAATGCTGTGAACTAGCCTAGGAGCTTTACCATTTGCTCTTTTGTTTACATCAGCTTCCGACTCTCGTATTCGCATTGCAGTTCACATGCCAGCAAAGCAAGTTCTTGTAGATCACATGCTATTTCACACTTTTGTTTCTTTGGCTCTGTGGTACACTTTGCAGAGACTGTCTTCCCTTGTTTTGTCCACCCAGGAAACTTCTATTCATCTTCCAAAACTCTTTTTTTTCTTTTTTTGAGACAGAGTGTTGCTCTGTCGCCAGGCTGGAGTGCAGTGGCACAATCTTGGCTCACTGCAACCTCTACCTCCCGGGTTCAAGTGATTCTCCTGCCTCAGCCTCCTGAGTAGCTGGGATTACAGGTGTGCGCCACCATGCCCAGCTAATTTTTTTAATTTTTAGTAAATATGGGGTTTCACCATGTTGGCCAGGGTGGTCTTGATCTCTTGACCCCATGATCCACCCGCCTCAGCCTCCCAAAGGGCTGGGATTACAGGCGGGAGCCACTGTGCCGAGCCCCCAAACTTTTTTTTTTTTTTTTTTTTTTAGGCAGGGAAGTTGGGGGCATTCTTGAATGCCCATGTTCCTGAGAAGTCCTTGTGTTGCTCTTGATAGGCTAGGTAGGGTGACACTGCAGCCTGACAGGTGCAAGGCTCCACTCTACAGCTGCCTCAGTATCTATGGAAGAAAATGTGATAGCACCCAGATGTTATTGGATTAATGTTCTGAATGTCTAACTTGCATCAACTCATTTATGCCTCCCAACAATCCAACGAGGTGGTCATGGTGATTTCCCCATTTTATAGATGAGAAAATCAAGACACAGAAGGCATCATCAACTCACCCAAGGTCACCAGCTAGTAAGTTCTGGAGCCAGGATTTGAACTCAGCCCACACTTGTACACTCCCCTACAATATTGACAATATTGGTATCTGCTTTATAGTGTAGAATTAAGTGAGGTAAGGCATGCCAAATGCTCAATGCCTGCTATATAGTAAATGCACAAAGTATGAGAATTATTTTTCTTATCTGTGGTACAAGAGCTTCTGTTTTCCTATTCTTTGGCCTAGTGGGTAGGAAGAAAATAAAAATAACAGAGCATCCTTCTGCCCCCACCCCCTGTAAGCTCTCATCCATGTTTGGCTGTGTTGCTTCCCTGTTTGAGGAAGCCAGGGGCTCTCTTTTTGTTGTTTGGAGGAACAGATTGCAAAGAGGGCAGGAAACAACAGCAGAATTTCCATCCAGAAATGGGTTCTAGAGGTAAGAGAGGGTGGGGTGCTGATGGGCTGGGGTCCAGGGCCTCCTTAACCCCCATAAGTCCAGCCATAGGTTAGTTGGGTTTAGGTACCACCTGGTAGATGTTCCGTGTATGGTAGCGCCGTCCCTATCCCTTCCTTTTTGAGCTGCATTGAGTCCATGACATGCCTCACAGATGTTAAAGGACATTCTTCATAGAAGAATTCTTGCTCTAGTTAATACGCTTGACTGTTGTCTCCAGGGAAGGTTGGTGGGCGTTTTCAGTGAAAATTCTGTTAATTTGAGCCATAATGGGAAGTAGGAGTGATCATGGTTAGAAGATTACTTCATTTTAGCTGTGTGACCCTGGACAAGTGACTTAGCATCTCTGAGCTTGAGTTTCCTTGTTAGGAGAATGGAAATAGTAGTGATAGGTAGGTGAGGCATATGAAGTGCTTGATCTAGTTCTGGCATATAATAAGTGGTTCAAAAATATTGCTCATTATCATCTCACTTAACTCTCAAAGCAACCTTACAAAATAGGGATATGAATTAGAATTATTTGTCTCTATTTTACAGATGAGACCCTGAGGCTTAGACAGCTTCTGTGTTCCTCATGGCACTGCAGCACTTGGCAATAGTTATTGATTATCTGTCAGGTTTCTTTTTCTTTCACTTTGCCTGCACAGTGGGATGGAGTTACATAAATGTCTTGTCAGGTTGACAGCATATCTTGATAAGATGTTAACCACCTCTGCAAAAATATTCAGACTTTAGAAAAATAAGATGATACAACAGATTCAACAGAACTTTCTATTTTTCTTCTCACAAGTCCCCAAATCAAATTGGAATTAAGTGTGTGTGCAAAGGCTTAGAAACAGAATCTTCATCATAACTTTCTATTTTATTTTATTTTATTTTATTTTATTTTATTTTATTTTATTTTATTTATTTACATATTTATTTATTTAATTTTTGTGGGTACATGGTATATATATTTTTGGGGTACAGGAGATATTTTGATACAGGCATGCAATGTGAAGCACATCATGGAGAATGGGGTATTTATCCCCTCCATCCCCTCCATTTATCCTTTGAGTTACAAACAATCCCATAACTTGTTTATATAACCAAAACTGGAGGCAACCTAAACGTGTAACAATTAAAGTTTAATTAGATCAGTTGCAGTACACACATGCAGTGAAATGTTATACTATGCCAAAAGGCAAAATACAATGATATATTTGTTTACATTGGAAAATTGGAGAAAAATATAGTGTTGTGTGATAAAAGCAGGTTATAAACTATAAAGTATGAATTCATCTCATAAAATATATATTTTCACAAATAGTAAATATATAACAATATGTACATATATAAGTCTATATAAATATCTAAAAAGGTATAATCAAAGTTGTTACCTAGGGTTGTCTCTGTTGGAATGGGGAAGTATTATGAGTAACTTGAATTTTCTCTTACGTGTGTTTGAAGGGGGGTTCTTTATTTTTTTGATCTTTATGTCATGTGTAATAAATTCTGGTTACTGAAAAAAAAGAAAGGAAAATGTTTCAAGTCTCCATGCATGCTAACACACTGGTTGACTCTTTCAGGTGATTGTGAAGACAAGAACGGAATATCAGCCGGAACAGAAGAACAAAGGGAAGTTCCGGGTGCCGAAAATCGCTGAATTTACGGTCAGTTTCTTGATGGTGTAATAGAAAGAGTAAAGGAGAGGCTGGCTCCAGCCAGCTCAGCACACCTCGTGCTTGGAGCAAGTACTGCTGTGGGTGGGGAAATGATGCAGGCTATTTCTGGAGGATTTCTTGAAGCCATACAGTCTGGCCACTGAGTTTAATCAAATAACAAGAACTCTGCCTCTGAGGTCTATCATATTCTCGTGTACTCTGGAATGTTCTGATAAATCTCATAATTGATAAATGCCTCTTCTATTCCTTCTCCTTTCTCCTGTTCCCTTCTTCCTGCTTTTTCATCACAATCTCCAGGAAATGTGATGGAAATGCAGTAAGTGACTCACATTTTAGTCCTTCGTTGCAACAAATATGAGAAAAACAAAGGTGGGGGGAAGAAAAGCTGGCTTCTTGGTGGTGAAACCCTAATGGTTGGCTTCCTATTTCTTGGTGGAGGGGCCGCGAGGAGCACTGGAGAATATGTTGCTAGCTGTGATGAATTGCATCAAGGATCCACAAAGCATTCTCTGTGAGGGTGAAAGAGGAATCCCAGGGAATGCCCCGAGGAAGTCACTTAGGAGCTGAGGTGGGTGGGGAAGTGGGTATGAAGCAGGTACAAGGTGCTTGCAGCTGAGGAGAGTGCAGCTTGTGCAAAGGCCCTGAGGCAGGAAGGAGGCTAGCCCCAACCCTGAATAGAAACAGAAATAGAAACCCTGAATAGAAATAAGGACAGTGAGGGCCGGGCACGGCGGCTCACGCCTGTAATCCCAGCACTTTGGGAGGCTGAGTCGGATGGATCACGAGGTCAGGAGATCGAGACCATCCTGGCTAACACGGTGAAACCCCACCTCTACTAAAAATACAAAAAATTAGCTGGGCGTAGTGGCGGGCGCCTGTAATCCCATCTACTCGGGAGGCTGAGGCAGGAGAATGGAGTGAACCAGGGAGGCAGAGCTTGCAGTGAGCCAAGATCGCACCACTGCACTCCAGCCTGGATGACAGAGCAAGACTCCGTCTCAAAAAAAAAAAAAGAAATAAGGACAGTGAGGCCGGGCTCTAGGAGGGTGCAGGGAGCAGACACAGATGAGGCAGAAGTGGGCGGAGGGCAGACAGTTCCAAGCATTGAAGGCTGTATGAAGGCATTTAGGGTTTAATACTAAAAGCAACAGGAAGCCTTTGAAGGACTTCAGGAAGAGAAGGGACATGATTACATTTGGGTTTTAGAAAAAGTATGCTGGCTTTTACATGGCTAATGGAGTGTGGTGGATGAAAGGGGATGGAGGGGCACTATTAGGCTACTGCAGTCATTCAAGTGAAAAAACACACAAAAAACGGTGGCAGATCAGATAAGGGTGGCCAGTGGGTGGAGAGATGCAGGCAGATCTAAAATATTTAGGAGGCAAACAATCAGCCCTGGAGGCAGTAGAACAAGTGGTCCTGTGGATGGATGATGCAGCAGCCTGGCTGGGCTTGAGCCTTGGTTCCACCTTATCCTAGCTGTGTGGCCACAAGCGAGTCACTAAGCCTCACTTATCAAATGGAGATAATAGTAGGGTTGCTATGACGATGAAGTACAAAGTACCTGCAAAGCACTTGGATCTGTATAAGTGCGCAATAGTAGCCTTTTTATGTCAACTGTGACTGGGAGCTTTGAAAGTGAACATGACTCGTGGTTGGTTATCTGGGAATTGAAGCGTATGCGGGGAGAAACATGTGGGTTTGTTTGTCTTTGACTATTTTTCTCCCCACTAAATCAATACTGAAGCAGCTGCGTATGTGGCCCAGGGGAGGAGTGTGGTCCCTCTGTGTGCATTCCCTGGAATGTGGAACTTCCTAGATGCCACCCTCCTCTTGGAGAGCAGTGGCTGGTCTTACTTTTTTATTGTACTTTCAGTGTCTGCCACACAGCACAGGCCCAGTGAAAGTGGACCAAGACCCAGCTGCGTACAAGTACTTGCAGGAATAAGCAGGTACCTGCATGAATGAGCACAGAGCTTGCAGGAGAGGCCTGGGGTATCTTGGTGCACCAGGCCACGGGGTCAAATTTACCTGCCTTCCTGGCAAGAGATCACAAGAAATATTCCCAGGTTCACATGTAAGAATGTTTGCTGCAGTACTATCTATAAAATTAAAGTATTGGAAACTAGACTTTCAACAACTTTCTTGTGATTTCATAAATGAGAACACATCCATATGATGAACTACTTTACAGTTTCTTAAGAATTACCTTTTTTCCCTCAGAGAGTAGTTTTCTCTAAATTATATGTATATGAGATACTTTCATCTAATTTTTACTTCTCTATGCTTTCCAAATTTTATGCAATGTGCACTTAATTATTTCAATAATCAGACAAAAATGAGAATTATTTTTAAGTGTGCTTTTTTAAAAAAAAACAGAGTGTTAGGCATTTTTAATGAAATTATCCTTTATCCAGCAGTCATTTGAAATGATGGCTGTGTCACGAGGTCAGGAGATCGAGACCGTCCCGGCTAAAACGGTGAAACCCCGTCTCTACTAAAAATACAAAAAATTAGCCGGGCGTAGTGGCGGGCGCCTGTAGTCCCAGCTACTTGGGAGGCTGAGGCAGGAGAATGGCGTGAACCCGGGAGGCGGAGCTTGCAGTGAGCCGAGATCCCGCCACTGCACTCCAGCCTGGGCGACAGAGCGAGACTCTGTCTCAAAAAAAAAAAAAAAAAAAAAAAAAAAGAAATGATGGCTGTGAAGTGCAATAATTTGGGCAAATACTTAAAGAGAGAATGTTGAGTGAGTAAAATAGAGATTAAGATTGTATGCTTTCTAGGATTGGAGCTATGAAAAATTACAAATAAATGTATTAATATTAAAATGCTGTCTATGGCTGTGTTATTAGCAGTGATATAGGGCTATATATTTTTTTTGTCTTCTTTGACAACTTTTGGTGATGTGGCTACTTTTTCATATCTATGTGAGAGATTGATATAATCCCCTATGGCTCCGAGAGGTGACATAACATGCTGACCCACCAGCAAGTGGCAGAGCCAGGGCCTGGCGGCCTCTCTGCTCAGCCATGATGCCTGCAGTAGGTAACTGCTGGGTAGAACAGAAATGAGTCAGCTAAGAGAAAAAGGGTGCTGGGTCAGGGACCAGGGCCTGTAGAAGTTCTCCACCCCCGCGCAGTTTGACTCAATTAGTCTTGGGGGTCAGGAAAGAAGGGCTTTGTGGTTCAGGGGCAGCCCTCTGTCAGCCCTGTCAGGCATGGGCAGAGGGGGACCTGCACTTGAAGCAAAATGGGAGGAATGGAGCAGATTCTCTTATGCTTATGTAAAGCTGCAAGAATTAATTAGCCTGGTTTTTCACTTTCTTAAAGAGAGCTCCTTCTGGGCCCCATGAAGGATGCACCTGCAGGTGCAGAGGTGGATGCAGGGAGGCTAGGGAGGAGGCGTGGAGGTAATTAAGAAGAGTCTGAGGGTCTGAGCTGAGTAAGCTGGCTGGGGCTCATGATCCAGGGAGGGGCTGTTATGGAGGTGGAATTTACAGGACTTGCTCCTGGTTGGAGGAAGGGCATTGGGGGACTCTTTGGTGTTTGGCTTGTCTACCTGCCACTGAGGTAGGGAGCTGGGGGGATGCTCTGAGTGTGAGGTGCCTGGAGACCATGGGTGGGGAGGGGGAAGACAGGTGGTCTGGCCACCCTTGGAACTAATAGGTTTGGAGCTCAGGATGGAGATTTCCACTGGAGAACTAGGGCTGGAGTCAGGGAATTTACAGTTAGAGAGCTTGGTGCTGTTACACAGTCACTGGGTCACCCTGCAGATATATTGCCCGGGGCTGAGGGAACCTTGGAAACTGCAAAGGTGCACCCCTTCTCATTCCAATCCCTTCATGGATCTGGGACAGCTTGTGATTTGAATTTCAAAATTAACCTGGAGAAAGCAGTTCATGGCAATTATTCTGTAAGAGAGAAAAGAAGGGAGCAGGGTGGGGAGAGATGAATAGAGAAAGATGAGCTGAAATAATTGCCTGGAATTTTTGTCATTTCTGAAACTAAGGAGGCCCTGCAGTCATTGTAAAGGGCCACAGACTTGAAATATTTTCATCAGGGTTATGTGAGAAAATGGGAAAATGCAGAGAAAAAAACCCTCCTTTCTTAATCTGAGAGCAAGGGGTTCTCTAAAACTGATTTTGCTATGGATGGTGCTGGTGCTGTGGTGGGTGTTTGCGTCATGGGATCCTGGTGCTGTGGAAGGTGCTGGTGATGTTGGGGGTGCTGGTTTCCTGGTGATCCTGGTGCTGTGGAAGGTGCTGGTGCTATATAGGGTTCTGGTGTCACGGTGATCCTGGTGCTATGGAAGGTGCTGGTGCTATGGAGGGTGCTGGTGTCATAGTGATTCTGGTGCTATGGAAGGTGCTGGTGCTGTGGAAGGTGCTGGTGTCATGGGAATCCTGGTGCTATGGAAGGTGCTGGTGCTGTGGAAGGTGCTGGTGTCATGGGAATCCTGGTGCTATGGAAGGTGCTGGTGCTGTGGAAGGTGCTGGTGTCATGGGAATCCTGGTGCTATGGAAGGTGCTGGTGCTGTGGAAGGTGCTGGTGTCGTGGGAATCCTGGTGCTATGGAAGGTGCTGGTGCTGTGGAAGGTGCTGGTGTCATGGGGATCCTGGTGCTGTGGAAGGTGCTAGTACTATGGAGGGTGCTGGTGTCTTGGTGATCCTGGTGCTATGGAGAGTGCTGGTGTCATGGTGATCCTGGTGCTATGGAGGGTGCTGGTGCTGTGGAAGGTGTTGGTGCTATGGAGGTGATCCTGGTGCTGTGGAGGGTGCTGATGTCACGGTGACCCTGGTGCTGTGGAGGGTGCTGGTGTGATGGTGATCTTGCTGCTGTGGAGGGTGCTTGTATCATGGTGATCCTGGTGCTATGGAGGCAGCTGGTGCCAAGGAGAGTGCTGGTGCTCTAAAGGTTACTGGTGCTCTGAAGGTTGTTGGTGCTATGGAAGATGCTGGTGCTGAGGAGGGTACTGAGGCTCTGGAAGGTGCTTATGCACCTAGCTATGCTGCCAGGCCTGGTTGTTTCCAGGTTCGTCTGTGAGTTGGAGCTGAGTTTGGATTTGGAAGTCATTGGTGCTAAGCTGTGGAGAGGCACAGCTGTCCTCCAGGGAGATACCTGGGCTTGAGACTAGGCTCGCCTAGGCATCTTAGATCTTGGCTTTGCCATATCTTAGCTTCATGACCTTGGGAAAAATCTCTCCACTCCCAAGTTCCCAACTTTTCATTAATAAAACCAGACAATAATAATGAATAGTCTGTCTTTGGTGCACGCTAGGGGCTTAATAAATTATCATTTTCTTTCTTTCCTATTTATATCCTTTTTCTTCCTCTTGTGTTCTTAGCTTCCTGTCTAATTAGCTGGATTTTGTTTGTTGGTTGGGCTCTGGGCCTCTCTTTGCAGGCTTTTCTCCCTGGGAATGTGACTGGGAGAACCTGGAGGAACATTTCAAGGGGTAGCCAGTTCATTGTCAGGATTCATGGGTGGTCTCTGGCTTCCCACAGTGATTCCTGGAGGCACGTGTTTGCTTGTTGGTAAAGGTAGGCCATTTTTTTTTTTTTTTTTTTTTGAGACAAGGTCTTACTTTGTCACCAAGACTGGAGTGCACTAGCATGATCATGGCTCACTGCAGCCTTGACCTCCCAGGCTCAAGTGATCCTCCCACCTTAGCCTCCCAAAGAGCTGGGACTACAGGCACAAGCCACCATGCTCGGCTAATTTAAAAAGGTTTTTCTTTTTTTGGTAGAGATAGGGTCTCACTTTGTTGCTCAGGCTGGTTTGAACTCCTGGCTTCAAGCGATCCTCCTGCCTCGGCCTCCCAAAGTTCTGGGATTACAGGTGTGAGCCATCATGCCCCGTCTGGTCATTTTTTTCGTGGGCTATTTTTTAGTACTTCAGTTATAAGACAAATAATAATAATGTCTTAAATATGCTTTTACATCTACTTTTCAGCCTAACAACAATCTTGGGAAGTAGGTACTTTTATTATCCCCATTTTACAGGTGAGGAAACTAATGCTTAGAGAAGTGAGGTGATTTTCCCAAGGTCACTTAGCCAGGAAATGTCAGAACAAAGCAAGAACCCAGCTTCATGGCTCCATATCCCATTCTCTCTGCCACAACTTGATGTCACCCTGCCATTGTCCTGGCCAAGCTGTGACCTTCCTGCCTTCTTTCCTTCCTTCTTGGTCTCCCTCCCTTTTCTTCTTTGTCGTTATTAATATTGGTTCTGGTCTGGGCTCAATGCCTGTTGCTGGGAGATACAAAAATGGATAAAACAAAACCTCTGCCCTGAAGGAGCTAACAAATGTGTGGATCAGATGAGAAACATTCTGTGCAGCTTCTCAGCTGTGCTCTTCCTGGAGTCAGCAACTCTGGGACCCCTTCCTGATCCTCTAGCTGGATTTGGGGCCTCCTCTGGGCTCTGTAGGGTCATGAGGCCTCCTTTCCCACTGTCCTCTGCCTGGCCTATCCCGCACCTGCAGCCCCCTCTAGCTTCTGATCCCTGGAGGGCAGGGAGGTGTCTGGTGCATCTCTGTGTTCCCAGTTCCCAGCACTGGCCTGGCATGGAGCAGGCTTTGGGTGTGTTGCATTGTGGGCCCTGTCTCTTGGGATGGTCTCAGGAGCATCCCTGACCCCACACCCTGATCCAGCATTCAGAGAATCTGCCTCATTAGGCTCTGGCCAGGGCCAGCTCAGACTGGAGGGTGTGTAGGCACTTGGGAAGGATCCTGGGAATGCCTGCAGTCCAGACCTAGAGCACATCCAGTGGGGAGAAGCTGCAGTGGGAGGGACACCTTAGCCCAAAGGGACCAGAGCTCACCATTCTCTCATTAAAATGAGGTGGGACCAAGAACTGGAAATGAGAGGGTCAGTCCTTTTTAAACAACCAGTGGCTCATGCCTGTTATCCTAGCACTTCGGGAAGCCAAGGTGGGTGGATCACGAGGTCAGGAGACGGAGACCATCCTGGCCAACATGGTGAAACACCGTCTCTACTAAAATACAAAAATTAGCCTGGTGTGGTGGCACGCACCTATAGGTCCCAGCTACTTGGGAGGCTGAGGCAGGGGAATTGCTTGAACCCGAGAGGTGCGGCTTGCAGTGAGCTGAGATCGCACCACTGCACTCCAGCCTGACGACAGAGCAAGACTCAGTAACAACAACAGCAACAACAGAAGAACCAGTGTCAGTGGGCTATTATTAAACAAACAGCAACAAGTAAAACAAAAATAAAACCCCAGTTGCAGTTTCAGGCTAACATTAGAAGGTGTGGATTTTTGCTGTTTCATCCGCTCACCGATCCATTCCACTCTTTGGGCTCCTGCCTGTGACTAGCACTTTATGTGCACTACCCCGCTGAATGGTCCCAGCACGTCAGGCTGGCGGGATTGTTACCCCACTTGCATATGAGGAACACAGGCTCAGAGAGGCAGAGCGAGCCATCTGAGGTCCACACCCTGGAGGCTGTGCAGCTGGGCCACCTGCCCGGGTAGACAGGGTCAGGGAAGGTTGCTCAAATGGAAGGGGATCCCCGGCTACACAGGAATGGCTCCTAAGGATGCTGCTGAGCTCACTTACCTGCCAGTGGCTCCTTCTCCTTTCCTTTTATAATCTAGGGCCAAGAAATGGGGGCCTTGGCTCCCTGTCTCAAGCCTCAACCCTGCTCACGTTCCCTCCAACACTAACAGGAGAAGAAGCAGGGAGAAACACAGAAACCAGCCTCCTCAGTGCTGGCCGCTGCACCTAGCAGCCATAGAGCCAGGCCCCTCTCCCTCTGGAAGTCTCTAGTGACTGTCCTTTCTTCTCTGTTCTCACTCCAACACTCTGGTTCAACCCACATCACCACCTGTCCCAGCCCTCTCCCTGATCCCTGGCCCCTTTCCTCAGCAGCCCCAGTCCTTTCTCCTCCCCTTCTAGAGCACATGCCCCACAGTGGCATTTCTGTGCCTCCATTGCTTACCTGCCTCTCCCATAGGTGCATCCACCTCCCAGAAGCAGTGGCCCTTCCCTCATGATCCTGTCCATTGGATGTCTCCCTGCCTTTGTCTGTGTCATCCTTCCTAGCTGGATTGTCTTTCCTGCCTGCCATGGGGCCATCTCCCTATTCATCCCTCAACACCAAATGCACATGGCCTGGGCCTGTGCAGTGTTGCTTGCACTGACATGCAAAGCCTGTCCTTTCTCCTTTGGGTTCCTGCATGTCCTATAGGACCCTCCATTCTAGTACCAATTAAACAGAGTTGGCATCAGTGAGTTACCTACTAGGTCTCCTGCTGACTGGACCAGGAGCTCTTGTACCCTTCTCTGTACCCTAAGAAGCTAGCCAGCACCTGGCCGGATGAAGCAGTAAAAAATGCCCTTAATAAATGAATAAGGCTGGGTGTGGTGGCTCACACCTGTAATCCTAGCACTTTGGAAGGCCAAGGTGGGAGGATTGCTTGAACCCAGGAGTTTGAGACCAGCCTGGGCAACATGGCAAAACCCCATCTCTACAAAAAATGCAAAAAATTAACTGGATGTGGTTATGCATGCCTGTGGTCCCAGCTGCTCAGGAGGCTGAGGCAGGAGGATCATCTGAGCCTGGGAGGTTGAGGCTGCAGTGAGCCGGATTGTGCCACTGCACTCCAACCTGGGTAACAGAGTGAGATCCTGTCTCAAATGAATGAATGAATGAATGAATGCATAAGGAGGTGAATGAGCAAACAAAAAAAATCCGTATGGCTGACCAAGAAACTCCACATCGATCACATCAACAGCTCTGGTTGCCTCATTTCCAGTATCTTTATATAAAATCAGGGCCCTATCTTTTCTTCTGAACTCTTGCTGATAACACATCCTCATAACTCTCTTCCTGATGCCACATTCTTAAGAAGTTAGACAACATTTCTAGCTTCACCATTTGCTTCTACCAATTTTTCATCAAAACTCCAGGGCCTTCATTCCATGGGATTCTAATATTTGCTGACAGCAGCAAATGGAGATAAGCGATTTTACTTTATTATCTGTTGTCTTGGTTTTTATTGCTCTCTCTTTCTTTTAAATTTTGAGGAACATTTTTAGGCAAGTTATTAAAAACACTGCCTGCTGGGTTAGGAGCAGAGTCATTATTTGGCATGGAAAGAATTTGCACATGAGGACTTGGTGGAGAAAGGCTGCCAGAGTGTTTCATGTTTATTATTTCACTTCTGGCCAGGGTTTTATTGAAAATCAGACTGAAGATGCTGGCCTATGTTTTTGTCCAGGTGCTTTCGCCTGGCTTTGTGAGTGTACTATTAGAATGACCTTCAAAAATGTATGCTGTTATTAATTGATAGTTGCAAAGCAATCGTGGCTTAATTTTTTAACGAAACATTCCTCTGAGACAGAAAACACACATTGTGCTGCCTTAGGAGGAATGTGCATAGGGTTTGATGAGAGACGGGGTGATTCAATGACCACCCCATCGCAAAAGGATGGGCTTTTATTACCGGCTTTACATTCTCATTGATCCAAACAAACATTGTTAAGTAAATGCTGCAATAAAGCAAGTCACTTGTTAATAAACATAGTGTAGAAGAAGACTTCTAGGGTATAGTGAGCACTCTTGTTTCCTATGGGACTCCTGCAGGGGTGGGCTGGAGTAACTCACACCCACTCCTGAGAGCTGATTCTTCCAAGTTTGCAAGCCAGTTGTGAAACTGTTGGAAGCTTGAAATCAATCATGGTGGGAGTGTTTACACCATGGAAATCAGCAAAGGCTACAAATCTCCTCCTCTCCCCCCAAGAGCTGGTCTCTCAGCACACCACTGTGGAAAGGCGATATGGAAGAAACACATGGGTTAGGGGTTTGATCCCATGGGTTTGTGAACTGGAACATGTCATTTCAGCTCTCTGAACCTGCGTTTCCCAATCTGCAAAATGGGTGGCGAAGGCTCCATCATAGACCTAGTGTGAGGCCTAAGTGAGGCAATGTAAGCTAACACAGTTGTTCCACTGTGGCTCGATAAACGTGAGCTTCCTCTTGTAGCTGCATGGTAGTTTTATTTCTGGGGAGGGAGGTCTCTTGCTAGATGGATGCTGCCACCTAGCTTGGGTCTCCAGTGGGAAGCTACGCCTGGTACCTGTGGGCCTCCATCCCAGGTGACGCTGCCGTAGCTCAGTTGCTCCTCTTGGCTTACCCTTTCCACTGTGCCAGCTCCCAGCTCTCCATCTCTGTCCCACCCCTTCACGCAATATGAGAAAAACCAGATTACGTCATCAGATCACTCTCCTGCTTGAGAAATCTGCGATATCTCCCTGCTTCCTAGGGGCTGCAGTGTGATGTCCTTAGTACGGCACTGCAGGCTCTTCCAAAGGTGGGCCTTGCTGCTGATTCCTGTCCCTCTGCCACTGCCTTCCTACACTCCCAGTGTTCTGGGGCTCTCATAGCACTGCAAAACTGCCATGCCTTTTCATACTTCCAGCATTGCCCATGCAGTGTCCTCTGCCTCCATTGCCATCCATGTTTTCTGCTTGGAGACCCCGCTTAGAGCTCATCTCCCCTGGAACTGGTCCTTGACTCCCCACTTTCATACCTGGAAGTCCTAGGTTCCTAGCATTACAACTTTTCCTTCTCTTCCTGCACCTCACTGCTGAGATGGCACATCGGCTTTCCTAGAGTTCTGCTACCTAGCTGGATTGCTGAAGGTGCCACTGAAAAGAGGGCTTCCTAAAGGTTTCTCAAATCCTTGGTTGGAGTAATAAAAGGAAGATACAGAAAGTAAAACAACATTTTAAAAATAATTATTTGCAGTAATAAATAATAACAGCTTTATTTTATTAAACTTCTATTATGTGCCAGATAGCCTGTGAGTCATTTCCCATTTTATCTTTATTGTAACTCATGAAATAGGCATATTTTTAATATACGGATGAGAAAGCTGGGGATCAGCATGATTAATTAAGCCACTCGGGGTCATACAGCCAATAAGGGGGCAGAGTCGGGGTTTTCTGACCCAGAGCGGTATGTGCACCGATGTGTGGTTATGTGTATGTGTGTGCATGCATACACGTATATTCTTTTATCTATACCATCTTCCAAATTGGGAAACCCTGCACATTTGGGGAATTGGCTAAATTAAGCTAAACTGAAATGTGGTTGCAAGAATACTAAAACTTTGCTGCAGATCCCTGTTATTTGCCGAGTGTTAGGTTAATTTTGCGTTGGCTCTCTCGTCCTCTTTTTTCTCTTTAAATACACTGTTTGGCCGAGTCCTGAAATGTGTTGATCCAAAAGGGAAAAAGAGAAGCGACAATTTCCCAAGAAAGAGATGCCGTTTTCCCCAGGGTCTGTCATGCCACCTGCTCCGCAATCCCAGTCACAAGGTGGGAGAGCTCATCTCCTGGCTTCCTCGCTCTCTGGGCCTTTGCTCCTGCAATGCATGATTATATTAAATGTGATTCTTAAAAAATTGATGATGTTTAAGCTCCTGGAACTGTCAGAAGAAGGCCCTAATAAGATGACTGTATGTGCAGCTTTTCATGTTGCCAGTAGGTTCTATAATTATAAGAAAATGAGTTGTTATAGCAACTGCCATGTAGGCCTCGCTTCCTCCTGGGGATGCTGAGCGCTCAGCTCTGTGATCCAAGTAACTGGGAGGGAATTTGGTTCTTTAAGGGGTTTCAACCCTCACTTGGGTGATCATCATTCATTCATTCTAATTCTTGACAACCTGAACCCAGTTTTACTTTGCAATCTGACAGACCTGGTTTGAATGTTAGTTCTATAACTCACTGGACTGTGTGACCTTGGGCAAGTCACCTCACCTCCATCAGCCTCAGTTTTTACTTCTGTAAAATGGGGATGCCAGTGCCCACCAATTGAGAGAGCCATTGTGATGATGGTGCTTGGGATGTGGCTAGCACAGCGCCCGGCATGCAGTAGCCCCTAAAATAGACGGGACACATTCCCCTTAACTTCTTTCACTGGGAGCAAATGAAAAATGAAAATGCTACAAGTAGGGAGGGTAGGTGTTTTCATAGTCTTTAAAAAAGTATTGTCATTAATTTGGGTAGCATTTGTGGCTTGAAAACCAGGCTACTGAACAGAAATTCCAGGCTGAATCATGTACAAGATATGAGACAGGGAAAAAAAGAGAGACGAAGAGAGAGAGAAAAAAAGCTAAATATAAATGAATATTTAGCTAATGAAACTGACTTGAATGAAAACTCCAACTTTACTTTATATTGCATTTCTCTGAGGCTAAGAAAAAAAAATTTCTAATTTCTAAAAGAATCTCCAAACTGAGTCAAGAAACCTGGTTTCTGGTCTCAATCTTTGGGCCTCAGTTTTCCCATCTGTAAAATGAGGTAGTTGGGTGAGTTCATCCCCAAGAGGCCTGGAACAATCGTTCTCAGTCAGAGGTGATTTTGTTTCTCAGAGGACACTTGGCAATATCTGGAGACAGTTTTGGTTGTCACAGCTGGGGGTAGGGATGCTATTGGTCTCTAGTGGGTAGAGGCCAGAGATGCAGCTAAACACCCTATGATACATAGGACAGCTCCTTACAACAAAGCATTTTCCAGCCCCAAATGCTGAGAAACCTTGCTCTAGGATTTACCAGCATGTTCGCTGGGTCTAAAACCAGAAATCAAACCATAGTCACGCCACCAAGGATAAGTCAGATTTGTTCAGTATTTCAGTGTCTTATCCTAGCAATCTCCCAGAGATTTGAAGCCTTAGAAAAATTAGAAAAGGTAAAGACAAAAAGACTTCTCAAGGTTGTAGGAAGCTCAATAAAAAAATGAGATGGCCACAGGAAGTGCGATACTGC
Source organism: Homo sapiens (assembly GCF_000001405.40). Taxonomy (NCBI): domain Eukaryota; kingdom Metazoa; phylum Chordata; class Mammalia; order Primates; family Hominidae; genus Homo; species Homo sapiens. The sequence goes on from NC_000005.10 coordinate 174,077,119, forward strand.
ACAACCCTAAACAGACCCAATATGATTGTTTTGTGCACAAAGCAAAATGTACTTGATGCAATTTTAGGTCTATAAATAGCTTTATTTTTTTTGTATAAAGGAGGATAAAAATAAATCTTGCAGATATTTCAACTGCCCTTCTCATTTCCAGCTCCTCTCTTCGGTTTTGACATGTCAAGCCACAGTCAGAGTGTGTCTCTTCTGAAACTCACAGGCAATCACTTCCTTTCCCTGCTTCAAACCATTCTGGGGCTTCTCTTGATCATTAGGGTAAAATCTGAACTCCTTCACCTGCTATATACTTGGTCTCTCGAGCCTGTCTCTTGCTCATCTCTTCAGTCTCCTCCGAACAAGCTAAATTACCTGTCGAATTCTCGACACACTGGACCCGATTTCATCTCTACTCCTCCGCTTAGCTGTTCTTTCTACTCCGAATGCTTTTCTCTTCCCACAGTCTGGTGGCCACCTATTCATCTCATAAAACTGGCTGGGACATCACCTCCTTTCCTAGTAGCTGCACCTCTCTTCCTCATTTTCAGAAAGGACTGACCATTTCCTTTCTGGGACTTTAATCACTGGGCAGAATTGGTCATCTTTCCCTCCTTCATGCAGTTATTTCCTTTCCTGCGTTTTTCTGGTGCTATGAAAGCCTGGGCTCTTGCGGACAGAAACTGCCCTGATTCAGTTTTATAGCCCCGTATGCCTATACATTCTGGGGCCTTGAATACAGTAGGTGGTCAGTAACCTTTGTTTTAAAATAAGAATAACATACAAATGCACAACATTCTAACAGTACAGAAAGGCATTCACTGAGAAATTAAAGTCTCCCTTTCCCTCCTTCATAGTTCTCACAAAAAATATCTGTTGTCTACATCTGTGCTGTCCAAATTGGAAGCCCCTAGCCACCTGTGGCTATATACATTTAAATTGGTCAAAACAAAATACAATTTAAAGTTTAATTTCTATCACACTAGCCACATTTCAAGTACTTAGTAGCCATGTGAGCCTAGTGACTACCATATGGGACAGCTCAAATTTAGAGAACATTTCCATCATTGCAGAAAGTTCTGTTAGTCCAGGAGCAGCTTCCTATGTTCCTATGATCTCATCCAGGGACATTTCCTAAAGGTCTTATATGTACAGTACACGCACACACACCACACACACACACACACAGACACACACACACACACTTAAACTTGATTTCCTCATTCATCTTTTCAAATGTAACCATTGTATACACATTCTCTTGTACCTTGCTTCTTTCTCTTAATAATATATCTCAGAGATCTTTCCACATCAGCACATTGAGATCCTTTTTCTTCCTGTTAATGGTTGTAGACAGAGGATGTTTCATCATCTTTCTCAATTAGTCCACGATTGTTCTAGCTTTCAGCCTTCTGCTGCTGAAATCAAGCTGCAGTGAACCTCCTTCCAGTGAACTACATGCACTACTACAGTTTGAATGTTTGTGTTTTCCCACAAATTCCGATGTTGAAATGCTAACCCCCAAGTTCATATTAGTTATTAGGAGGTGGGGCCTTTGGGAAGTGATTAGGTCACGGGGGTGGAGCTCTCATGAATGGGCTTAGTGTCTTTATAACAGAGGCCCCAAGAAGCTTGATCTACCCTTCCACCATGTGAGGACACAGATAGAAGGCACCATCTATGAACCAGAAAGTGGGCCCATCCCAGATACCAAATCTCCTGGTGCCTTCATCTTAGGTCTCTCAACTTTCAGAACTGTGAGAAATAAATGTCTGTTGTTTCTAAGCTATCCAGTCTATGGTATTTTCTTATAACAGCCCAAATGGACTAAGACACACGCACACACACACATGCACACGCACACCCCTTTCATATGTTCTGCAAGTGTAAGTGGAGGGCATGAGAGTCTTCAATCTTAAAAACCTTGCCAGAGGGTATATACACCTTCCCTTTTAATTAATAAATTTTGCCAAATTACCTTCCAAATATGTTCCACCAGTCTATACTCCCCCAACAGTGCCTAAGCGTGAGCTGCTCCTCCCCGTGTGCTGGCACCAGGTTTTAACCAACTCTAAGTCCTACCCATCTGATAGGTAGGAAATGGCCCTTCCTCTTGAAGTCTGCATGTCTTTCTCTCTCTTTCTCTCTCTCTCTCTCTTTTTTTTTTTTTAGATGGAGTCTTGCTCTGTCGCCCAGGCTGGAGTACAGTGGTGCAATCTCAGCTCACTGCAACCTCTGCCTCCCGGGCTCAAGCGATTCTCCTGCCTCAGCTTCCTGAGTAGCTGGGAATGCAGACGCCTGCCACCCCACCTAGCTAATTTTTGTATTTTTAGTAGAGACGGGGTTTCACCATGTTGGCCAGGCTGGTCTCGAACTCCTGACCTTGTGATCAGCCTGCCTCAACCTCCCAAAGTGCTGGGATTACAGGCGTGAGCCACCATGCCTGGCCATGCACATCTTTCATTATCAGTGAGTTTGAGCTTCTTTTTGGGTTCTTATTGCCTGTTTGATCATTGGTTCTTTTCTGGAAAAATTCTTATCTGGCTGGACCATTTGTTCCTTCCTCCTGATTTGTGTTGCTACCTCCCAAAGCTACAGACTTAGTTTTTCTCCCTTGTTTGTTATTTCCTCAGTCGTCCTTTGCCTTTTGGTTTTGTTTATGGTGTAACTGCTTTTTTCATTCTACAATATTTCTAACTTTTGCTTTAACTCAAATTAATCATGGACTCCACAAGGCATGAGGGAAAATATTGATACATTTGACTTTAAAAATTAAGGCCATCTCCCACCCTAAATTTATGTTTTCTTCTGGTGCTTTTATGATTGTGTTTTATATGTTACAATTTTGATTCATTTGGAATTTGTCTCTGTGTGAAGAGCAAGCTGGGAATCCAAGTTTATTTGTTTTTGAATGGCAGTTTGTCAGGTGTTCTAAGATCATTTATTAATCTTTTCCCTCTCTGACTTGACATACAACCTTTAAAAAAGCTACTGCATTTCCATATGGGTTTCAGTCTACTTCTGTTCTCTCTTTTCTTCTATTGAACTGACTGTTTTTTGTTATTGTATACCAAATTCTTTCAGTTACAGCTTTGTTACACATCTTTATATCTGTGTAAATTATTCTTCTCTCATTCCTTTCACTCCTTACCCATTCTTGCATTTCACTTTTGCAGGTAAATATATATATTTATATATGTTATATATATATAAAATGTTATATATAACCCTATATATAAATTAACCTTATTATATATAACCATATGTATGTGGATATTTTACTACTGTTACTGTTTACTTGGATTACATAAATTTATAGATTTCAATTTGAGGAGATGCTACGTCTTTAAAATATTGAGATTTTCTTTCTTTCCCTCTTTCTTTCTTTCCCTCTTTCTTTCTTTCCCTCTTTCTTTCTTTCTCTCTCTCTCTCTCTCTCTCTCTTTCTTTTCTTTCTTTTCTTTCTTTTCTTTCTTGACAGAGTCTGTTCTGTCGTCCAGGCTGGGGTACAGTGGTGTGATCTTGGCTCACTGCAACCTCCACCTCCCGGGTTCAAGTGATGGTTGTGCCTCAGCCTCCTGAGTAGCTGGGATTACAGGCACGTGCCACTACACCTGGCTAATTTTTGTATTTTTTAGTAAAGATGGGGTTTTACCATATTGGCCAGGCTGGTCTTAAATTCCTGATCTCAGGTGATCCGCCCGCCTTGGTCTCCCAAAGTGCTAGGATTACAGATGTGAGCCACCACGCCTGGCGTAAAATATTGAGATTTTCTATCTAGAAGCAAGATTGCATCTGTTGAAGACTTTCATCACTTTCAGTTGAGCTGTAAGATCATTTTTGCAGTTCTTGTTAAATTTATTCCAAAGTATTTTACCTGTTTTTTTTTTGTTGTTGATATTGTACAAGGAATCTTTTCTTTTGTTGTTTTTTAACTGGGTATTATTTATACTTAATAAAAATGCTTTTGAATTTTGTATATTTATTTGCCTCCAGTTACCAACTTCTCTTATTATTTCTAATAATTTCTTTAAAATTTTGATTCTTTATGTTTATAAGGAATATACAATTGTTCCATCTGCCTGTAATTCTAATATTGCTCCTCTTTTTCTGATATTTAGTTTTCTTATGTTATTTCCTGTTTGCAATTTTTAGACTCCTGATGTCATTTTCCTGTCTAATTGCAGTGGTCAGTACTTTCAGATTTGCTATTTCTAGTGTTTTAGCATTTACATTTTGATGTTTTTTTCCCCCCCAAATACCCTTTCTGCATTTACGGACATGGTGATATGGTTTGTCTTCTTTGACTTGGCATTATGATAAATTATACTAATATATTTTCAGATATTAAGCCATTCTTACATGTCCTCATTTGGTCATGGTGTACCATGGAGTTCTGTTTGCTAATACATTACTGTATTTAAAATTTTTGCTTTATTAATATTGTGAGGTTGTGTTGAGATTTACTTTTTGTGCTGTCTTCATCAGGTCTGGTATTAATGTCATTCTGCCTCTGTAAAAAGAATGTACGAGCATTTTTTTAAAAAGAATGTGCAGGCAGATCATGAGGTCAGGAGATCAAGACCATCCTGGCTAACAAGGTGAAACCCCATCTCTACTAAAAATACAAAAAATTAGCCAGATGTGGTGGTGGGCACCTGTAGTCCCAGTTACTTGGGAGGCTGAGGCAGGAGAATGGCATGAACCCGGGAGGCAGAGCTTGCAGTGAGCCAAGATGGCACCACTGCACTCCAGCCTGAGCAGCAGTGAGACTCCGACTCAAAAAAAAAAAAAAAAAAAAAGAGAGAGAATGTACATGCATTTTTCTTTCTCCATGTCCTGGAAAATTTGACAGTAGAGAAATAATCTGTTTCTTTATATATTTTTTAAAAACAGAATTAACCCACAAAATCATCTTAGCATTTGGAAGGATGTGGGTAGTTTTCAGTAAATATGTGAAGAATTAACGTACAAATAAATTTCATTTGTACCCGACCACCTGTCTGAAGCTTTGAAAGATTACATTTAGAAATGCACCCATTGCCATTCTCTTAATTGTAACTCCCTTCAGCAATTTTTTCGAGTGGCCCCATTCAGTCAATAAGTGTTTACACAGTAGCTTCCATGTCCGGAGCCTTGGGGTAGATGGTATGGATGATTCATGGAAGTACAAGACGTGGCTTACAATTTAATGTTCCCAGGGTGCGGACATACAGCTGAAGCTTCTGTTTATGTGAATTTGATTCTAAAGCAATATCATTTATCATTGAATATTAATGGAGCAGTATTTGCAGATTACCCTTTAGGCTTACATTAGTCATCCTTGGATTTAGAGTTCAGTAGCTCAGTCCAGGCTGCACACACTGAGCCAGCACATGGTCTTTCCTTCTTGCATCAGAGTCTGGCTTCCCTCCCTGTTGCAGGTCTGCAGAGTAGAGCATGTTGATTGCTCTGTGGGGTGTGGCTCTGCCACTGGCTCCCTGTGTGACTCACTTCTCTTCCATGAATTTGGGTCTTTCACCTGTGAGATGGAGACACCGATCTTACTTTGTCATACTTAGATAGTATATGTAAAGCATCAAAACACAGTTGGCACCCAGAAAATCTACATTTACCTCCTCGTTTTGGTATCTCCCAAAATAGCTAGCTGAGTACTGGGCTATGAAGTACTATGGGGTATGGGACAGTTGTTCAAGTCTAGATTATTTTTAGAGCCCTTGACTGGTCTTCCTGCTTCCAAAATCCACTCCTTCCAGTCAATTTCCATCCAAGCTGCCAAAGTGATTTTAAAAACGCCAATGGAACCATGTCCATGAATGCCGGATATGACAGACCCACTGGCTCTCTAGTGCCCCCAGTAAACTCTTCAGTCTGAACCTTATGCTCCTTCCTCAGGCTTCCTCTGCTTACCATCCAAGACTTGTCTTTCACTGTCATGGGCCACTCCAACGTCCACACCCTGGGGCAGGCTGTTCTCTCCACCTGGATCCCCCTTTTACTCTCTCCTTCCAGGCTGGCCCAGGAGCCCCACTCCCCAGTGCCATCTCCATCACATCGCTTCTCACCTTGCCTTCTATGAGTCTTTCCTGAGAGCCGACACCACGTATACGTCATCCCTGACTCCCATGTGCCTGGCCCAGGGCCAGCGAAGGGCTAGGCATTCAGCTTGTATCTATTGTCCAGTGAACAATTAGGCTTTGGCTTGCATGGTAAAATATGAATGACATTTTCTCCATTTTAGTTCTCTGGGGATCCCTGGGGGAAATTGTTCTTTATAACAGAAATGAGGCCAGGAAAATCAATTGTGTTTCTCGGCTGCAGGAGATGATGGAACAGCGTAACTTTCCTGAATATCCCAGGGCACAGCACTATAACAGAGTGGCAAGAGGTGGACTGTGCTGGAGGCCCCTTTCATTCTTACGTGCATTTCAAGCCAAGCTCAGGCGAGAACTCACCATTCAGCTGCCCACTGCTCATGAAATTCAGGAGCTGGCGTGCTTGCAAAGCTTCCTTGCAAAGCTCCTTTTTTCTTTTTAGGTCATAATGAGCTGGTTGGGCAGCTGCTTGGTTGCCAATGACTTTATAGTTAAACACCCACACTCCAAGACTCTGCCTTCAGTAAATGGAGGGAGAACAAAAGACCGCAAGAAAGACAGGAGAATGAACATTGATACAGCATCTTCTGGGTTCTAGGCACAGTGACTGCTGCATTTGTCTACTTCCTTGACCTGCATAAGTGCCCTGTGATGGGGACATTATTGTAATCACTCCCTTTGTACAGAAGATAGAGAATGAGAGAGAAGTGACTTGTCCAAGGCCACATGCGTTAGATAGGGGCCATTTGTGTGTCTTCTGAGCAATCAGTTTGCTTTTATCTTCTGGACTCTATGAATATTATCGCCGACCCATTTCCTATCATTGGTCAGGTTTCTGGAAAACCTTGAGCTATATGTCTTGCCCGCCTGCTGCAAGTAGGGACACTGTTAACATACCTGCCTCCAACTTATGGCCATCCTTTTTCCTTCCATTTCCTCCATTACTATTTTTCTCATCTATAAAATGGGAATAACAGTAATTATACTGATCACAATATTGTTGTGGAGAAACCAAGCAAAGTGCTCAGGGCAGAATTGGGCACAGTGTGAACACTCAACGTGGAGCCTGTCAGTTGCCAGAAGTCATTTCTGGAAAAAGAGGAAAGTGTAATAAAGATAAGATGAGCGAAACAAGTTAGGTGGCATTTTATACTTAGCATAGGTTTATCAAGCACCTACTGCAACCAAGTCCTGGCCAGATGCAGGGGCTATAGAGATGAGTCCTCAGGGCCTCGGGCCTCAAGGAGCAAGCGGTTCAGTCAAAACCCAGGTCTGCCACAGGTGAATGTCAAACTGGCTTTCTCAGCTGGCCTGATGCGAGTTCCTTCCACGGAGCCTGTAGTGAAGAGCATTCCATGCTCTCTGCATCTCCTGTCCTGCTTTATTTTCTGTGTCCAGGAAGCAGCCCAGATCTGAAGCTCACCTCCAGCCATGTGGTTTGTCCATAGCCCCTCAAAGAAGAGCTTTGCATAAAGGAAGACACCCCTGGGCTGACGCCCCACCCTCGGTTGTGAGGCCCCATTCATCCTGCCAGGGCTACGGGGTCACAGTTGAATAAGCACACAAACAGGGGACCCAATTTGCAGCTGCGGCAGGCAGATCGGCTGAGGGAAGATAATTTCATTAGGTTCCAGGCTCTTGCTCTAATGCTCTGTGGCGATGTCTCTGTGGCCTTGCAGGCTGGCTGTGCGTGCACTCCTGTGTCTACTGGATAATTTTCTTGTCTTTGTACAGTCAGAATGGTGGATAAGGATGTGCACGTCCATCTTTTTTGGAGCCAGGAAGAGTGGGTGAAATGCAAGAGTCTGATTTCTGCTCTGATCAAACCATGGGAAAGTTAATTAAGGCTGTGACTCACCAGACCATCTTGATGAAATTAAGCAGTGCAGCCAGGCCTCTGGCTATTTTAGTGGCAGGAAGTCAAATGGTTGGCTCTGTTGGTGACTCCATAAGTGTATATTTAAATAATAATGACAGTAATAATATCCAACATTTATGGGAGCTTTACATCCAGCATCTTTGGAAGTCCACCCAATGTACCTAGTAGGTAGGTGTTATGATTCAGATAAGGAGATGCAGATAAGGAGACTGAGGCTCAGAGAGGTGGCGTCGTGTACTGAAGGTAACACAGCCAGGAAATTGTGGAGCAGAGATTAAATCCTAGTTTGATGGTAAGGCCTATTCTCCTTTTCCCACCTCACACTGGTTCTCTTTCAGGTTCCTGCATCCCAGTCTCTGAACAGCCAAAACTAAACTGCTATATCATCTGTATCCTGAACGCTTGCTAGCCCTTCATTTTCTTAATAGCAAATTAAAATTATCATCATGGCAGCAGTAAATAAGCTTCATGACCTCACTGCTCCAAGCCCATTTGCCTGCATTTTGGGACAAATTTGTAGCTACAATCATTGCCTGTGGAAACAGCAAGACTGTGCGATGACATCTTAATTTCCCGAGTTTCACTTTGTACAAAATGACCCTGGTGAGACTTGTGAGGGTTTTCTTGTTTGGATCATTTTTCCCAAACGCTAGTGATTGACAAGTTTGCGGATGAAAGCTCCACATCCCAGGCCAGAGGAAGGCCTAGGTGTATTGAGCAAATGTCAGAAAGAAGAGACTCCACCTGACCTGGCTGTGCGAGGCTAGGAAGTCCTTTCACCTTGCCACAGTCAGATGGGGATTAATGACATCTTCGTCAAACCGTTGTTGTTATTTTGGACTTAAACTAAAGCAATGCACGCAAAGCCCAGCTCCTGGCTTACAGGGATGCTCAATGAATATTAGGTCCTTCTCCTCTACATTCTCAAATCCCTCCTTTGTGGTAGATGGTGGCCTGTACATATTTGGAGATTTTTTGTGGACACATGTTTCAGACCCGTTTAACCCCCTGCCCTGCCCTGTCAAGTACCTGGCCACAGGAGCCCATGGTGCCAGCTGGAAGCCAGCTCCTGGCTCAGCCCCAGACAAGTCACACTCCTGGCCTCACCCTGGGCCTTGTTGAACAGATTGGGGTGATTGCTGGCTAACTGACCCCGGGCCAATCACTTTCTGGAAACTTATTTCCTCTAAAATAGGGATAAAAAGCCCAACCAGACAGGGTTGTTGAAAGGCTTAATGCAAGTAACAAAAGAAAGTAATGAAAGCACCATCCCCAAGTTAAAAACTGGGAAACTTCATGTAATTTCATGATCTCTACCTTTCTTGAAAAATCAGATCAGCCATGTTAGAATCTCATTCCCGTCCTTGACAACGATTGTCTGGAGCTGTGCAGCTGCTGTCCCCTGTCAATGAGGCAGGTTCCCTCTAGGTCCCGAGCATGCCACAGCAGCCTTCTTCACTCATTGGTGGTGTGTGCCTGCTCCCTGCTTGCACAGAGAAGGTCACCAGGCCAGGTTGGCTCCTTTCCTCTCAACAGGTCGGTGAGATCTAGGTAAACAGGTTTCCATCTATGACACACTTGCTTTTGCTTTGTTGCCTTATAAAGGCACAACCTTGTGAGTTAAGGCCTCAGCTTCTCCATCCTGTAAGAGGTTCACTGTCAAAGGTCTTAGTATTCTCTGGCCCATGTTGAGTGATGACTTGAACTTTTAAAATGAAAAACATTTCGGGAGCCCAGAGATTTATCTCCTACATCGGCAGGGCCCTCGGACCCTCGCTCTTCTTCCTAACGATTATACCACAGCACATTAATTTGGGAAATGAATTACTGCTTTGGAATGTTCCAGTTCAAACTGTGCTTTTTCTCTTTCAAGGATTCCACAAATATTAATGAGTTTCTGGCTCTACACCCAGGAATCACACTTCTACACCCCTCCTTCTTCCCATGGGGAGCTTTCCTCTCTGGGTTCTGAAAGAGATTCCTGAATTATTGCTCATATAAAGTTTGAGGCCATAGATGTTTCATTTTCCTTTTACTTTCAAAAGGCAATTTACTTAGTGAGATTCATTGGGGCCCTAGAGAATGGGCTTCTTTAATGGGTTTTGGGGGGCTTCCATGGGGAGCTGACCAAACATTATGATAATGCAATCTTTTTGGTTTGCGGATGGAGAGAACCGGTGTATTCCATGCTGCAACAATCATACAGCCACTCCAGAGGCTGTGGAGTGAGTAGAAGGTGCACATGGCCTTTATGGTCACACCTGAATTCAAATCCTGGCTACTCCATTCATTAATTGAGTTTCCTTATAGGCAGGTGACTTAACTACTCCGTGTTTCATTTTCTTCATGTATAAAACAGGAAAAATGACAGGCTCTACCTTATAGAGTTGGTTTTAAAAATTATTAGCAAGAAATGAGGCTGAGCATTGTGGCTCATGCTTGTAATCCCAGCACTTTGGGAGGCTGAGGTAGGAGGGTTACTTGAAGCCAAGAGTTTGAGACCAGCCTGGGAAACACAGTGAGACTCCATCTCTACAAAAAAATAATAAAAAAAAAATAGCTGGGCATAGTGGTGCACCCCTGCAAGTCCTCCTACTTGCAGGAGGCTGAGGTGGGAGGATCGCTTGTGCCTGGGAGGCTGAGGCTGCAGTGAGCCAAGATCGCACCACTGCACTCCAGACTGGGTAACAGAGGGAGACCCTGTGTCAAAAAAAAAAAAAATTGTTAACAAGAAATGAAGTTAAAATAACTACATCATGTTTTATAAATTCTAATATGCATCTTAAGCCTTTCCAGTGAAATCATCTTGGATATGAGAGCACAGCCCACAGACAAAGCCAACTCCTTCTCTAGGGATTGACCCTAGAGAATTGAGGTCTCTAATTCTGTCTAATTGAGGGATTAGACAGAACAATGGGCAGTAAACAGGCCCTCCACAGATGTTACCTCCCATACCTGTCTTGCCATTTTAGGGTTGTCATTTCTATCCAAGAGAGGATCTTTACAGGAATTCTTCTGATATATTGACTTAGATGCCATTTACTGAACACATACTGTTTCAGACCGAAGCCAGACAGGTGAGCTCCATAATCTCATTCCACCTTTCGGCGTTTTGGGGTGTGAGAGAACATTCTAGTTCCTGTTTTATGAATGAAGAAACTGAGGCTTAGAGATATCACAAAAGTTGTTCAAAGTCGCACAGGTGGTAATAGTGGGAGAAGCTGCAGGCGGAGAGTCCGTCTGTCCCCAGAGGCTATACTGGCTCCAGACCAGCTCTGGCCAGTAATGAAGGCTGTCTTCAGCCTCATTCCAGTATTTCACAACACCCCAAGGAAACGATTCCTTTTCTTCTGATTAGGCCAAATAGACCAACAGAAACATCATGATCACCCTGGTTATCTCCTATTCTCAGATATGTGCATGAGTCTGATAAATCCAAAACAGGAGAATGAATTCATTCGTATTGAATAAATGCAGTCTGTTTGGCATGAAAAAAACTCATTTGAAACATGGGAACTATGGGACAGGGAGAGGAACAAGACTTTAGATCCTAAGGCATGTTCCTTCTCCCAGATCCTTGGTCTCTGGGCACCTGCTCTATGCCAGGCGCTGGGCTTGGCATTTCCACACAATGATTTCATTTCCTCCTTACATCCGTGCTTCAAGGTGGCTATTAGGATTCTCGTTTCCAGATAAGACAGCTGAGCCCAGGAAATGTAATAAGAGACCCAGAAAGTGATGGGTGGGAATCTCAGCAAGGGTGTTTCTGGCTTCAGGACAAAGCTGAGGTCAAGACCTGGTTTTTCTCTTTATCAGGACAGAACAGATGGATGCAAAGGTGAAGTCACAGTGAAACATACTTCCTGGCCTGGGAACATGTGGGCTTTGAGGGCAGACTTGGCTTCTAGGTATTATTTAAAGGTGAAATTGGTAAGCCCCTTGAAGGGGCTGAGTGGATGTGGAATCAGCCATGACCCCCATCTGCATACCGATACTGACAGGGATCAGAAAGGGGCTTTGGGTTCTGGAATCCCACCACTCTTGCCTTCTAAGGCTCACTGACAAGGAGGTCTGTCTATAAGGACTAGCCCCAAATGGCAAAGAACTGCTGTATTCACCTGGCAAGCATCCCTAACTCCGAGGGGCAGCACCTCCAGTAAGCAAAGCTGGGGTTGAGGCTCAGGGTGGGGTCCTCAATGAATTTACAGATTCCTGTCCTGTTGTGCCCACCTTCGCCCCAAAGAGGGATCTCATCCTGCAGTGCAAGGAGGCAGTCCAAAGTGTACGCCGCCACCAGAGGGAAACCCATGAGGTGGAAGGTAGGAGAGGGTGTATTTTTTTTTCCATGTCTAGTGTCAGGCTCACTGAAAGATAGCTGAAGTCAGGATGCCACAGGGAAGGAGAGGAAGAGCGTCTTACTCTTCCTGCACAGAGGAGCCTGGCCCAAAAAAGATACCCCAGGCTTCTCCGTGCAGGAAGAATAAGATCCCTACCCTCATCCTGACCCACGAGGAAAGAAGGAAAGGAAGAGTTTGTGGGGATTTTGTTGTTTGCATGTTTGAGACAGTTCTTGCTTGATTTGTTGCCCAGGCTGGGGTGCACGACTCACTGTAGCCTCAAACTCCCTGGGCTCAAGTGATCCTCCCAGCTCAGCCTCCTGAGTAGCTGGGACTACAGGTGTACACTACCACCTCCGGCTAGTTTTTACTTTTTTCTTTTTTGTAGAGATGGGATTTTGCTATGTTGCCCAGGCTGGTCTTGAACTCCTGGCCTCAAGTAATACTCCTGCCTCGACCTCCCAAAGTGCTGGGATTATAGGCATGAGCCACCACACCCAGCCAGGATGAGATGTTAGTGGGGCCTGGGCTCTGGGAGGCAGGAAGAGAAAGGCAAAGGGCTGGAACCTGGTGCCTGCCTTTTAAGGCACAGGGTCCCCAGTAAAGCATAGCTCGTTACAAGTTTGACTCTGAAAAATAAGATATGGAATGCCTTCTCCTGCCTTCACATTGGGCACAGGGGCAGCTGTGTTGACGGTCCCCAAGACCATCCCCAGGTTCAATAATTCACCAGGAGGACTCACAGCACTCAGCATATGGCTGTATGCATGGCTGTGATCTCTTACAGCAAAGGGATACGCAGCAAAATCAGCAAAAGAAAAGAAAAAAAGAGCATGAGGCAACGTCGAGGGGAAACCAGGCACAACCTTCCAAGAATCGTCTCCCAGTGGAGTCATGGAGGATGCGCTTCATTCCCGCAGCAGTTTCAGAGGCGCGTGGGCAACGTCCGCCAGGGAAGCTTGTTAGAGACTGTCTCCAGGGTTTTCACTGGGGGCTGGTCACATAGGCACTGTTTGCTTAGCACCCACCCAAGTTTCAGACTCCAGGTGTTCAACATAAGCCATATTGTAAGTACAAGTTAGGCAGGGTGAGCCACTCCTATCAGTTCTGGGGATGGTGGGAACATTCTTAAAATCCAGCTTCCCAGACACCAGCCAAGGGGCCAGTCTTGCATGCAGACCTTTCCAGGGGTACCAATCTCAGGCTGGCTGTGTGAACTGTTTTGTGTGAAAACGCCCTCCAAGACTCCTCCCAGGTAAGGTGTGTCTGTGTGTATTTGTTCAGGGCAGTGGGGTGGGGAGGTAGAAGACAGGGTAGAGATTCCTTCCTCCTCATGGACAAGGTAGCAAATTGAGCACGGGGGCAGAAATGCCGTCTTCCCCAACATGGCTGACTTATGTCCAGAGGAGATACTGCTGGGTGTGCTAGACTGTGGTATTAGCAGAATTATTCTTATCCTTGCAAGAATTACAGGGAGACATGGAGTAGTTTATCTGGCAGGGGAACCCCCACTGGAATGCCTAGCAGTGCCACACATTGAAATTTGGGAATGATATTTAATTTTCCAAACCAACTTTGCTGATCTGATTCTTTCTTTTCTTCTTCCTTCCCCTTCTTCTTCCTTTTTTTTTTTTTTTTTTTTCCATCAACTTTTCTGCCAAGAAAGGGGATTAAGGAATGGAAGTAGCTTAATGGAACAAGCTATTTGGGCTGCCGGGCTCATGTCTCCATGGAGATGGTAATGCAGGCTGTGTCTAGACAGACGGTTGGCGGGGATGCAGTGAGACAGTTGTGCGCCTCTGACTGGAGCCGAGATCTGCACGGATGGCCCTCTGGGCTGAGGGGGATAGTCTGGCCCTGCTATGGGGCCTGTCTCTTGGGGTTGGATGGAGCAACTAGATGTGAGTTCTTCTTCCGAGTTCACCTGTGTGCCCTTTGTGCAGGCCCAGGCCAAGAGCTGGGCAGGCGGCCACCGAGGCACAGGCCCTACTCTTGAGGAGCTCATGGACTGCTAGGGCAGGCTGATGTGTTACGTGGCTGTGATAGCACATGTGATGTGTGGCTGCAGCTGGAACTGATGGCCTTGGGAGCCTGGGGGGATGGGGGGCTTGCTCAAAGGGGAAGTCTGGGAAGGCTTCCTGGTGTGTGTGTGGAGCACCCTCTAAGTGGGAGGCCGTGGGAGGCATGCCAGTAGCAGACAGCCTAGAACTTTCAGGAACTAGGACTGGTGTGTGTGTGTGTGTGTGTGTGTGTGTGTGTGTGTGTGTGTCTGGGGCAGGAACAATTAGTGAAGTGGGACAGGTAAGCAGGGACCAGATGATGGAAATAGCACAGTGCCAAGGAAATAATACGTGTTTTGGATCCAGGCAAACCTGGCTTCTAGGTCTTGCTTTACTACTAATTGGCTGGATAATCCATTATTTAATCCACAATTTACCCAACATCTGCAAGCCTCAGTTTTGCCATCTGAAAACCAGGAATATCAACAGTCCTCACTTTATGGAATCCTGGGTAGGACTTAGTGAGATGATACTTGTCAAGTGCTGAGTAGCTGATGATTTAAGGATGTGAGTTTCTTGCCCTCCTTTATTCAGAAGCCAGACAAAGGATTTTGAACATTGTCTTGTTCCAATGACAGTCTCCAGGCTACTTGCATTCAAACCTCCTGGATTTGTGTGGAAAATGCTGATTTCTGGGTGTTATCATAGAACAGGGGGATCAGAATCTATGTGTACTCAGGACTCTGCATCTTACCATTCTCTTTAGATGGTTCTGATGCTTAGTCAAGTCATAGACCTGCTGTGCCAGGAGATGGGAAGTCAGGGGGAGGGCTTTCAGCCCCACCATGCAATGTTCAGAAGAGTAATTTAAGAAGATAGCTTTGGTGGCCAATAGGGAGAATAGTTAGGGTCGGGGATGCAGGAGGGGTCAGAGAGGAAATGATCCCTGTCAAAGGTGCTTTTCTGCCCCATTAATATGAATCATCAGCAAAACCCTTAAAGGGTGGGGCCCTTGGGCCCTGGGGAAGGTCAAACACAGAGGGTATGGCCCTGCCCTTGAGGGGCTGTCAGTTGGTTGGGGAGGACGGATCACAGATGTAATACAGTGTAATACCCAGGCAACACAGAGTAATACCCAGTGGCTTCGTGCTGAGGCGATAGTCGAACCAAATTCATAAATCCTGCATAATTACAAAAATAACAACAATGACAACAAGAAGCATTAATTTGTCACTTTAGCATTTACATGACTCTCTTTCCTTTTGCATTAATCATCTTGCTTGTACCTCATGATAGTTTTTCGTACATTAGCGCACTGATTTAGAGCCATTGTGTAGGTGGTGGGGTCAAGGCTTGTCTTGATTCTGAGGTGGCCCAGACTCGGCACGTGAGGATGCTCTATGTGACTATACAAAGTTGGAGGGGCCACAGTGTGTAAAATGGGATGGAACAGAAGGAATCAAGATTTAAGCTGGGATCCATGTAGATGGGAACAAGAAGCAAGCCTGTAAAAACATATGGGGGATTGATGGCAGGATTGTAATAAGTGTTTTTCCTTTTGGATTTTCAATATTGTTCTTATAATAATGGTGCAATATATTTTTAATAAAAATGAACTGTAATGTTATTGTAGGTTTATAGGCAGTCTAACATATGGTTAACCAGCTGGGCTTCTGAGTGAGACAGGTCTGAGTTATAATCCTCACCCTGCCCCTCACATATGTAAGGTCTTTCCATCTATCTCTGATACAACATTGTACAATGGGCACACTGATAGCACCTACTTCATGGAGTTGCAGGGCCATGAAGTATTGAAATGTATGTAAGCATTCCATGTATGCTAATTAACTAAAGGCATTCCCGGGAAAGGCTGAGCATCTACTAGGATAGGCTAGGCCTATCCTGAGGGCTTTTATGCACTACCACGCCCCGCCATCCAACAGCTATTGTGAAGCAGCCATCAGTGTCACCTACCTTTCAGAGAAGTAAGCTGAGGATTCCAAAGGGTAAGCAACTTTCCCAGGTTCATTGGTGAGCAGGTGGCGAGCTGTGCTTTCAGTCTAGACCTTCTGGCTTCGAAGGCTCTGCTTCATTCACTACTTGGTACTAGGGGAAGGGCTAAAAAGAACCCAGGTGTCATCTGGGCAGAATTTACAGAGGTTGCAACCCCTTTGAACTTTCTGCTCAAGCCCTATTGTCAGGATCTTTGGGGCTCAGCCAGGAACAAGGTGCCGGGAGGCCTAATTCTGTCTCTGGAGGTTCCAGCTGCCACATACAGAAGGCAAATGTCTGTTTGGCCGCCCTGTTTTTATTTCCCCACAAAGTTTAATTTCCCTGATGTGAGTGGTTCTATTGCTTTGAAGTTTCCAGGGTTTGCATTCTTCATAAAAAAGACTGGTTTATGGTGCACTGTGGTGCTAAGATGTGGCAGTACCTGAGTGTTAATGAAGTTCATGTTTCCTGACATGATGAGGGTCCTAGATCAGCATCCTGGCTTGACAGTGGAAGGGTTTTTGGTTTTCTCCACTGTCTTCCTAATTCCTGAGGTTTCTACCTGGGTGGTGACATATCTTCCTAGAATAAGTTTACAGTATGCATCGTGCATGGTATCTTGCTTCGTTGCACTATTACAAGCAAATGTAGCTGCAGGACAGGAAAATATGTATCACAACGCCAATTAAGGTATGGTTAGGGTTGAGGGCTTTAGAATGAGATACTCTAGAGTTCTAAGCAGGCTGTACTCCTTCAGGAACCATGTGGCCTCAGACAAGTTACTAAACCTCTCTGTGCTTCAGTTTCTACAGCTATAAAATGGGGGTAATAATTCAGCTTCCAGGGCTATCATGAGGTTTAAAGGAGATCACACATAAAAATCACTCGCCAAATGCCTTGCTCATTATTGAATAGTCAATAAGTGATTGTTATTATCAGGTAAGCCCATAGGCTGGGCCAGTAATACCAGGCAATTTATAGGCACCATCTCATTTAATCTTCACAGCAATCCTATGGGGTGGGATTGATTTTTCTGGTCCCCATTTAACAGATGAAGAAAAAGGGGCTCAGAGAGATGAAGCATCTTACCCAAGGTCACACAGCTCATCAGAAGCAGAAGCGAGATTGACTCCTGTCACGATGTGGCCATAGTTACCTCAGAGAACTGCCTAAATACTTTCCAGAATGCAGGGTCCAGCTCTCCCAGCTGTGAGAGAGAAGCTTCTCATCTTTGAGGGGCACAGCAGGCAGACAAAGAGGCCACTTCAGGGTCAACTAAGGATTCTTCCAGCATCAGACAAACTATACTTCAGATGACCATATGCAGTGATTTCATCCAACTGGGTTCTTCCCTTCAGTCACTCTGCCAAGCTGTAGAACAGTTAAGACGGGTCCTGAAAACTCACTGCAGCCAGTGCTTTGTACCAAAAGTGAGGATAAGG
This sequence comes from Homo sapiens, assembly GCF_000001405.40. Taxonomy (NCBI): domain Eukaryota; kingdom Metazoa; phylum Chordata; class Mammalia; order Primates; family Hominidae; genus Homo; species Homo sapiens. The sequence continues at coordinate 174,094,852 of NC_000005.10, forward strand.
TGTGGGCTAGGGAATGAATTAGCCTCTCCCCTATCCCATGCCAGGTCATGAGTTGGAAGTTGGGAATAAGATTTGGTCCCTGTCCACATGACACACGCAATGAACAATTGTGATCCAGTGGGCTGAGTGCTAAGTGGTAGATGGATGCACAAAGTGTAATGAGAGCAAAACTAGGCAAAGGAAGGCTTCTCAGAGGAGGTGACATGGTGAGTTGGGCTTTGAAGCATGACTAGGAGTTCACCAAGGGGAGAGTGGCTGAAAAGATATGCAAGAGCAGTTCATACGGCAGTCTTCCTGAGTGGTTGGAGCTTTTGAAGTGCATGCTGAGGAGCATGGCAGACAATATGGGGGAAGAGAGGAGTCCGCATTTGTAGCACGTATACCAGGCACTGTGGGAGGGCGCTGTATTCATTTCCTGGAGCTGCCAAAACAAATGACCATAAACTGTGCGGCTGAATGCAACAGAAACTTGTTCTCTCACAGTTCAGGGTGTCAGACATCCACTGCTGAGGTGCTGGCAGGGCCACATTTCCTCTGAAGTCTCCAGGGAAGAATCTCTCCTTTCCTCTTTGGGCTTGTGGTGAGCGCAGGTGTTCCCAGGCTTGTGGATGCATCACTCAAATCCCGCCTCCCGTTTTCATGTGGCTTCTCTTCTTTCTGTGGGTCTGTCTCCCTCCGTGTGTCTCTAATAGGGGCACTGCTTGAATTCAGGGCCTGCCTGCATAATCCAGGATGATTTCATCTCAAGATTCTTAACTAAATTACATCTGCAAAGGCCCCTTTTCTAAATAAGATCACATTGACAGGTTCTGGAGATTTGGATGTGGGCATGTATTTCAGGGGCCACCACTCGACCCACTTTCAGGTCCCACATGCATTATCCCACGTAACCCTCAGAACTCCGAGAGACAGATGTTGTTACAATTCCCCTTTGACAGAAAAGGAAACTCAAAAGATTAAAGGTAGACTTTATGCAAGCAGGGATTCCCCTGTCCTCTTTTTATGCCCAATGTGTGCAGTTATCTCTGACACACTGTAGGTGCTCAGTTAATAATTAGTGAATAAAATATCTCAGCCCAAGCTTTATGAGGAGGATAGCATAGGCTAAGAGCCCAGGCCACACTACATAGAACTAGATGCCTGGCTGGATTACTTAATGAGCTGTGTGACCTTGAGAAAATTATGCAACCTTTCTGTGCCTTAGTCTTCTCATCTGAAAAATGAGGATACAATACCACCTACCTCATAGGGCTGTTGTAAGGTTTGCAAGAGCAAATCCATGTACAGTGCCAAGAACAGTGCCTGGCACAATCAGTGCCTAGTAAATGGAAGTGAGAAGTATTACCCCACACTGTGTCCCAAGAGGGGCGGCAGACAGGTGAGGTTAATTAAAGTGCCCTAGGAGAAGTGTCTTGAAGAGCTGTGATCAGACAGCGTAGCGGCTCAACATTGCCTGAGGACTTCTGGGGAGACTTTGGGGAGGAGGAGATAGTTGAGCTGAGTCTAGGGTGAGCAGGGACTTGACAGGCTGAGGAGTGGGAACTGGCATTCTAGGCAGAGACCAGCAGCTGCAAGATCATGGGGGTGGGGAAAACTGGGGTACCTGGAGCTTGGAGGGCCAGGGTTGGGGCTGAAAAGGGAATGGAGGTTAAATCCAAAAATGCCTTGTCTGCTCTGGCAGACAAGAGATGAGCCCTCATCCTGTAGGTGTGGTGGCTCGTTCATCAGGGAGGCAGTGTGACCAAGCTGGCTTGTTGGAGAGTCTAGGGCGGACTGGAAGCCTAGAGGCTGGAGGCCCAGGAGCAGTGAGGCTGCTGCACCCAGGGGAGAGGTGATGGTGGTCTGGCCAGGGGGCTTATGATGAATATGGGGGCAGGGGGAGATAAATAAGCTGTGTCAGAGGCAGAAGCTGCCAGAGCTGGTGTCTGCCTAGGCATGGCTCTGGGGGAAAAGTGGAGGCAGGGGTCGCTGCAGAGTCAGGCCCCAGATGCGGTGGGCAGCGCTGCCTCCTGCCACGGCTGAGGCTGGTCAGGGGCATGGTGAGGTCAAGATGCCCATGATATAACTTGGTGCCTTTTCTCGACTTACCTCTTACCAACTGGGGAACCTTGGGGAAGTCACTTCACCTCTCAGAGCCTCACTTTCTCCATCAGCAAAATGGGGATAATAATTCTACTTCGTATGATTGTGACGATAGTGTGCACTACGTTCCCAATAACTCTTAGCATCTGTTGTTATTGTTACGACTCCTGCCACTGTGATTAGATGGAGGGAGGGTGGTGGGGCAGCGGTCGCTGTGACTGTAGTCCCGGCACATCTTTGCCAGAGTCGCCAACTCTGTGCTCTATTTTGAATTCTTCCTCTCTTCTGTCTTGGATCTCACAAGCCTGAAGAGGAATCTTGGGTGCATCTTCATGGGTGCCAGCCCAAACCCTGATTCTCCTCAAGGTTAAGGTGCTTTTGTTGGGCACATGTGTGGGGTGGCGGGGTTGAGGAGAGGGAAGAGAACAGGAGGAGACATGCAGGTGCTTCCGTGCACCACTACACCTGCACACGGCACGGTTTGGGCCAGGTTGCCGTCTGTCTGCTTGTGGATGTCTGGGGGGAGGCTGTGTGTGTGTATGTGTGTATGTCTGTGTGTGTGTGTCTTTCTCAGTGTGTGTGTCTCTGTATGTGTGTAACTATATGTGTGTGTCTGTATGTCTCTGTGTGTGTAACTGTGTGTGTGTCTGTGTGTGTGTAACTGTGTGTGTGTCTGTGTTTCTCTCTGTGTGTGTCTCTGTGTGTGTGTTTCTCTCTCAGTGAGTGTGTGTGTGAATATCTGTGTCTCTGTCTGTGTAACTGTGTGTGTCTTTTTGTGTGTGTTTGTCTCTGTGTGTGTCTCTGTGTCTGTGTGTGTGTCTGTGTCTCTGTGTGTGTACCTTTCTCTCAGTGTGTGTGTCTCTGTGTGTGTGTGTAACTGTGTGTGTGAGTGTGTCTCTTTGTGTGTGTCTGTGTGTGTGTGTGTGTGTGTATGAGTGTCTGTGTGTCTGTCTCTCTGGTCTTAATTCAACTCAACACTGCAGGTCAGGAAATGTTTCTGATCCCCACTTTGTATGAGTCACTACTGGGCACAGAGAAAAGGGTGCGACTCGCTTGCTGCCCGAGGCCTTCCCAGCAGAAGGTGGCTGGTAGGCGAGAGGGGTGATGGGGATGCAGTGTGCTCCTATGGAGGAGGAACTGGAGCAGGCCCCAGCTACACAGCAGGGATGGATTAGGGGTTCAGGGCTGGAGCTGAATGCTGAGGAGATGTTCTCCTTGCTGAGGAAAGGCACACAGGGGCTCCAGGCCTGGCCCAAGGCCCAGAGAAGCAACTGCAGGAGCTGTCAGGGTGCTGGGGCTGGAGGGGACAGTGTGAACCAGTGGGGAGAGGTACATGAGACTGGAGGGTGGTTGAGGGGGTGCAGGCTGAGCAAAGATGTTACCCCGACAGCACCAGGGCTGCCTCTGTGGGGAGCTACTGTCTTGGGCAGGACAAGGGTGATATTGGCCTCCAAAGCCCTAGGGGGCTGGACCCTGCTTTCCTTCCAGCCTCACCTCAGCGTTCTCTCCTTGTCCCCTTCGTCACAGCCAGACTGCTTCTTCCAGGCCCTCTGGAACCTCGAGCTCCTCTTCCTTGTAGGATCTCTGGGCGTCCTAGAATGCTGCAATGCTCTGGCCCGGGGTTGCCTGGAGCCCAGTCCCCTCTCGCTTCCAGGACCACCCCGTCAAAGGGCCCCCCTCGTGTGCTCTGTTCAGACCACATTCAGTGCTTGGTTTGTGGTTATTTCTTTGGTGAATTGCTCATTGAATGTCTCACTCTCTCCCTCCTGTGAACTCCTTGAGGCAATGGCTGTGCACAGCATCCGGCTCACAGTAGGCCCTTTAGTAGACTCTCAGTGAGCGGACGATGAGTGGCTGAGTGAGTGGATGAGGGGAGACGGGTGCAGAGAGGGTGATTCCGTGGTGAGGACTGTGCCTGTAATGAAACCCTCCAATGTAGCGCTGGAGAACTAGCGAGCTGTTTATCGCGAGGCTCAGGTTGTTAAATTCAAGAAGTGAAACCAAGGGCTTTAGAACGTCTCTGAGGATGGAGGTTATATAAACCGAGTCAATAAATATTGATGTGGAGTCCGGCTTTCATGTTCAGAGGTGCTTTGTGGGGAGGTGGGAGTTTCTCTCCCCGACCCTCTTAGGCTCACCCGGCATGGCGGGAGCTTTGTTGCAGGGATCAGGCACGTAGGCCCCTGAATTTCACAAATCCACCAGAAAGGGAGGCCGGGGAGGCTGGGTCCAGCAGGATGCCTCGCAGAACTGAAACCTGCCTGTAGGAAATCTCGCCCTGGAACCAAACCAGGACTCTCCAGCTCCCGCCCCACCCCAGCAACCATTGACAACTGCATCATCCAGAATCCAGAAAGCTCACCAGTGGAACTCGCCGGCCTGAGCCGGCCCTTCCTCCTCTTGTCTCGCAGTGCTGTGCTCACCTCTTATGCCATCTTAGGCCATTGACTCCACCCCACTGCCCCGTCTGGCCTCAGCACCTGGGACACGCCCTACTACATCAGCCTTCCCACTGGCCCCCTTGCCTTCAGCCATCCCCCTGCAAACATGCCTCCTGTTGCCCCCAGAGACATCACTCCAAAACATAATTCTCACCTTGTCGCTTCCCTGCTTAGAACTGTCACTGGCTCCCTGTTGTCCTTGAGATCAAGTCCAAGTGTAATCTGTTCTTTGCCCCCTGCCCAGGCCCCCAGGCTTCCCCATCACTCACACCCCTTGGGCCAGCCATGCCAAGGCCTGTGATGCCTCTAGAACAGCCTGTGTGCTCTCCACGTTCTTTCCAGGGCTGATGCCATTTCCTCTGCTCAGAGCCTTCTTCCCCTCATCCTAATGTTCTTCCATGAAGTCACTTATGATGTCACATCCCCCAGGAGGACGTCCCTGATGCCCCCGCCCCCAGGTTGATTAGGTCCAGCAGCCCCCTGTGCTGATGGCCTCAGTCATGGTGTCACCTCTGCGTTGCAAGTGTCTACACCCATCAGTCCATCTCTTCCTCCCCCTGTAGACTGTGAGGTCTCAAGAAAGAGCCTGTGCCTGATTCACCACAACGTACTCTCTGACCTCCCCAGACTCTTAGGGAATGATTGGCCTTCAGTTGCAGAAGTTACCAAAATTCAGGACAGGGAGGCAAACTCTCCTTCAGCTAAGACAGCCTCCATTGAGCCTAATTCTGGGGTCATGGAGCATGTGGGGTGGCCTGGCAGAAGTTAGCCCTGCTTGGGCAGAATCCCATGGGCTGGGCTGCACCCGTAGCAACCAGTCAGCATTAGACCCTTGACTCTGACAGTCACGGAGGACACCCCAGCAAGTGTCAGCACACAGGACTGCTTGCATGTGGGGAACCACGTGGGGGCTTCGAAACATGCTGAGGCCTGGACTGCACCCCCAGAGATTCTGGTGTAGTTGGTTTGAGATAGGGCTAGAGCTCCAGGATCATTTGAAACGTTTGAATCCCAGGGGATTCTAACATGTGCAGCTGCTTGAGAACCACTCACAGCTAGTCCTACTAGAGCAGCGCTTCTCTTCCTGGTTACACACGGTAATTACCTGGACAGCCTTGTCCTGGACCCATGGAATTAGAATCCATGGGGGTGGTGACAACCTAGGCATCAGCATTTCCGAGCTCCTCAGCTGCTTCTAATGTGAAGCAGGGTTTGAAACCACTACCTCCAACGTACCTCCCTCCCTCCCTTTTCTTTTTCCAGAAGCATTTGCTGGAGGCCTGCTCTGTGCTCGTGCTCTCTAGCCCTGGTGGTGCTTTGGTGAATCAGCCCCTGCAGTTCCTATTTGGGATTTCTTAACTCAGGGGACGTTAGCAGTGGAAGAGCTCACCCTGTAAAGGGAACCTGTCCCACAGGCAGGCTTGCTGGGTCCTGCACCAGCTCCTAGTGCCCCTTTACTAACCTGCTGTTGGCCAGGGGCCTTATCCAGCCCTGTCTGGGCACGTCCATACCCATGTTGGGAGGTCTTGCCCAGCTCCTGAGTCTCTCAAGAGGCCTGGGACTCTGCCTAGGCAAGGTTTGGGGTTGCACATGGTCATTGGGATGGGAAGCTTTCCAGCAGCTCCCTCAGACCCTGCATCAGGCTGGAGGCAATGGCAGGCTGGGGCTGAGGCTCTGAACTCCCTCCTGAGCATGCACGAGCTCGACAGCTGCACTGTAGTCTGTGGATGAGCCTGCGACTATAGGCAACTCTCTTGGCTGGGCCCAGGTGTGTTCTCTTTGAGGGGAGGGGATGCCAGCAGGATTTTAATATCCCTTTAACAGAAAGGGTCACCACTTAGGAAATTGGCTCCCTGTCCCTAGGGCAGAGCTGCAGGTGCCAGGATGCTGCCTGAACTCTGGGCATTTATTTTTAAAAACTAAGAGAAAACTCGTGTAACATAAACATAATGACTTTAAAGTGAGCAGTGCAGTGGCATTTAGTGCATCCATAATGTTGTGCAACCATCACCTCTGTCTAGTTTCAAAATGTTTTCATCACACCAAAAGGAAACCCTATACCCCTTATCAGTCATTCCCCATTCCCCCAGACCCCCTAGTCCTAGCGGGCTCCAGTCTGCACCTGCCTCTGTGCATTTCCTCATTCTGGGAGTCTCATCAGATGGAATCACATGACATGTGGCCATTGGCGTCTGGGTTCTTTGGCTCAGCATCACGTTTGAAGGGCCGTCTGCATCTGCAGCTGGTCCTTCATTCCCTTTCATGGCTGAATAACATTCCGCTGCATGGATAGACCACAATTTGTTTATTCATTCATCAGCAGATGGAAATTTGGGCTGTTTCTACCTTTTGGCTATTGGGAAATCTGAGCATTTAAAATTTTTTTATATCTCTACTCCAAACACATGTTGATCATGTGTTCCTAGGTCCTCAGCATTTGTGAGTCGTGGTCTTGGGTGGCCTCCTTTCCTGTACTATTCAAATAGGAGTTTCCTAGGGTGCATATGTGTCTTCATGGTATCTCTTGCTTTAAGTCCAACTTCTCTTGATTTCTCCACCTCAGCTCCACCTCTTGCCTGTGTGATACCGGACTGATCTCTGCACCATCTCATCCCATACTGTTATCACTCCAATCCAGGGCAGGAGGCTGATAAGCATGCAACAGGCTTCAACTTCTGGCTTGGGGTAATGGAGAGAATGGACAGCACATGGTGTCAACAGTAGCTTAAAATTGAATGTTACACAGTACTGTCCTAAAACTTCATATACACACTCATTAGGAATTGCTCATGGACGGTGTCTGCCCATGAGATTTGGACAGAATCCTCCCGACATCCATCTTCCTCTTTTCCTTTTCAAATTCCTCCCGTCCAGTATTTAAAACTGCCAACAGACAACTCCATATTTTTGGAGCAATGTAAACTCCTGTCTCCTCCTTTCCTTATAAACATGCCCTGGGGTGGGAAAGAGATGGCATGGGCACTCCCAAAGTTAATTTTACTCTTTTTCTGAATCAAAAGGAACCTTTCCTCCATGAGAAGAATCCTGCCATATTTCTAGGCCAACTGACTGAAAGGGACACCAGCTTTAAAAAATAACACACACACAAATTCTGCTTGTAATATTAGATGCCCCGGTATCATGGGGACTTCCCTGCCCCCTTGTACATAGATGGTGGGATGGGGTCAGTGCAAGCCTAGAGGTGCCTCTGAAGTTAACCAATTACTGGTTTCAGATGAATCCTGATGGTGCCCCCACTTTGTTTGGTGTTGTATTATTTTTTTTAAAGGTTGCTTTCAGATAGTGGATAGGAACTGGGTTATATTTAAGCTGGAGACCACTGCAGGCTTTCGAGCAGAAAAGGGCCATGCTTTGTTTTTTTTATTTATTTATTTATTTATTTATTTATTTATTTATTTATTTAGATGGAGTCTCACTCTGTCACCCAGCCTGGAGTGCTGTGGCACAAGCTCGGCTCACTGCAGCCTCCTCCTCCCAGGTTCAAGCAATTCTCCTGCCTCAGCCTCCCCAGTAGCTGGGATCACAGGTGCCTGCCACCACCCTGGCTTTTTTTTTTTTTTTTTTTGTATTTTTAGTAGAGATGGGCTTTCACCATATTGGGCAGGCTGGTCACGAACTCCTGACCTCAAGTGATCTTCCTACCTCGGCCTCCCAAAGTGCTGAGATTACAGGTGTGAGCCACTGCACCTGGCCCCTGCTTTGTTTTAGATTTTACAAAGCTCTCTCTGGTTGCTGTGTGCTGAATACACCCTAGAGGACAAGGAAGTCGTCACTAGTTAGAAGGCTGTTAGATGCTGTAGGTGAGAGATGATGATGGCTTCCACCCGGTTGGACATGATTGAGGTGGTAAAAAGTGGTCAGATTATGGGTGTATTTGAAGGCAGAAATGATCGTTTCTTCTGGTAGATTGGATGTGGTGTTTGAGAAAAAGGGAGTCATGGATGACTTCAGGATATTTGGCCTGAGTGACTGCAAATGTGAAATTGACATATTCTGAGATGAAGAAGAATGCAGGTGGAGCAGGTTTGAGTTGGGAGGAGAGCAGGAATCCTGTTTGGGAATGTGTTGAAAGTGTGTATTAGATGTCCAAGTAGAGGCGAAAGAAGCAGTTGATGTCCGAGGTTGCAATGCACCAGTGCTGGGGCGCGGTGGGGATGTAAAGCAGGAAGCACTGGAAGTGACAGCTTAATGATCAACTCCCCCACATCCCACATAGTTATCAGGAAAAGGAAAATGAGGGGGAAATCACATGTTAAATCAGAAAGGAGTGGTCGGGTGCAGTGGCTCATGCCTGTAATCCTAGTACTTTGAGAGGCCGAAGCAGGTGGATCACCTGAGGTCAGGAGTTCAAGACCAGCCTGGCCAACATGGTGAAACCCTGTCTCTACTAAACCCTGTCTCTACTAAAAAATACAAAAATTAGCCAGGTGTGGTGGTGGGTACCTGTAATCCCAGCTACTCGGAAGGCTGAGGCAGGGAGAAGCACTTGAACCTGGGAGGTGAAGGTTGCAGTGAGCTGAGATGGTGCCATTGCACTCCACCTCTCCAGCCTGGGTGACAGAGTGAGACTCCATCTCACAAAAACAAACAAATAAACAACAACAAAAAAAACCAAAACAAAAAAAATGGAGCTTCAGAGATTATCCTGCAGAAGGGGGAAAGAGGCCCAAAGACTGCAAGTTAGTAACAAAGCCAAGACAGAGCCAGTTCCTTGGGCCTGTCCCCCTTTCTAGCACACCATGCTGCCTGCCAGTTCTAGGCTCTGAAAGCTGCATACGGGGACTGAAGGTGGGCAGACTGAGGCTGGATGACTTAATTTTGTATTCCTCCAGGTCACCATCCTTGTCAGCCTGGCCCTAGCTTTCCTTGCGTGCATCGTGTTCCTGGTGGTTTACAAAGCCTTCACCTATGATCACAGCTGCCCAGAGGGATTCGTCTATAAGGTAAGAGGTGGTTGAGTAGTCCCAGGTCACTATCAAATTCAGTTAGAGGGTTGATCAATGTCTTCTCTTCACTGGTGTCCAAATTCTGGGTATGACGACCTCTCTACCGACTGTTTAAAATGGAATATGTGTTTGGCAAGGAGTTTCCAAGTTTTCTTGAGGGACTCAGTCTCCAGTAAGCAGTAGAGTTCCTCCCCCAAGATGGTGCTCTCCAGGGTCAGGAGGTGGTCCAGCTTGGACGGCACATCAGCAATGAGGGAAGCAGCTCACTACCTCTTGACATGGACTGTTCCATTTTGGGAAAGCTCGGCTTGGTGCGGGTCTTCCTGGCTCAATGGCTGTTTGCTTACCCTTGCAGTGGCCTTCCAGAGGTGTGAAGGTAGGGCTGGTGCCTCTGAGGTTCTTTGAAGCTCTGTCTCCAAGTCTCCCCTTGACCCACACTCTGATTAAACTCCTTCTCTGAAAGAACGGAACCTGCTGCATGACCTCTGGGAGTTTTCTTGCCCCTCTGAACCTCGTTTTCTTGCCTGCAAAATGGGGGCTCATAATGCCTTTTCCCAGGATTTTTGGGAGGCCTTAAGGAGAGAATTTAAGTAAAATCAGTTAACAAAGGGCCTATTAGATAATGAACTCTCAACAAATGTTAGTTGCAATAAAGACAGAGTCTGTTTCAGAGTGAACACAGCTGATAATATTTATAATTACCATTTGCTGAGTATCTCTAATACATCAGACCCTTTGCTAGATGTTTCCTTAAACATTATCTCAATTGAGCTGTACAACCATTCTGAGAAATAGGGTTTCTTTGGCTCCCATTTCACATATGAGGAATTAAATGTAGAGAGTGTTTAGTTAAGAAGGTTGTCCAAGACATCACAATAATTATGTTTTGATGTGGGGAGATCAAATAGGAAGTGTGCCAGCCTGAAAATGTGTATACTTCGGTTCTGCACTGCCTAGATTACACTCCAATCTGACCGCCTCTAGCTGGTTGACTCACCTATCACCTGGTTGCCTCTCTGGGCCACTGCTCACAGCCAATGACTGTTTATTTCCTCCATTATATACTTGCATCTCTTTTCTCTTATATCAAAAGTCTTGGCTCCTAACAACGTTCACGTAATGATGTATTTGCCTTATCCTACAATATACATAGAACAGTCACAAAATAGCACCAATGTTACTACTAAGAGGTAATGAACCTGGAGACTACTGAACGAACGTGGAGGTTTCTCCGCAACTCCATGTGTCCTTAGAATACACTCCACCAAGGGTATAATCTGACTTCCTAGACTTCCATGGAGGGGGTTCAGATCTGCCTTCCTAGATTACACTCCAAGTGGTCAGAAGCTGAGGTTCTGAGACCATCCTGACCAACGTGGAGAAACCCCGTCTCTACTAAAAATACAAAATTAGCCAGGCGTGGTGGCTCATGCCTGTAATCCCAGCTACTTGGGAGGCTGAGGCAGGAGAATCACTTTAACCTGGGAAGTGGAGGTTGTAGTGAGCCGAGGCCGCGCCATTGCACTCCAGCCTGGGGGGACAGAGCGAGACTCTGTCTCAAAAAAAAAGAAGCTGAGGTTCTGGAAGACTCAAAACAATGGGAACAGTAGGGGACAGTTGAATAAACTGTGACACATCCACCCAGTGGACGTCACTACAACTGGGAAAATGAGGAAGGCAGGCCTCCATACACGGAAAGAGAATGCTCATTAAGACAGTAAGGATGAGTGATGGAAGGAAGGTCCTGCCTATGTGTGGGCAAAGGGGAGGAGAGTGCTATTTGCTTATTGTTTTGGAAAGAAATTCAGGAAGGATACATTTTAAAAATTAATAAAAATGGTTCATCAGGAGGAAGGGATGGACGCAAGGCTTCTTCGGATCTATCTTCTTAAATATTTGTCCTTGAAATATGTAAATGTTTGACATATTTAAAAATAAATACATGAGAAAAAACAAGAGGTTCGTTGTTTAAAGAACCTAGCTCTATATCAAGTTAAGGACATAAACGTGCAAAGAAAATAAATATTTCAACCGGTTGTAGATGACAGCATGTTCGCCTCACACCTTTGGTGGAGTGTATTCTAGGGACACATGGAGTTGCAGAGAAACCTCCAAGTTCGTCCGGTAGTCCCCAGGTTCATTGCCTCTTAGTAGTCATATTGGTGCTATTTTGTGACTGTTCTATGTTTATTGTAGGATAATGCAAATACATCATTACATGAATGTTGTTAGGAATGAAGCCTTTTTTTTTTTTTTTTTTTTTTTTTTTTTGCGACGGAGTCTCACTCTGTCGCCCACGCTGGAGTGCAGTGGTGCCATCTCGGCTCACTGCAATCTCTGCCTCCTGGGTTCAAGCGATTCTTCTGCCTCAGCCTCCTGAGTAGCTGGGATTACAGGTGTGCACCACCATGCCCAGCTATTTTTTGTATTTTTAGTAGAGATGGGGTTTCACTCTGTTGGTCAGGCTGGTGTTGAACTCCTGACCTCATGATCTGCCTGCCTCAGCCTCCCAAAGTGCTGGAATTACAGGCGTGAGCCACCGCATCCGGCAAGACTTTTGATATAAGAGAAAAGAGATGCAAGTATAAAATACAGGAAATAAATAGTCATTGGCTGTGAACAACAGCCCAGAGAGGCAACAAGGGGACAGGTGAATCAGCCAGATAGAGGGAGTCTGTGGGGGTCTCTACAGCATCCACTACAGCCGGACAGTCAGTATGCAGAGAAGGCTGGCCTTGAATCAGTGTCAATATCAGGTTCAGGTCGTCTGGCTTCTTCTAAGTGGAGCTTTGCTGTTTGTGCTGGTGCTGGTGTTGGGAAGGCTGCTGCGTGCCAGGCCCAGGTCAGGAGCTGTCACCTGCCCTCTGGCTGACAGCCCGATGCAGCTGCACTCCAGTCAGGGTGGCTGTGTTGCTGGGCAGGTTGGGAGCAGTTTGCTGAATGACCCCTGACTCTGTCTCTTTCTTCCCCAGCACAAACGCTGTATCCCAGCCTCCCTGGATGCTTACTACTCCTCCCAGGACCCCAATTCCAGAAGCCGCTTCTACACAGTCATCAGCCACTACAGCGTGGCCAAGCAGAGCACTGCCCGGGCCATCGGGCCGTGGCTGTCAGCAGCCGCTGTCATCCATGAGCCCAAGCCGCCCAAGACCCAGGGCCACTAGAGGCCTGCCCCAGCCAGAATGGGGGGCGGGGTGGAGAGGAGGACCCCCATTGGCTAAGCCAAGCTCCAGTTACAAGACAACACTGTACTCCTGGGATATGGGGGCGGGGGCGGGGCAGGGCAGGGTGGGGGGAAGAACGCACCAAAAACGTGGTGTGTGCTGGAGTTGTCTGAACCGATATTTCTTTTTGTTCCTTGGTATTGTTGATTCGTCGCCGAGTCAGGCTCATGTACAAAGGCATGTTTCGTGTTGATTGTTCCCATGTAAGATATTTTTAAAGCCACTGCTTATTCTTTGTTAGGAAAATGTAACAGCAGAAAAGGAAAGAAACAAAGAACATGAACAAAAAGCATTAAACTGGCTCCATCAGAAGACGTTGAAGGGCAGTGAAGAGCACAGACTCTGTGGGCTTCTTAGATAAGAAAACGTAGCTTCAGTGGGGGCTCCAGGGTTGCAGAGTATGAGTGACACAGACCGGGACTATTCCATTAGCCTGTGGTCTGCAGGGTAGGCCCGCAGGAAATGAGGAATGGCCGAGCTGGAGAGAAGAGCTGATTTTGGCATTACTAAGCCCAGAACGCACATAACCCATAGTGAAATGTGCTGGCCTCTGGTGCATTTTGCAAGATGAGCACAAACTTTCTGGGCCTCCATCCTAGGACCTGGGCAGACCCACATGGCCTGGGCTCTGAATGCCCACCCTGCGACGGTGGGTTCTGCATCAGCAAACGCTGAGGAGTGGGCAGATTTTCTTTGTCTTTTGCTTGCATTTTCTAGATCCACACCTGGATACTGCCCATGTTGACGAGACAGCAGCAGGGGGAGAGGGAGGGAAGGAAGGTGCGGCTGCAAGAAGGAAGGCACGGGACAGGCATGTGACACTAGGCCACAAGCGATAAGCACAGGCACCTGACTTTTAAGTTTTTGTTTGTTTGTTGTTTCCCAAAGTGCTGATAACAATAACAACAACAATAGGATTCCAACCAGGAGCCTCAAGTGACAGCCAGGAAGAGACCTGAAGGTTGGGGCCACCACAATGCCAAATCGTTTCTAAAGGAAGCTGAAAAATGGGACTGTCTTTTGCCCACTTCGTTGTGTTAAAAGGGGACATTTGTCCAAACTCCCCAACCGAGTTCTAGAAGCTCCTGACAAGGAGGCAGCATCCAGCCTTGACCAGGCCTCCCAGTTCCCTGGAACCGTATCAGGCATTCGCCTGCCTCTCACAAATGTTTCAGGGAGGCCAGTTCTGCAGGGTGTCAGCTCCAGGACCCACAGGGCCAGAACCAGCTGGGAGAATTGGTTATTTGAGATGTGGTACTGCTTCCTCACAAGTCTCCCACAGGCCATGTAAAGGGTATTTTTTTGTGGCTTGCTGTGTTGCTGAGATCATCGTATGCAACAGCTGGGTAATAAGACTAGCATAGCTCAAACTATCCTGCCAAACGCTCTCATCTGATTTTTCCTCCCTTCTCCCCCAACCTCCAATCACCCTGAGTCACCTGTAAATTCATTTGTCATTCAAAGCGGAATAACAAGTTGTCCCTAGCAAAACCGCTGAGCGCTTTATAATTTTGTGGTGTATTTTTGTCAGTAGGTAGCAGAGGCGGAAGTATTTTTTGGTGTAATTCTTGAAATTTTCTGACAGGAAACAAATAAAGATAGATGTGTCTGAGAGTCTTGACCTTCCTTTGCAATGTTCTTTATCTCCTGCTCAGTGAGCCTGATGGGGAAGATGCTGGGGGTGGGGGTCCCGGAGGGCAGGGTGAGCCCTACAGTGTCCTGTTGGGCTGGGGCTAGAATTGGACTGTAGGGGAATGTCCATCCTCAGGCAACTGGGGCCTGAGATGGTGTTGTGGTCCTAAGGAAGGACCAAGAGGTGTACCTGGCTGCTTATCTGCCAGCTCAATGTCCTTCATGCAGCAGATGCCTACTGGGCAGCTTCTAGGGCCAGGCTGTGCTGGGCATGGGGGATACAGAAACGGATGACAGAGAATCATTGCCCTGAGGTCTGGCGATGGAGTCAGATATGAAAATAAAGGTGTGATAATGCCTTTGACTTAATGCAACTGGTGATTAGCTGCAACTGAGGAGGAAGATGTTGAGGACCCCTTTTTAAATTGCTAATTTAGGACTTAGCATGACCTTGGCAGGTAGGGGTCATTGACCCCATTAGACAGATGAAGACATGGAGGCTCAGAGGGTGAAAAAGAGACTGTACTAGGGCTGTAACAGAGCAGTGGGGGGTCCAATCCCAGGCTTGTGGGACTCCGTTGCACCCCCACACTACTTCTGTTCCATGTCAGACCCTGAGCAACACTGCCTAGTTACTTTTCCAGAAAGTCAAGTTGCAGCTGTAAGAGTGAATTAGCTGATTCTCAGCCAGAACTCGGTATCAATGGTGACTGTGAAGAAAAGCCAACACTTAAATGCCCTGTGCTCCATGCCAAGTACTAAATGCCGCATGTATCTTAGTTCCTACAACCCTCCTACCAGTTCTGTGAAGTAGGTGCTCCACCTTCAGCACCACTACCATCCGCTTTGTCATCATCATCCCCGTTTGGAGACGAAGAACTGGAGGAACAGAGCGGTGAAGCAGCTTGCTCGAGGTCACGCAGTCAGTGAGCAGCAGAGCTGTGACTGAAGCCCACACCTTTTTGGTACCAGGGTCTTAAGCACTGTGCCATGCAGCAGTGACCATGCATCTCTGCATCTTGCTTTGTAGGTTATAGTTTGTGCTCACACATCTTCTCTAACGTGGATGGCAGGCCATCTGAGGAAGAGACCAGGGTTGACTTTGGGCAGAGTTGGAAGCTGAGTCTCCAAGCGGGTTGCTGCGCTAGGGGTTGGGGCTGAACATGCATGGTGGGTGGGAGAGAGAAGGGAGACGACGCAGCACCTCCCAGCTGGGGCTGCACAGGCTGCTGAACACAGGGCCTCAGACAACCCTACCCACTCCCATACAGCCTCGGGTTTCCAGCCCGGCTTTGGGAGATGGTGAGTGGGAGAGTGCAGGGATCGGAGCTGGCATCCTACCCACAAAGCCTGGCTGATCCACAAAGCCAGCACAGAAACACCCAACATGTCTTTCAATTACACAGAATCAGTGAAAGGCTTAATGAACACATGTACAAACACTCTGTCATAAGTGGATTTGCCACTCCAGTGCCTCAAAAAGTAAGAAAGCTATCACTTCTCTGGAATGAACAGGCTATGGGTGTATGAGTAGAAACGAGGGAGAATGAGAGGGCCAGGAGATGGGTGCAGATATTTCTGGTTTAGGAGTGACTCTGGGGCCAAGTGCTATCCTTATTGGAACAGACGATGATGCCTAACTCTTCCCATGAATATATCCAAGGAGTGTGGCATCAGTTAGAAGAGTTTAACCAAAGGGGGTTTGGCCAGGGACATCTCCTCTGCATTTTGCAGGATGGGGTGTTACAGAGCCCTGCTGGCTGATGGAGGGTCAGGGGAGCCAGGCAATGATCCTAAAAACAGCACCTTGGTTTGTAGATCAAGCTCTATTTGTGTGTTTTGCCTGCTTTTTAATCTATTCACCAACATTGGGAACCTCCCCAGAGATCCCCCCAGATAAGACAGGATGAAGGCTGTGCAGAGAGGGTGGCTGGGCTGGGCCTGTGTGTGGCAAGAAGTTCTGAGGCGGGAGGGCATGTCTGTGTGGGTGTCAGACTGGGTTCTGGGAGGACCTGGCCTTGGAACTGGGCCTTGAAGGACGGGCTGCACTATGACAGGAAGAATTCGGGAGGGTGGAGGAGAGACACCACAGAGCCATCCTCCCAGGTAATGGGGACAGCATTGTAAAGGTTTGGAGGAGGGAAAGCTCGGGGCTTCTGCTCATAAGGCTGCTGGGGTGCCTCCCCCAAGCCAGTGCCAGAGGCAAAGATTCAAGTCCGTACCCCTGGGCTCACAGTCCAGGCTGGGGGAGAGGAGGAGTGAGATGAAAGAGCAGCCCATGGCTGCATACTGGGGAGAAGCAGTGATGGCGCCCGGAGTCATCCCAGCGGCCGGTCGGATCAGAAGGTATTTAGCGAGATACACATTTTTTCTGGAAAATTGAAAGGCCACCTGTCAGAACTGCTGTTGGTCAATTTATCTTCCCTCAACTCCTGCAATGTGCTCTAATCCAAACGGGGAGTCATGTGGAAGAAGAAGAAATTGATCCCCAATAATTCTTCCAAGAAGCACACAATACCATCTCTTTAAAAAATAGCACTCCTGGACAGTGGAGAGAAAAGGACTCGTTTCCATGGCAACGTCAATGCCGTTTCCCATAGATCAGACTCAGTCTAGAACAGCAGGCTGTTTATCTGAGTCTGTCCTTTTGTCAGAAATGACCTGTTTCTGGAAACACAGATCTAGAGTTCAATTAGTCAAAGTAGCCCCCAAAGGTGGTTGCACCTCTCTCTCTGGACACTCCCCGCTCCTCTCTCTCCTCACTGTCTCCTCTCTTTCTCTTAATCTTTCTCTTTTTCTGTCTCTGCCTCACTATCTCCTGAGGGAATGTTGTCTAGAGGCTGTGGACTGAGCTTACATAATTTATTTTTCAATTCCAGGCCCTTGGTGAGAGCCTCGCTGGGTTTGGGCCAGGTGTTGGGGGTGTGGCCGGTGGCACAAGGAGAGGTTGGACCCGGGAGGAGAGTAGGCAGCCCTGGGACCCGGTGCGACTCCTGCACCTGCCTCTGCCAGTTCCCTTCGTCTCTTCACACCGCAGCTTCCTCATCTTTAAAATGGGAATAAGAATTGTTCCTACCTCATTTTGTGAGAATTCCATGACATAGTGTTTAAAGATTTACCTAGAGCAGGAACTGGACAAATTGTAGCTACTGTGGATCAATCTCTCTGCCTCAGCTTCCTTATTTGTAAATTGGAATTACTTGTAAATACTGCCCCCCCACCACCAATAGGGTTGCTGTGGGTTAAAATAAGGCAATGGCCTTGAAGTGACTATAACAGAGAAACGGATTACCTCCTGCCTGCCCTCAGGAAGCTCCCAGGCCCTGTCCCATTCCTCGCAGGGCAGCCTCATGTCACCTACCACATATGCCACATCTACCACACAAAGCCACAGGCTGCCCCATTTTCTTCATGTCTACTCACAGTTTTTAATTGCTACATTTAGTTACACAAATACATCATCTTAAAAAAAATTCATTTTATCTTAAGTTCTGGGGTCCAGGTACAGGATGTGCAGGTTTGTTACATAGGTAAATGTGTGTCGTGCTGATTTGCTGCACCTATCGACCCATACCCATCACTTAGGTATTAAGCCCAGCAAGCATTAGCTATTTATCCCGATGCTCTCCCTCCCCCAACCCCACCCACCCCCAGACAGGCCCCAGTGTGTGTTGTTTCCCTCCCTGTGTCCACGTGGTTCTCGGTGTGCAGCTCCCACTTAGAACATGCCATGTTTGGTTTTCTGTTTCTGTATTAGCTTGCCGAGAATGATGGCCTCCAGCTCCATTCATGTCCCTGCAAAGGACATGATCTCATTCCTTTTTATGGCTGCATAGTATTCCATGGTGTGTATGCATCACATTTTCTGTAACCAGTCTATCATTGATGGGCACAAATACATCATTTTTAGATTACAAATAAAGTGTTGCTTTGAGGTCTCTGTCACATTTTCCAAAACCATTTTGATTAAATTATTTACATGCACTTCAAAACAAGCAATAAATACATAAATAAATGAAATAAAACAAGATTACAGACTTTATTCAAATCTCACCAGTCTTTCCACTAAAATCCTTTCTCTGTTTCAGGATCTGATCCAAGCCCTTGGACTGCATTTAGTTGTCTCTTCAGTCTTTTCAGATTTGTGACAATTCCTGCCTTACCTAGTCTTTCACAACCTTGACACTTTGGATGTGCTGATCAGGTACTTTGTAGCCTATCTCTCAATTTTGTCTGACATTTTTCCATGATCACACTGAAGATATGGATTTTGGAGGAAGAATTCACGGAGGTGCCCTTCTTAGAGCGTCATATCAGGAGTACAAGATATTGATGTGTCTTATTACTGGCAAAGTTAACCTTGACCCCTTGGTTTAGGTGGTATTTGCCAGGTTTCTCTATTACAAGTTACATTTTTTTCTTTGTAATTAGTAAAAATTTGAGGGAAGTTCCTTTGAGGACAATGCGAATATTCTATTTCTTCTTTCACACATTAATTTTAGTGTTCATCAATGGATCTTACCTGCAGCAATTACCGTTATAGTGTTCTCATAGCAATTTTATATTTCCCCCATTTCTTGTACATTTATAAACTGGAATTCCTCTATAAGGAAGAGTTGTCCCATCTCCACATTTATTTATTCAATCATTTATTTATATTAGTATAGACTCATAAATATTTACTTATTCTTTGGATTAAAATCTAATATGATTTTTATTTTGTTTCTCAAATTGTTTCTGATTAGTCATTGAGTGCTGTTTCAGGTTAGCTCACGTGTCTTTTTGATGCATCCCTTTAACAGTTCCTAATTTTCTGGCACCACAAGATACTCCAGGCTCATCTTATATTTTCCCCTTTTCAGTCCTGGAATCGATTGTGTCCCCAGGGAGCCCTGGTTCCTTTGATGAGGGAATGACATTTAGAAACCCAGTTCTGGATGTTAGCTGTGCTCACTGCTGCAGGGTGTCATTGCTTCCACGCTTTCTTGGTATACAGAGCTAGGAAGTTATGGATGTATACTAGCCTGTGTATACATCTGTCTATTTGTCTGTCTGCTATCTATCTATCAATCTATCAATCTATCTATCTATCTATCTATCTATCAATCTATCTATCAATCAATCTATCTATCTATCTATCTATCTAGCTATCTATCTATCAATCTATCTATCTATCTATCTATCTATCTATCTATGTCTCACAAACATGAGTATTTTAATCCCTCTTACTCTAATGCAAAACCATAAGGTTTTTTCTAGGATTCCCTCTTCACTTGCTTGTAATTTCTTTCTCTGACAGTGGGAAATATGTCTCTATTATTTACAATATATTTACTTATTCATTCATCTCTAGTGTACATGTGAAGTCACTTCAGACACATGTTTTTTGGCATTTAGAACTGACATTGTTAGAGACATTTTCTGAGTCACTAACATTGCGTTTGAGAGTACAGCATCTTTGTGTTTAATTGTAAGGGCTCATATATAAAGCCACTTCATGTTTTCTGAAGGCTAACATTTTTGCAAGGGGCAATGTGTTGTATTATATTTAAGCTGAGTTTCCCAAGGCCTCATCACTTAGAGTAACAATGAGGACTTATTAACAATAATCTCTTACACGTCATAGACACCTACTCCCATCTGCTCATGCAGGATCCTGACCCCCTTGTAAAGATCTCACTCATCAGCCCGCTACAGATATTTCTGGGAGCTCCCAGGTGGACTCTCACATGTGCCCAAGAACAGGTGTGTACCTGCTGGACTTGGCTGCTCCTCTGAGCTCCATGGATGCCCAGATGTTCTCAGGCTCTGATGGACAGCTCCACAGATGCCCAGGAGTTCTTGCAGTTTCCAGTTGCCTCAGGATCCAGTGGAGTAAGTGAAGATGGCATTCTTATTTTATTTATTCTATTTATTATTTTTTTAGAGACAGGGTCTTGCTCTGCCACCCAGGCTGGAATGCAGTGGCATGACTTTAGCTCATACGGCCTTGAACTCCTGGGCGCAGGAGATGCTTCCACTTCGGCCAGAGGTGTTCTTTTTCTTTTGAACTTCGTTCCATTATCAGCGGCCCACTGCAGGATTGCTTTTGCTTCCAGTATCCCACAGAATTTTAACCAAAATGGTTCTTTGTTCTTTCTGTTTTATCCACAGCACCCTTACCTTTGTGCTACTCCACGTGGGTCCCACGCATGACTCCACGGGGGCTGCACTGAAGACAAATCTGAGTAATGGCTGTCATGCTTGACACACACTATACCTGTTCCTATCTATACCCATGGCAGGCTCTGCAAATCAGTCGCATCGCTCTTTCCCACTGAGCCCTGTTGCAGCCAAGTAATCTTTCCCTGCACAGCTCTCTGTGCTCCCTCTGCTACTCAATTTGATGCTGATAGTGACAGAGATTTCTGGCTCTCTAGAGTGTTTCATGACCCCTGTTCATAGCATGGAGTTGTTTCCAGGAAGGACATGACTGGTGGGGGATTTTCTTTCTTGGCCCCTCTTGCTTCAAGCTTGGTGACATACTAGGAATCACCACTCGAATGTGAGTGGAAGTGACGTGTGTCACTTCTAGGATGTCATTTTTAAGCAAGTGGTAGGTGCTTCTCTAGTCTCTCTTCTACACCAACCC
This sequence comes from Homo sapiens, assembly GCF_000001405.40. Taxonomy (NCBI): domain Eukaryota; kingdom Metazoa; phylum Chordata; class Mammalia; order Primates; family Hominidae; genus Homo; species Homo sapiens. The sequence goes on from NC_000005.10 coordinate 174,115,829, forward strand.
TCCCTACCCTGTAATATCTGGAAGCTGAGGCCTCTCAGGCCTTAGGGGATGATGGAGCTACAGGCTGGAAGGAGCCTGGATCCCTGAATCTCTGGGTGGACGAGAGCCACATAAAGCTGCCCACGTTGGGCCGTTGCCTGAGTAAAATATAACTTTTACAGTATTATTAGTGAAATGTTGGGGTTTGTTACAGTGGAATTGCCCTGCCCCATACACAAATGAAACCCATTTTCCATGTGGACACCATACCTGGTTTAAGATCGGTTATAACTATGGCTGGGCTCATGATGCTTAACCTGGCTCTCCCGTAGGTGAGCTCTCTCCAGAAAGTGCCTTGGCCTCCAAGCTTTCTCATCCATCAACTGTGTTCCAGTTCATACTTCAGGACTCAGTTCAAGCATCACTTTTTCCAGGAAGTCTTCCCTGATCTTCGCAAACTAGGTAGTATCCTCCACTGTAGTTTCCTCGAATCCTGTATATCCCTCTTTAGCAGAATTACCACAACCTATTTTTATCTTCTGATTACTTGTCTGTGAATTGCTGGATGGATGTTTGAATCAATAGATGAAAAAATGATCTCTATGCCAATGACTCCAAAACATCTATCTCCAGCTCTGATCTTTCTGTTGAGATTCATACCAATAGACACCTCTTCCTTCTGGCTATTTCTAATTGAATATCCTTTCAGGAACTTCAAACTCAACATGTCCCCCAAAACCTTTGTCATGTCTCCCCCAAATATGCTCCATTTCCTGTGTTCCTTAAATTGGATGATGACTTCACCAACCACTTGGGTTTCCAGACAGGAAACCTGAGTGTCATGATTATTTCATTGAATAGATGAAGAAATGGATGCTCAGAGAGGTTACCTGCAGGGAGTGGTGAACCTGACTTGCAGTCCAGTGCCAGGCAAATGCCCCTGCACCTTGGTGTGGGGCCCCTTTGTGCCCTTCTTGGCCTCCTCCAGCCTCCTCGCAGCCCTCTCCCAGTCTCAGTCTCCTGCCGGACTACAGCATCACTGACATCTCCACCGGCTGGCTTTCCCCCCCGCCGCTTTAAATAAACACATCTGATTAGGAAGATGTGCCTTCCAATGTTGGTAATTTATTCCCTTCTATGCAAATTGTCCAACTAATTAAAAAGGAAAAAAAAAACCAACACAATTTAGACCAGTGAGCTCTTGAGAGAGAAAATGAAGATGCTATCAGCAAATTGGTAGCATGTAGAGGATCCCGGGCCTCGAGTCGGACAGATACTGGGTCTGAATCCAGCTCCACTGCTTTCTGGCTGTGAGACCATGGGCAGGTCATATCACCCTTCCAGCTTCACTTTCTCCATCTGCAAAATGAGGATAAGAATCCCAAGATGCTTCCTTGCAAGGCTCTGAAAGGACCAACCCTGTGGATACCTTGATCTTCACAGGGTAGCTGTGAAGATCATTTGAGAAAGGATCCAGGTCTTTTTGAAACTTTAAGATGCAGTAGAAGTAGAAGAATAATATTCCTTTACATTTGATTGCACAAAAACAAACAAGTGGCCCAGGTATCCTCCTGAGGACACGAGAGTACGTGGTCACCCTGCTAGAAACTCATGGAGTCGTGATGTGACTCAGGGATGTCTAAATCTATTATGGGTTGATTGTGCCCCCCACAAAAGATGTGCTCCAGCCTTCATCTCTCAGTTCCTCAAAATGTGACTTTATTTGGAGGTAGGGTCTTGACAGACATACTCAAGTTCAAATAAGGCCACTGGGAGGGCTCTGATCCACTCTGACGGGTGTTCTTATGAAACGGGGAAATTGGGTGCAGAGACAAAGACACAGGGTAGATGCCCCATGAAGACAGAGGTTTGGGGTGATGCATCTACAAGCCAGGGCCCCAAAGATTGCCAGGAAACCACCAGAAGCTGGGCAGGGCGGGGGAAGCGAGGCATGGAACAGATTCTTCCTTGCAGCCCTCAGGAAGAACCAATCCTGCTGACACCTTCATTTCATACTTTCAGCCTCCAGAACTGCGAGACAATTAGTTTCTGGCTGAAATACCTTTTAAGCTACCATTTGTGGTACTTTTTATACAGACTCCAAACCCTGTACCCCTTCCTTCCTTCCTTCCTTCCCTCCTTCCTTCCTTCCCTCCTTCCTTCCTTCCTTCCTTCCCTCCTTCCTTCCTTCCCTCCTTCCTTCCTTCCTTCCTTCCCTCCTTCCTTCCTTCCCTCCTTCCTTCCTTCCTTCCTTCCTTCCCTCCTTCCTTCCTTCCTTCCTTCCCTCCTTCCTTCCTTCCTTCCTTCCTTCCTTCCTTCCTTCCTTCCCTCCCTCCCTCCCTCCCTCCTTCCTTCCTTCCTTCCTTCCTTCCTTCCTTCCTTCCCTCCCTCCTTCCTTCCTTCCCTCCCTCCCTCCTTCCTTCCTTCCTTCCTTCCTTCCTTCTTTCTTTCCTCTCTCTTTCTCTCTTTCTTTCTTTCTCCTTTCTTTTTTTCTGGAGTCTTGCTCTGTCATCCAGGCTGGAGTGCGGTGGTGCCATCTCAGCTCACTGCAGCCTCCGACCCCCAGGTTCCAGCAATTCTCCTGCTTCAGCCTCCCAAATAGCTGGGATTAAAGATGCATGCCACCACGCCTGGCTAATTTTTGTATTTTTAGTAGAGATGGAGTTTTACCATGTTGGCCAGGCTGGTCTCGAACTCCTGACCTCAGATGATCCCCCCACCTTGGACTCCCAAAGTGCTGGAATTACAGGTGTAAGCCACCACGCCCGGCCTGTGCCGTTTCTCTAAACCGCACATGATGACTGTTTACTGTGTAGTCATTATAATAAAATAAATACAAAGCTGAGCGGATCTATTCAATTCAGCATCCACTGACCTCCAGCCACATGCAGGGCCTCTAGGAATGGAGAAGCCAGCCATGACCAAAATGCAGACCCCCACCTTCAAGGCAATAGTGACAGATGCCAAACACAGTCCAAAAATGGAGTCTTTTCATTCTTATAAATGTCCCACAGTCATTCAGGCAGTGCCCATACTGCCTGGATTGGCTGGTGGGGACATAAAAGATGGGAGGGCCTGGCCCTGCCCTTAGGAAGCTACCAAGTGAACACTGGTGTGGCTGGACATAGGGTTACAAAAAGCTTGGAGAGGACCCTATTAAGGAAGTATACCACAGCATCTAATGCTGGGGGTTTTGCAGTGTGGTGACAGAGAGGACAGTCCACAGACAATAATAACATCATCATGCTCACGGTCACACCCACAACAGCAACCCAACCGTTAGCCAGCCAGGAACAAAAGAAGAGGAGAGAAACTTCGTTTGGACTCGATGAGCTGGAAAACAACCTCTCTTTCTTACATATTTGCTGGTAGCTCTCAAACTCCTGTTTTGTAATCATGAGCGTGAGATAAAATAGCATCAGCAATTTGAGCTGGAAATCAGCAAAGGTAGTTGACATTTAATTGCATTTGGAACGAAAAACAGAGGAACGTCTTTTAAAGTCATTATTGTATTTTTTCCAGTGTGAGAAGTGGTGCTTTTAATTAGTTGTTCTTTGACCCTTTTCTCAGTAACCCAGATGCAAGCTGGTCAAGCTGGGCTCAAGCCAACCCGAAGTTCACTTCCATCCCCTGCCACATTCCTTAAGTAAGCGGAGGGGGCGGTTGCTGGTGTAGACAGACGCCTTCTCATTGGAGAGAGTGCTGCCCTCCAAGTGAAGAAGGCAAAGGGGCTTCAGATTCTGCATCGTTGAAAAGCAACAAGCGGTACTTTTTGCTTGGGCTTTGGCCTGCAATCCCTTCCTGCAGCTGTGGGAAGAAAGCGTCTTTCAGCTGAGGCCTGGAAAATATGGACAGCTGAGAAGCACACCATGTGATTCTGGGGTGCCCTGAAATGCCTATCTTTCATCCGGGCCCATCAGACAGCTTTATTGTGGCTGATCGAACTCTTTGCAAATGAATTTCCTTTCCTGAAAGCAAAGGGACAGCTTTATTACACACCCCTCCTCCCACTCAATGAGATGGTGAGAATTCATTTCGCCAGATTTCCTCCTGAGAAGAGCACTGTATTTATTTGGAAGAAATGCTTTGAGAAGCCAGTTGGATGAAGGGAGATAAGCTCAGGCAGTGGTCTTAAAAAAATTGTACTCAAAGTCCCCCTAAAACAACAGTAATTTTAAAAACTACATTTTCCCTTAACACGTTTTTAGGATGATATGTGAAGTTTTTCAATCACACATTTAAACAGTTGTAAACGATAAAACTTACAATTTATTGCATTTAAGTATGGGCTTTAAATATACTTTCTTTGAAACCTTGAAGCAGCACATTTAGCTCTTTCAATTTCAAAAAATGTCTGCCACGTAGCGCAAATGGCAAGGCTGTCTATTTAAACCATCAGCCAAATCAAACCGTCTGCTGGAAGACATCTGACCTCATTGCCAAGTTCATATATATTTGACCTTGAGACAAGTATCCCATTTCCAAATTTTAAGTTGGACAGACAGACGGACAGACAGAGATAGATAGATGGTTGAATAAAGTCGGCCAGGAGTCCCGCAAGCAGTTTGCTTCAGTATTCCTCACTCACTGATTTTGCTTTGTGGTGGAGCTGTCCATTCTCAAATCTTTCCCCCTTTTTGGGCCTGGAGACATTGCCCCCTGTGCCAAAGCACTGTCATAATAATGAGAAGCAGTTCTCACTTTTGCTAAGTGGGAGAAGGGTGACTGGGAAGCAGGGGCGGGGTGAGAATGAAGTGCAGGCAGGCCTTGGTAATGGCCAGAGGCCCTGTGTTGGAAGCCAGGCTTTTGGAAGCTGAAGATCTGAAAACTGATTCCCTAAAACAAACCTAAGTCTTTGTGTGCCATCCTGGGGTCTGCTCCACCTATTTGATGATTCTCAGATACATAAGTGGAAAGGGGAATGAGGAAAGCTTGCTAAGAGGTTCACAGATTCATTGAGAGGGCTGGAACCCACCCCCAGGCTCAGCTTCCTGAGCCCAAATGCATGCTGCAGAGAGGCCTGCTAAGGAGGCCAGTGTTCCCTGCAGCAGCTGCAGGGTGAAAGAACAGAGAAACAGCACTAAAATAGCCTCATCTCTCTCAGCCCAGATGATTCCCCTCTGGTATTAAATAGGTCAAGCCTTTTTAGATTTAATAAAACAGTACAGTGGTGTGGATATTAAAATATTCTACATTTATAGGTCTTTATTGTCCCAATAAATTATCGTCTAAATTAAGAATGGTCTTTTCTCTCTAAACTCTGTTAGGTGTCTTGGTAGTAGTTTGGGATTATTCGGAGCACACAGAGAAAAAAAAATCCTGCTGTGTTATCAACTTTTTAAAAAGATGAGCGACGTCTTTGTGACTTCGAAGGTACCTGTCAAGCTTCTGTCATCCTTCTCCAGAATATTGCAAAAGCTTCAGCCAGTCACCCGCCTGGTTGGGCACTTTTTTTCAGGTCTGTCTTCCTCAGAGGGCACCAGAGTGATCTTCCTTTTTAAAAATCTTAGAAAATTGTTGGTGGGAGTGTAGAATGACACAGCTATTTTGGAAAACGTTTCTGGAAGTTTGTACCTATATATATGAACCAAACATATTCCTACCCTATGACCAAGCATTTGCACTCCCAAGAAATAGGAAAGCACGGCTGGGCATGGTGGCTCATGCCTGCAATCCCAGCACTTTGGGAGGCAAAGGCGGGTGGATCATGAGGTCAGGAGATACAGACCATCCTGGCTGACATGATAAAACCCCATCTCTACCAAAAATACAAAAAAAATTATCCGGGCGTGGTGGTGGGCACCTGTAGTCCCAGCTACTCGGGAGGCTGAGGCAGGAGAATGGCGTGAACCCGGGAGGCAGAGCTTGCAGTGAACCGAGATTGCACGACTGCACTCCAGCCTGGGAGACAGAGTGAGACTCCGTCTCAAAAAAAAAAAAAAAAAAAAAAAGAAATAGGAAAGCTCATGTCTGCACAAAGACTTGTATAAGAATATCCATAGCAGTGTTTCCACACTAGCCAAAACAGTGGAAGCAGCCCAGGCCTCCATCAGTGGGAGGATGGGTAAAAGAAGTGTGATACATCCATATAATGGAATAGTACTCAGCAACAGAAGGAACGAGCCCCTGATTACATAATACCGTGGATGATTCACAAACGCATTCTGCTGAGTGAAAGAATCCTTACTCCAAAGAATACATACTGTCTCATTCCATTTACATGAAGTTTTGTAACAGCCAAACTAGTCTTGAATGATAGGAATTAGGACAATGGCTGCCTCTGATGGTGGATGGGTGAGAGGAATTAACTGGGAAGGTTCTAGGGTGATGGAAATGTTCTGTATCTTGAGAGGTGTTTGTGTTTTACAGGGATATCATTTGTCAAAGACTTGTGCATTTCACTGTATTAAATTTCACCCCAAACTACAAAAGGCACTGTAAACAAATATTGAACACTGGTTAATGGGATGCATGCTGAAATGTTTAAAAGGAAGTGTGTCAATGCCTGCAACTTACTTTGAAATGCATAAAAGTGACAAGGGAGAAATGGATGGAGGGGATGGATAGATGGAAAGATATGTGATAAAGGAAACGCAGCCAAATCTTAGTTATATGTCGGTGGTTGGGGGCATGGCTGTTCACAGCACTACTCTTTTAAAGTAGGCCTGTCTTATTTTTTTTTTAAATATTTTGAAAAATTTCTGTAGTTTTTAGAATACAAGCGGTTTTTGATTACCTGGATGAGCTGTATAGTGGTTTGAGCCTGATATATATATTTTTTTTGTTTGAGATGGAGTTTCACTCTTGTTGCCCAGGCTGGAGGATCTCGGCTCACTGCAACCTCCGCCTCCCAGATTCAAGAGATTCCCCTGCCTCAGCCTCCCAAGTAGCTGGTATTACAGGCATGTGCCACCACGCCTGGCTAATTTTGTATTTTTAGTAGAGACAGGGTTTCTCCATGTTGGTTCAGGCTAGTCTTGAACTCCTGACCGCAGGTGATCCGCCCGCCTCAGCCTCCCAAACTGCTGGAATTACAGGCGTGAGCCACGGCGCCCTGCCAAGCCTGAGATTTTAGTGCACCCATCACCCAAGTAGTTTACATTATACCCAATATGTAGATATTTAGTTTTTATCCCTCACCTTTCTTTCTTTTTTTTTTTTTTTGAGACAGAGTCTTGCTCTGTCCCCAGGCTGGAGTGCGGTGGCGCGATCTCCGCTCACTGCAAGCTCCGCCTCCCGCATTCAGGCCATTCTCCTGCCTCAGCCTCTCGAGTAGCTGGGACTACAGGCGTCCGCCACCGCTCCTCCTGAGTCTCCAAAGTCCATTATACCACTCTGTATGCTTCTGCGTACCCATGGCTTAGCTTCCATTTATAAGTGAGAACATACTGTATTTAGTTTTCCATTCCTGAGTTACTTCACTTAGAATAATGGCCTCCAGCTCCATCCAAGTTGCTGCAAAAGACATTATTTTGTTTTTATGGCTGAGTAGTATTCTGTGGTGTATATATCTCACATTTTCTTTATCCACTCATTGGTTGATGGGCACTGAGGTTGGTTCCATGTCCTTGCGATTGTGAATTGTGCTGCAATAAACATATGTGTGCAGGTGTCTTTTTGATATAGTGACTTATTTTTCTTTGGGCAGATACCCAGTAGTGGGATTGCTGCAGGGAATGGGAGATCTACTTTTAGTTCTTTAAGAAACCTCCATACTGTTTCCATAGAGGTTTTACTAATTTACGTTCCCACCAGCAGTGTATAAGCGTTCCATTTTCACTACATCCATACCAACATCTATTGTTTTTTGACTTTTTAACAATGGCTATTCTTGCTGAGTAAGGTGGTATCTCATTGTGGTTTTGATATGCATTTCCTTAATCATTGGTGATGTTGAGCATTTTCTCATATGTTTGTTAGCCATTTGTATATCTTCTTTTGAGAAATGTCTACTCAAGTCATTTGCCCACTTTTTGATGGGATTATTGTTTTTTTTTTTCTTGCTGATTTATTTGAGTTCCTTGTAGATTCTGGATATCAGTCCTTTGTCAGATGCACAGTTTGCCAATATTTTCTTCCATTCTGTAGACTTGTTTCTTTACTCTGATGATATTTCTTTTGCCGTACAGAAGTATTTTAGTTTAATTAGGCCCCATTTATTTATTTTTGTTTTTGTTGCATTTGTTTTTGGGGTTTTAGTCATAAATTCTTTGCCTAGGCTAATGTCCAGAAGAGTTTTTCCTTGGTTACCCTCTAGAATTTTTATGGTTTCAGCTCTTAGATTTAAGCCTTTGATCCATCTTGAGTTGATTTTTGTATAAGGTAAGAGATGAGGATCCTGCTTTATTCTTCTACATGGGGCTATCTAGTTTTCCCAGCACCATTTATTAAATAGAGTGTCTTTTCCCCAATTTATGTTTTTGTTTGCTTTGATAAAGATCAGTTGGCTGTAAGCATTTGGCTTTATTTCTGGGTTGTCTATTCTGTTCTGTTGGTCTATGTGCTGACTTTTATACCAGTACCATGCTGTTTTGGTAACTATAGCCTTGTGGTATAATTTGAAATTGGGTAATGTGATGCCTCCAGATTTGTTCTTTTTTTCTTAAGATTGCTCTGGCTATTTAGCCCTTTTTTTGGGTCCATATGAATTTTAGGATTGTTTTTCCTAATTACGTGAAAAATGATGCTGGTATTTGAAAGGAATTGCATTGAATCTGTAGATTGCTTTGGGTAGTATGGTCATTTTCATGATATTGATTCTTCAGTCCAAGAGCCTGGGGATGTGTTTCTATTTGTTTGTGTCATCTATGATTTCTTTCAGCAGTGTTTTGTAGTTCTCCTTATAGAGATCTTTCACCTCCTTGGTTAAGTATATTCCAAGGCATTTTTTTTTTTTTTTTTTTTGCAGCTGTAGAAAGGAGATTAAGTTTTTGATTTGATCCTCAGCTTGGTTGTTGTTGGTATATAGAAGTGCTACTAATTTATGTACATTGATTTTGTAACCTAAGACTTTACTGATTTTGTTTATCAAATCTAAGAGTCTTTAGGGGGACTCTTTAGGGTTTTCTAGGCATACAATCATATCATCGGCAAACAGCAATAGTTTGACTTCCTCTTTTCCAATTTGGATGCCTTTTATTTCCTTCTCTTGCCTGACTGTGCTGGATAGGACTTCCGGTACTATGTTGAATAGAAGTGGTGAAAGTGGGGATCTTTGTTTTGTTCCAGTTCCTAGGGAGAATGCTTTCAACTTTTCCCCATTCAGTATGATGTTGGCTGTGGGTTTGCCACATATGGCTTTTATTATTTTGAGGTATGTCCCTTCTATGCCTAGTTTGTTTGGTCCATCTTAAACACCACTTGATAGCAGTATGAGTTTAGCATTATGCCTGCTGTGAGCTACTTATCAGGCATTTTGCTCACTGGGTTTTCTTACTAATCTTATGAGGCATGCATCATCCTGGGTTACAGATGAGAAAACACTGGTTCAGAGAGGCTCAAATAACATGCGCAAATTCACACCATTGTTTAGACTTAAGTCTGGATTAGAACCCAGGAATCCCACTTCTGACACCCAACTTTGATAATCTCACCAAGATCAAAGGCTGCCCTTTTAGAGGCCAGTAGTTATTTAAAATCTTGGGAAGTAAGGTTGAAGAAACCATCAAGTGTCAGCTATTCTCTAGCGACAGACATGACAGAGGCTGGTTGACTTTGGCGCTGTGCATTTGACTCTCTTACATGGCCCCAACTGTTTTTCCTTTGAGCATTTTGATTTTGAGACAAAGACTGTTATGGGTTGAATCCTCCCCAAATTCATATGGTGAAGGCCTAACCCCTAGTACCTTTGAACGTGACCTTATTCGGAGATAGGAACTATAAAAATGATGAAGTTAAGGGTGGGCCCTAATCCAATTTGAACACAGAGATAGACACACACATGGGGAGAATACCACATAGACATGAGGGCAGAGATGGGATGATGTATCTACAAGTCAAGAAATTCAGAAGATTGATGGCAGGCCGGCAGAAGCTAGAGGATGCGCATAGAGCAGATTCTTTCTCAGCCAACGGAAGAAGCCAATCCCATTAACATCTTGATCATGAACTTCTAGGCTCCAGAATGTCAGACAATCCATTTCTGTTGTATAAGCCATCCAGTATGTGGCACTTTGTTAAGGCAGCCTTAGGAAATCATGCAACACCAACGTAATTCTTAGTCCTAGGACATTTTATGCTGTGGTTTGTTTTGACACCCATCTCCCATCCACACACACACACTTAAGTATGTTTAGCTGATTTCTTCAATACGACGTGCCTTGGAAAGATGTCCCCAGAGAAAAGTGACTTTGATAGCACAATGAAGGCCAGAAGAAGACAGGACTTAATTTATACAAATCTATTTTTCAGGTGACCTTTCAGGAATTATCTATATGTCATATACTGCCATAGAGATGCTGGGAGTGAAAGTGAGACTGTTCAGTAAAACCATTATATTTTCACTGAGTTATGCTAACATCACTATGTCTATGGAAAAAGTAGCTCACACTCATTTAAAAGAGTGAAGACTCAAGGTGAATAGCATTTTTCCCACTTAAAGGGAAATAATGGGGCACCTTCTCTTCCTCTGTCTCTCTTCCTTCCTTTTCTCCCTCACCTGAGCTCCTATAACATGTCCTATAGCATGTGTGCTAGCTGCTAGTGACAATGTGCGGCAGACATGGTTCACAAAAGATTCATGCATGTCTTCCATGGGGTAGAATTGTTGCAGAAAGCAGTGGTTGAGCTTTGGACTACATTTCCCACCTCTTCCTAGATGGGCTCAGATGACTGAATTCTGGCCAATGGAGTGTGGGAGGGAATGTAGGCCATTTTCCCAGCAGCCTGATTCTTCATGATAAATCAGAAAACTTGGTCCATTTACCTGCGGATACCTCACTTTGTTGTGAAATGTTTTTGGTTGTGGTGACCAGAAACCTTTTAGTAGGTTAAAGAGAAGGAAAATAAAAAGGCTATCGGGGAAGAAATGAGGGGACTTGTTAGAACACTAGCTTTTAAAGGTACCCCTAAGATAGGGAGATGCTCTTGGGAGGTTGGGGAAAAAGCATTAAGTAATATTGAGTCACACAAAGAAAAGGTTATTCTTATCCTAAATCTTTATACATCTGGATATGTTAAAGAGATGGTCTCAATTTAGATCTATTTTTATTAGTACATTTCTCTGTGTCTCCATCTTCAATGCGTAATGATACCTAGCTAATATTTACACTGTTTTAGTTATATTTACTTTTGTCATTACCTGTAGGTATAGCAAATGCTACTAATTTTCTGTTTACAGACTTGATATGCAGTTTCTTCTTTAAATGAAAAGTTTTAAGCAAACATATCTGTTCAATTTAAAGAAGAGTATTAAGCAAATTGTTGGTGCAGTGCAGTGCGGTGCGAGGATATGGCTAAGATAGGGGTAGTATTTGAATGCCCAAATATTACCTTTTGGAAAAGTGGTTGAGAAATACAGGTCAGGAAGATGCTGCACTGTTTCTAGGAGCAGGGCCTTAGGGACCAGAGAATGGAAAGAGAGTTCATGAAACCCTCCAATTCTGTTCTATCTCTGTTTCTCTTCACACGCCTACTGTATCTTGGTGTTTCTCTGCAGACCAGCTTTATCACAGTAGAAAATGGTCATCAATAGCTCCCAAATCTTATAGCCACTTGGGGCATGATTGATTGGCTTGCTCTGATTCTCAATTTCACATTCCATAGAAATGGGGTCCTTGTCCCAGTGGGGTCAGGGGCCCATCTGTGCACAATCACTTATATCCATGAAAGCAAGAAGACATTGGAGGCACATGACTGTCTGTGCTACAGTCATGTGCTTAGGACCTGGGGTAAGTTTGGAGAGAAACAGAGATCCTGACAAGCCAGAGAGAAAAAAGTGGATGATTTTGACATTAAAACAGAAGATTCTCTCTTAATAAAAAAACCCATCAGAAATGTTAACCGATAAATGACAGACTGAGTAAAGGTATTTGCAATATCTCATATCAACAAATTACTGATACCTCTGATATATATAAAACCCCTACAAATCAATTAAAAAGAAAAGAACTCAATAAGAAATTAGGCAAAGAAGATGGACCGTTCCTTCACTGAAAGGAAAATCCAACTGGCTAAACAATATGTGAAGAGAGGCCCAAACTCACTAGTAATGAAGGGCACAAAAATGCGAACGGCAATGAGATAATCCATTTGGATCTATGAGTTTGACAAACATTAGCATGTGAACAACACCAAGTGCTGGTGGGGATGTGGGGAGACCAGAGCTCTCCTACTCTGAAGCTGGAATATAATTTGGCAGAGTCTTTCTTTTTTTTGTTTTTTTGATTTTTCTATATATATATATTTTTTTAATTATTACACTTTAAATTCTAGGGTACATGTGCAAAACATGCAGGTTTTTTACATATGTATACATGTGCCATGTTGGTGTGCTGCACCCATTAACTCATCATTTACATTAGCTATATCTCCTAATGCTATCCCTTCTAGAAGGTGACCTGTAACACTTAGCAAAATTAAGCACACCTGTGCCCTATGTCCCAGTTAGCACATTCCTAGGTATACAATCCGGATCAATTCTTTCCAATGTCTGCAAAGGAAGATGTACTACGGTAGGTGTTGCTAGGCTCTGTGTGGAAGTGGAGGAGAGCGTTGAAGTCAACCTGGGTGTCTGTCATTAGGGGCAAGGACAAGTACAATGTGGTGGATACACACTGTGTGGGATACTATGTAACAGCCAGAAACCATAAATTAGGTGTACACACAGCTGCATGGAAAGGTCTCCATTCAACAAAACTGGGAAGCAAGTAGGAAATCCAATGAAATTAACCCCATGGCACAATGTATCTAAATTAAATACATCACACACAAAGCTATATTACCTATTTCATTAGAATCAATGCATATTTAAAGATGTGTATGAGACATAGTAGGCTGGGTGCTAAGAGAGTTCAGTCTAATAAAGAATCAGGGAAGGCTGGGTGCAGCGGCTCATGCCTGTAATCCCAGCACTTTGGGAGGCCGAGGCGGGCAGATCACCTGAGGTCAGGAGTTTGAGAACAGCCTGGCCAACATAGTGAAACCCCATCTTTACTAAAAATACAAAAATTAGCCGGGTGTGGTGGCAGGCACCTGTAGCCCCAACTACTTTGGAGGCTGAGGCAGAAGAGTTGCTTAAACCCAGGAGGTGGAGGTTGCAGTGAGCTGAGATTGCACCACTGCACTCCAGCATGGGCAACAGAGTGAGATTCCATCTCAAAAAACAAAAAACAAAAAACAAAAACAAAAAAAAGAATCAGGGAGGAAGGAGAGAAATTTAAAATAAAGAAACAGAGCGTCTAGGCAGACACTTGGAAGATGTCTGACCACAAGTCTAGGTAGTAGAGACAGGAGTGGACTGGGACAGAGAACCCAGTGAGGGGCTACTAGAAAAGCCTGGGTGCAAAAAGATAAGTGGCTCACGTCTGTAATCCCAGCACTTTGGGAGGCTGAGGTGGGCAGATCGCTTGAGATCAGGAGTTCAAGACCAGCCTGGGCAACATGGTGAGATCCTGTACCTACAAAAAATACACAAAAAATTAGCCAAGCATGGTGGGGTATGCCTGTAGTCTCTGCTACTCAGGAGGCTGAGGTGGGAGGGGAGGATCGCACAAGCCTGGGAGGCGGAGGTTGCAGTGAGCCGAGATCACACCACTGCACTCCAGCCTGGGTGACAGAGTGAGACCTGTCTCAAAACAAACAAACAAACACACACAAAAGAAAAAGAAAAAGAAAAAGAAAAAGAAAAAAGATAAGACTTGAGCCAAGTCTAGAAATAACGTGATTCCAACAGATTTAAGGGACACGTGGGAGGAGGCAGAAATGACGGGATGAGTGATGGATTGAATGTGGAGGGTGAAGGAGAGGGATGCATCTAGAATACTTCTTGTGTTTCTGCACACCTAAGTGGACTGTGCCGGCATTACCAGGACCGGGAACCCATGAGGAGCACCAGATTTGGTGTGAAAATAATGAGCTTCCTTTGGATTGTCCATAGAGGATAAAATTATTGGTGTGTCCATGACGAAGTGTGTGAATGTTTTACTGCAAATAAACATTTGGGCAACACACTTGAGCAGGTTCCCTAATATTCCACATGCTGCCATGCTAAATTAGCCTTTACAAAATGGCTAAGATGACTTAATGAAATGAATTTCTGGACCCAAGAAGAAAGCGAATAATATTTATATCTCAGTGAAGGCCAGAATTCGGGCTGACCCAGACTGAATAAAAGGTTTTCGTTTGAAGTTTGAACCGAAATACGGCAGTTTATTTTTAATCTCTGAGTTATAAACTGGGATTTGTGCAAACAATTTGATTCCCTGTGGACTCCAAATCGTGATGAATATCAATACTTTAGGGCTTTCGTAATACAATACCAGAGTTTATTGAGGAAAATAAATACTCATGACAGCGACAAAGATTTCATTTCCCAAACTCTCAATTCATGTAGCAGTTGGCCACTGCAAGGACCAAGGCCTGGGAATGTATCTATTTGACCTACACAAAGGCTCAGAGAGGAATAAGACTCATCTTTAGATGTTATACTGAACTCCACAAGGTCTCACTAGAGGTCTGAGCAGAAAAGAGTGAAAATGAGATGAAAGGTGGGGCAGGGCACTGAACTCACAGCCAAAAAGCCTGGGTTCCAGTTCTGCCACAGACTCGTCGGGGGGCCTTGGACGAGTCACCTCTGTGTACCTCCCTTGGGTTCTTCTGTTGCTTCATGGATAAAAATAAGCCTGTCCAATGATAGGATCTCTGAGTTCTTTCCCTATTTGATTCCAATACTCTGCTCTGTCCCAACCCTCTGTTTCTACAACCATGTTCTAAAACAAACAGGCTCACTTATGTTCTGTTTTTTACCAAAGATGTTCCCACTCCTGATCACTATGGACCCCTCATCATTATGTCCTTCATGTTTTCCTCTTTAAATAAACTCTTTAAATAAAATAAAACTTTTTACTTAAAAAGTTTTAAGTAAACCTCTCTGGTCCATTTTAAAAAAGTATGAAGTAAATGGTAGTAGATATGCTCAATGATACGGCTGAGATAACAGTAGCGTTCGAAGGCACCGATATTACCTTTTGGTCTGGTAGTTGGGAAACAGATCAGGAAGGTGACGGGCTGTCCCAAGGAGCCTTATTTGCAATCGGCAGGCAGCACGTACAGGGCTGGGCCCCACTTTCTCAGTGAAGGAAGTGGTGCTCAGAAAGAAAGCAATTCCCGAGACTGCACAGGTAAAAATCAGTGTGATCAGCTGTCTCAGCCTGCCTGGGACTGTCCCAGTTTGAACACCGGAAGTACCACATTCCATGAAACCCTTCCCTCAGTTTGGGACCATTGGGCATCCTAGGAAGGTGCAGTCTCAGGGGTTTTACAGTCCTTGAGTAAAGATCATTGATTCATAAGAATCAGCAGGAAGGTGGCAGCTCTTTGGAGTCAGGCAACAAACCCCACCAGGTACTGTTTTGACGAGGCCTTAAAGGCGAATGCTTGTGCTTAGAATATGTCAAAAACAGCTCTCACAGGTCTTTAACTTTTCTTCCTGGCCAGCATCAAGGCTGTATCTTTTGGCCTACAGATTCCTGCTAATTTGGGTCAAAAACAACTCTGATATTAGACACACACGTCATAGGTTGAATTGTGACCCCCTCCCCAACCCTGGCCAAAAAGATTTGCAGAGGTCCTTATCCCTGGCACCTGTGAATATCATCTTATTTGACAAGAGGGTCTTTACGCATGATCAAGTTAAAATGAAGTCATTAGGATGGCCGTAATCCAAAAGGGCTGGTGTCCTTATAAGAAGGGGAAAATGCCATGGGAAGCCACAGGCCTGGGAGGGGAGAACTCCACGTGAGAATTGGGGGTGAGGATTGAAGGGTGGCAGCTGCAAGCCACTGAATGACAAAGGTTGTTAGCAATTAGCCAGGAGCTGGAAGAGGCCAGGAAGAAACTTTCTCTGCAGGTTTCAGAAGGATTTCCCCAGAGCCCTGCAGGCACCTTGATTTCTGTCTTCCAGCCTCTGGTGCTGTGAGGCAATACGTTCTTGTTTTAAACCACCCAGTTTGTGGTGCCCTGTCACGGCAGCCTTAGAAACCCACGCAGTGCTCAACTGAACAGCTGCATGGGAGAGTGGTCTTTCTAATACACTGCATCTGACTATGTCACTCCCCAAAGCAGAACCTGTCGTGGCTCCTACTGCATATGGGATAGAGCTCAAATACCGTTTCTCTCCAACATTCTCTCCTGCCTTGTTTTCTGTGTGAACTGTGCTCCAGCCACACTTATCTTCTTTCTCCTCTTTGAACTTGCCAAGTGGGTTCCCAGCTTAGGGAGGGTCTTGGAAGACTTCCTTACAGGAAGCCTTGGGCTGAGTTTTCATGCACTGCCCTGGGGTCACTGTGCCTGCCATTGACAACCTTCAAAACTCTCTGTCCCCAGTTGGTTTCTCCTCACACTCAAGGAGTTAGTTCAGATGTCACCTCTAAAGGGGCTTTGCTGTGCATGCCATACAGGCCACTCTTCCCGGGTCACTCACCACCCTGCCACCCTGTTTCATTTCTATCATGGCAATTATTGCTAGCACATATCATCTATCATGTTCGTTTATTTGTCTATATGCCTATTGCTTGTCTTCCCTCACTAGGATACAAGGTGCATAAAGGCAAGAATCTTGTCTGTTTAGGTTTTTACGATGTCTCCAGTGATCAGAACTGGGTCTGGCAGCCAGGAGAGCCTGACACAGGTATGCTAAATAAATGGATAGTCACACATAACAGGTAGAGCATTGTGCTAGGTCTGGTTTAAGTGCATTAAATATGCTAACGGTTTTCTAAATCTTTTTTGCAATTGCATGAGAAACACAGAGAGGTTTAGTGCTTGGCCAAGGTCACACAGCTGCTAAGCAGCAGAGTTAAGATTTGAATTGAGAGCCAGCACTGTTAACTGCCATGCCACCATGCCATGCTACCTCTTGGTGGAAGGAAAGAAAGCTGTTGCAGTCATTGTGTCTGCTCAGAATTCTCGCCAACTCTTCTCACATGCTCACGCAGGGTACCCTCCAGCTGCTGGGTGTACCTCGGCCACAGCCTCCTCCCACTGCCTCCCAGGTATTATTATTGCTTATCTAGGCTTCCATCTCTCTTACTATACTCCTTGACACCTGCTGCTGTCTGCTTTCCTGTCCTCCATGGGGT
The DNA here is from genome assembly GCF_000001405.40 of Homo sapiens. NCBI lineage: Eukaryota > Metazoa > Chordata > Mammalia > Primates > Hominidae > Homo > Homo sapiens. The sequence continues at coordinate 174,133,105 of NC_000005.10, forward strand.
GTGTCTTCAAAGTCCTATCAATGATCACTTCCCAACTTGTCTGTGTATTTCTCATCCTCCCAGGTCCTGGTTGTGCCAAGTTCTCTCTTGCCTCCGGGCTGTTGCGCATACATTGCCTTTGCCTGGAATGCTTTTCCCCTCTCCTCCTCCTGGTTCAGCCCCCTTGCCATTTGAGGTACATCGCCTCCTCCAGGAAGGGTCTCTGGGTTGTGTGGTTGAGTTGGGTGCCCTTGCCACGGGTGCTCACAGCCTGTTAATAGTTCTCCCATCATGGCAGCCACGTGAGTGGGGGCCAACTGTCTGTTTACCCAGCTGCCTCTCACACTATGCTGCAGCCACATGGGGGCTCCAATCACTTCTTGGTTATCTCTCTATCTCCCACATTCAGGACCTAGAAGAGAGTGGATGCTAAGTAAGGGCTAGGTGTATAATACCACATCTTTTTATTTTTATTTTTTAGATGGAGTCTCGCTCTGTCTCCAGGCTGGAGTGCAGTAGCGCGATCTCGGCTCACTGCAACCTCCACCTCCCAGGTTCAAGTGATTCTCCTGCCTCAGCCTCCTGAGTAGCTGGGACTACAGGTGCGTGCCACCACGCCCAGCTAATTTTTGTATTTTTTAGTAGAGACGAGGTTTCACCATGTTGGCCAGGATGGTCTTGATCTCTTGACTTTGTGATCTGTCTGCCTCAGCCTCCCAAAGTGCTGGGATTACAGGTGTGAGCCACTGCGCCCAGCCAATGGCACATTTTTTTCATTTTTACTCTTGGCCAACATCTATTGGGTATCTACAGTGTGCCAGGTATCATTCTCATGCTTTCTATATGTGAACTCAATAATCCGTAAAACAACCCAATAAGGCAGGTGCTGTTATTATTCTCAATTTACAGATTCAGAAACCAAGGCATGTTGGGGGGTCATGCCACTTGCTCAAGGACACTCAGTAAGAAGCAGAGTTGACTTTCAAACCCTGACATTTGGGCTCCAGAGCCCACTCTCTCATCTACTAAACTATATCTGCAAAGGTATAACAAGCTCTCTGAGGGCCAGCCTCAAGCCCCCTGCCCCTGTGGGGCAGAGGCAGCCCTCTGGCTGTGTTGGCTATTTCCACTTTGGGGTGAGGACAGGACAGGGGGATGGAGATCATCACATCCTCATCCCTGGCCTGTGCCCTCCAAACTCCTGCTCTAGTTCTGCCCAGAGGGTAGGTATGAGGGTAAGGCTCCTTCTCAGCTCACATCTATGCTTTTAAAAAGCACTACCTCTCAGGATGCTTGGGGAGGAGGATGTGCACCCTGTCTTGCATCTAGCTGTCCTAAATTTGCTAAATCCCAAAATCTCATCAAAAATAACTATTCATTTATTATTTACCCATCATCCATCTTCCATTCATCAATTCATTCATCATATATCCATCCATCCACTCATTATCCATTCATTCACCCATCATCCATCCATCCATCCATCCATCCATTATCCACCCATCCATCATCCATCCATTCACCCATCATCCACCCACCCATCCATCCATTCATTATCCATCCATCTATTCATCATACATACATCCATTATCCATCCATCCATCCATTCATCATCCATCAATCCATCATCCATCCATCCACCCATCCATCCATCAATCCATTCATTATCCATCCATCCATCCATTCATCATACATCCATCAATATCCATCCATCCATCCATTAATCATCTATCAAGCCATCATCCATCCATCCATCCATTCATCCAGTCATCCATTCATCATCCATTTTCCATCCATCCATCAATCCATCCATTCATCATCCATCCATCCATTCATCATCCTTCCATCCATCCATCCGTCCATCCAGCCATCCATCCATCTCTTATTTATTAAGCCCTCATTCTGTACCAACCATTATTCAGAGGACTTCACAGACCTCATCTCACCTAATCCTCATAGCAACCATTGAGGTATTGTTAACTCCATTTGCAGGTACAGAAATGGGGGCTTAGGGGCTGAGCACCTTGCCCATGGTAGCAAAGCTGGGGTTCCAAACCAGGTCTGCCTGGCATTAGAATCTCCAGTGAACAGGCTACTGAGAAAAAGAATGAACTAACCAGTTACTGAGACTGGTTGTTGAGAAGGGAATGCCTGGAGAGGCAGCACCACCCTATGCAGCTGCTCATTTGCTCTGCTGGGATGATTCCCATTCATTAATTCATTCATCACACATCAAGGAGAATCTAGAGTGTTTTAAGAACTCCACTAAGATGTGTTCGCCAGGAGGGTTATGAGATACTGACCATGAGGTTCCCTGAATGGAGTGATGCAGAGGATACCTCTGAAAGGCCTTAGGCCCCCTCTGCAGAGTTCTGGCAAACTCTCTCCAGCTTTGCCTAAGCATTCTCTTCTATCTGGAATGTTCTCCTCTTCCCTCTCTGCCTTCCCCCAGCCTATTGAGCCTCTTATAATTTCAGTTACTTAACTTGCTTATGTGCTTATGCAGGCCTTTGTTCAATACATGTTTAGTGAGCACCTATGTTGTGTCAATCACTCATTCAGGTTTTGAGGATACAGTGATGAATAAGGCAGGCGGTTTCTCTGCCCCAGGGAGCTCACATTCTAGTGAAGGAGATGGGAAACACACAAACAAGATAAGGAAATGGACCAACTACTGTCCTAGGAAATAATGGAGATGGGGAGAAGGGGCTTTACTTTTGGTGGAGGTGTGAGAGAGTGATTGGAGATGAAAGGGGAGGAGCTGGCCATTTGAAAAACCAAGGACGGAGTGTCTTCAAGAGAGGGAACAGCAGGCTCAGAGGCCCTTAAAAACAAGGAGCTGGGAGAGCTGTGGTAGCTGCGGGATGTAGAATTGTTGACCCCCACCCTAAAGAGAATTAATCAGCTTTCCATCTGTGTTCCTGCAGCATTGTGCTTCCTTCTATTTGAGCTCCCACCATATGGTTATTATGGGTTATTATGGATTCATGTCTTTGTGTCCTCCATGGAACTCGGCATGCTTCAAGGTCAGGGATGGTCTGTAATGTGTGGCTAATAACAGTGAAAGCCTTACAAACCTTACAAGGTAGTTGGGAAGATTAAAGGTGATGATCTAGGAAAGGCCTTTAGTACAATTTCTGAAACTGTAAATGCTCCGCAAAGTCTAATAATTATTATTGATAGTGACCTACTGCCCACCCAGCCCAGGGGCCAACACATAGAAAGGATTGAGTCCTGTTTCCAGTGTGCAGGAAGGAGAGAAACAGGTGAGCTCGTCCAAGAGCAAGGCCATCAGGACTGTCGATGGGTCATCACCAACTGGCTGGGGGTTGTGCTTCCAGGAAAGAGCACCTGCTATGGCTCCCAGGCCACAGACAGTGCAAGAAACATAGCCTCATTTTCTATAACTTACATGACTTCTACTTCTAGCCTCCATGTTAGGGTGGTGGACACAATCAAATGTTCCCCTACTTTCTCCCAGGGTGACATCTAAGATCTAGAGGTCTCAAATACTACGCACACCTTGAGGATCTGGCTTCTCCAGTTTTTGGTAACATCCATTCAAGACTCAGGATTCCAGTCCACTGGCCCTTGGTTATCTGTCGACGTGGGCCATTTGCTCATTCAATAAAAACTCATTGATCACATCTGAAGCATCAGGTGCTGTCCTAGGTGTTTGAGATACAGACATAAAAGAAACAGACAAAATCATGCTCTTGGAGCTGCATTCTAATAGGGATGAAGATGGAGGATAGAAAATAATCCAGTAAACATCTGTCAGGTGATGAGTTATGGCGATCAGAGTGTGGAGAGTGAATGAGTGGGGGCGATGATGGACAGGACGCTAAGGTGGTGTTTAAGCCAACACCTGAAAGAATTGAAGGAGTGAGTCCCGGTTCTGCCTAGGAGCACTCCAGGGCATGTGCAAAGGCCCCAGTGTGAGCTCCGTATGTTGGAGGGACAGCCCGGAGGGTGGGGTGGCTGGAACTGAGTGAGCAAGGGGGAGACAAGGCCCGAGGGGTGGGCAGGTAGGGCCTTGTAGGTCACAGAGGGGATTGGCCTTTTGGGCTCAGTGAGACGAGGGGATGCTGGGGGATTCTGAGCAGAGGAGGAGTGACACAACCTAACCTATGTTTTGAAAGGATCACTCTGGCTGCTGTGGGAAGAAACAGCTGTAACAGGGTGAGGGTGGGAGTAAGTTAGGAGGCTGCTGTGGCAATTCAGAGGAGAGGTGGTGGCTAGGTCCAGGGTATGAGGATGGCGAGAAACATAAAAGTAGAAAGAGCTACACTAGTGGGGCATCTCCCTTGTACTTAGGTTTTGAAGGGCCAGCCTAGTATCTGCTCATTCTTCAGAGAGAATGGGTCAAGGCCGCCCTCTCAGATGTGCGGGCTGTGCTGGGTGCTGGCTGGGTGCTCGGATGCCGTTTCATTGCTTCTGCAGCCCCTGGCCACCAGCACATCTGTGTGAGCCTGTCTGGGGCCTTGTTTCCAAGACATACCATGCATTTTGGCTTTTGTGGTTTCTTTCACCCTCCTTATACTCCTGTGAGGTCTCTGCCCTGGGATCCCTCAAACCTCTTGAAGGTATTTATCCCTTCCTGGGGCTGCCTGGAGCAGAGATCAATGCACTTTCTCTAAGACTCCCCTGAAGTATCTTGATTCTCCTCTGATACCTTCTTGCTCCAAGTCTGGAGAAATCTGCTCAGACTTGAGGGGTCGAGCTATGAAGGAGGGGAAGGCCTTGTTTGTATAGCCTCATGTTTTCTCCTAAATGTTTTGTGTGCTGTAAGGGGTTTCCCTCCGCTAAGAATTTAGGTTTTTCCCTTTTCTCTGCTTTAAGCTCCAGAACAGTCCTGAGGGGGAGGGGTAAGGGGGGAGAGAGAGCAGAGAAAGTAACATGGGTGTAGAATACCAGTTGTAATTTGCAAAGATTATCCTACCTCCAAAGCAAAAGGAGCAGTTTGTTTTGGATCCAAAACACAAAAATATGCATTTCAAAAACAGCTTTATTGGGGTGTTCTTGATAAAGAATTGCACATAGTTAATGTGTATGATTTCATGAGTTTGGGGCATCTTCAAACACCTGTGATACCATCCCCACAATCAAGGTGACTGACATAGTCAGCCTACCCCCCGAAGCTTTCATGTGTTGCTTTGTTTTTGTTTGCTCTTCTTGTTTTGTGGTAAGAACACTTCACATGAGATCTACCCTCTTAACAAATTCGGAAGGGCCCAATACCATATTGCTAACTAGAGGCACAACATTGCACAGCAGAGCTCTAGAACTGTTCATCTTGCATAACTGAACCTTTTTACCCATTGAACAACTAACTCTCCATTTTCCACTCCCCCAACCCCCGGCAACCACTATGGTATTCTCCACTTCTATGAGTTTGTCTATTTTAGATATAGATATAAGTGGAATTATAAATTATTGGTCCTTCTGTGTCTGGCTTATTTCACTTAACATAATGTCCTCCAGATTCATCCATGTTGTTGCAAATGGCAGGACTTCCTTCCTTTTTATGGCTACATAATATTTCACGGTGTGTTTATACCACATCCTTCTTATCATTCATCAAATGCTCACCCTGCTCATTTCTGCCTCAAGGACTTTGTCCTTGTCATTCCCTTTATCAGGCACGTGGCCCCAGCTGGGTGCAAATGGAGTCTTCCTATGTGCCTAGCTGGGGAGAGAGATGGCTTTGATGAGCGAGCAGCCTGTCTTCTCCACGGTGGCTCTGTGCCCGCCCACCTTCATGACATCCACCCTTTGTCAATTGAGGTCTGCAGGGTTGGAATGGCCCTGTTTTGTGGGTGTAATGTTGGGGTACAATATTCAACTATTCCACCTTTCTGCACCAGTTACAACATGATTTGTCAGTCTTCTCAAAAAATTTTGATGAAATAACAATTAGGTATCATGAGCTATACTTGGAAATGAAGATACAAATAAAAAGTTGTCATTAGAGTGAAAAAGATTACACTCATCCATCTACTGCATTTTGCAAACATTTATTGAGTCCCCATATTGTGCTCAACAGTCATAGCCCGTGCCACATGAAAAGCCCACGTGAGCCGTATTTCATGATGGATGTGACAGGCTTGGTCTTCACTTACTAGTGTGATCCTGTGTGAATAATTTCACCTCTGACTCTCAGTTTTCTCATCTGTAAAATGGGAATGGTGATAAATTATGATTCAACAATGTTGCACAGAAGGTGCCTGGAAGAATAGCCTTTTCTTGGGTTTTAATATCTGAGCTCTTTCTTCCACTCCACCTCCCCGCTCCCGGTCACCTTTTTTTTTTTTTTTTTTTTTTTTTTAACAGAGACAGGTCTCACTCTGTGGTTCAGGCTGAAGTGGAGTTGTACAATCATAGGTCGCTGTAATTTTGAATTTCTGGGCTCAAGTGAACTTCCCACCTCAGTCTCCCAAGTAGCTGGGACTAAATCCATGAGTCAATGCATGTGGCTAATTTTTAAATTATTTCAGAAATGAGGTCTCACTATGTTGCCCAGGATGGTCTCAAACTCTTGGCCTCAATCAATCCTCCCACCTCAGCCTCCCGAGTTGCTGGGATTACAGGCGTGAGCCACTGTGGACAGCTTTCTCTTCCCTTTTAAGAGCTCAGACTATCTGTTCAGAAATTCTCACTTTTGAAGCCAAGGTTTGCCAACAATTGGTGCCAAAAAAAAAAAAAAAAAAAAAAGAGAGAGAAAGTAGGTCAGAGTTTAGGCCTCCACAATCTCACTTTACATGAACAAAAAGGAAAATAGTGCCTGAATCCAGGAATGGGGAAGGATTAAAAAAATTTTAATGTGAACATAATTAGCATGGAAGAAAAAGGGCAACTTGTTCTCTTTACTATTGACATTTAGACAAGACTGAGCTTGGCAATGAGAAAGGAAGAATTCCATAGAGGCCGAGTTCTGGGGCAGCACGGTTTTGTCTCTCACTACTTTCCTCTCTTCCCTTTCTTCCCATACTTGTCCCCTTGAGTTTTCTGGGAGGTAGGTGGTATAGTGTAAGGAATTTGGGTTTTGATGTCTGAAGGAACCAGATTTGATTCTCGGCTCTCTCCTTTCCTACATGTGAAAATTTGGATAGATTTTTCAACTTCTCTGAGCCTCAGTTTCTTCATCTATGAAATGGAGGTAGGAACGCCCCACTCATGGACTGAGCGAGGCAGTGGATGGTAACCGCCTGGCACATAGTAGGTATCCACATGTGATTGTTTCCTCCCCTCCCGTTTTCCCTTGGGAATCTAGGCCTGTGCTAGTATCACACAGTTGTTTTTCATTTAAATTTTTCTTAGTTCTTCTTTTTCCTAATTTCATTCTCACCTTGACTCTAGAAGCTCATTCCTGCCTCCTCATTTCCAGGTCTCCTTAGCTTCCTTCCCAGGCCCTAGTTCAGGACACTCCACCCCTCTCCTGCCCTACTCCCACCCTGATCTCCTGCCTGCATTCTCTTTCCCTCTCTCCTCCCCACTGCCCCAAAGTGATCTTCCCAACTGTAAATCTGACCTCACCACACTCCTGCTCAGAAGCTCTCAGAACTTCCTGCTGCTCTTGAGATGAGGGCCACTCATCCTGAATTTGCATTTCAGGGCCAGCTCTCACTCAGCAGATTCCCAGTAAACCCTATGCTCCAGCCATAAGGAATGACGTGTCCAATTGCAAACACATCTCCTTGTTTGACCCCCTGGCTGTTTATATGCACAACGTCCTCCTCCACCTGGCTAACCCCTATTCATCCCTCAAAGCCCAACTCGAGTCTCTCCCGAGGGAAGCCTTCTTGGCCACTGCTGAGACAGAGTTCCTCCCTTGTCTTGTTTTGTCTCTATTTTTTCTTATTCAGCTGGTCTCATGGCATTAATCTTACTGAATCCATATCGCCTGTGTGCTTGTCAGTTGTTCTACACCATACAGAGGTTCTCAGGGTGCAGAGGCTGCACCTTGTTATAATTTATTTATAAATTCATTCTACAGGCATGTATTCAGGATCTCTTCTGCCAGGCCCCTGCTGGCACTGGCAACTCAGTGGAGAACAAGACAGACAAAGTCTCTGCTTGGAAGGGACTCACACTGTAGCAGGACAGTACAGATAGGCAAACAAAGAGGTGAATGAGAAACTATCCATTGGTGATGAGTGCTATAGAAAGAAGGAAATCAGCAGGGACAGAGTGCTGGGGGTGTGTGCTGGATGCATGTTGGGTGGTCTGAGGAGGTCTCTCTGTATCTGTCGTAGAAGACACTAGAATGCCTGTCAACAGAAAGGAGGAGGGGAAGTGTACTTCCTTCTCCTTGATGCATGTGACCTCGTGACTGGTAGCAAGGTCATAAGTGAGTACCCCTGGGTTTATGTTTTCCAGAATGGCCATTCTCAGATTGGATTCAAGTCTTAACAAAGCTGACAAATGCTTATCTTTCTCATCACAACCACTGTAATTACCCTATGGGTGGAGAGACCTGGTGAGTAGGTGCCAGAGGGGAGCAAATGTGGGTTCAATATCAGGGGAAGCTCCGGAACAATGAGTGCCGTGTGACATCCTCATAATAACAGTAATTATGACAAAAATAACCCTCGCCTTCCCTTTTGCTGCTTTACCTTTTGCCATTTCTAAAGCATATTAGTAGCCAATGCCGTATTTGAGTCTCTGCAGCACTGTGAGATCACGAGCCCTGTCTGTAGGAAGGGCAACTGGAACCCACGGAGTGCAGTGGCTTTCCGGGGTCACACAACTGAACCCAATATCCAACCCCAGGTTCTCATTCCCAAATCTAGGTTCCAGAAAGGGCTGTCTTGGGAAGTAGTAAGCTCTATCAGCAGATAGGCGAGGAGAGGATGAGCATCTCGCCTCCCTTGCAAGGAGACAGAGGAGACTGAGGGATGGGAGGGAGGATGTGGGGCTCTGCTGTCCCCTCTTAGGTTCTGGACTCCTCATTGTAACACCGTGGGAACAAGATATTTTTTAGGTGCATGGGAGACCTTTCATTTCTTCACTTCCTCAACATCGGCAAGAAAGCTCCACCTTCTTCTCGGTGAGAGCTCTGCAAGCCTGCTTGCCAGGTTGAAAGGTGTGTGAAAGCTGGCCCATGCTTTGCTGCGTGAACTTTAAAATCTAACATGCTGAGCCTCACGTGAGTGCCCGAGCCTTTCCTCCACGTTCTGTCATCCCTACACTGATAAGACCTAGGACAAAGGGCTATAAAAGATGATGGAGTTTTCTGGCCGGGCGCGGTGGCTCACGCCTGTAATCCCAGCACTTTGGGAGGCTGAGGCGGGTGGATTACAAGGTCAAAAGATCGAGACCATCCTGGCCAACATGGTGAAACCACGTCTCTACTAAAAATACAAAAGTTAGCTGGGTGTGGTGGCGGACGCCTGTAGTCCCAGCTACTCAGGAGGCTGAGGCAGGAGAATTGCTTGAACCCGGGAGGCAGAGTTTGCAGTGAGGCAAGATTGCGCCACTGCACTCCAGCCTGGCGACAGAGCGAGACTCGTTCTCAAACAAACAAACAAACAAACAAGATGATGGGGTTTTTGATAACCATTTGAAAGGTCACTATTTGGTTTCCAGGCTCAGACAGCCACCCCTAGGGGGGTCTCCCAGGTGGGGAAGTGAAGTTGGAATTGGCCAATGAGCGTGTTCCGGGAAGGTGTTTGTGGCAGCACTCTGCATTGGAAGTGCTTTCTTGTACCATGGGCCTTTGTGACACCTCAGGGAGGGGAGCACCAGAGGACCTGGAGATGATGCTACGGAGCTTCATTCTCTCCAGGGCCTTTGGTCTTGCTCAGCTCTGGAGGCCTCAGTACAGAAATGGGGCCTCGGATGGAGAGCAGGCTGAGGAGTTTGCTCCTCACAGCAAAACAGGGCCACCGGCTTCTGAAAGCCCCTGGAGGCTCCAAGTCCCTGGAGTGCAGGCAGGAGGGTGTTCAAAAGGTGTGGCATCTCCAAAAACCAGTGCCTTTGACTTCAGAGCTGGCATTCAGTTCCTGCCACAGTCAACACTTGCCTTTCTGGGAGTTCTCGAGGTTGGAGGTAAGAACAGGGTCTGCTCTTGAAGTTCCTCTTAGCAGTGGCTTTGAGGTCAGACAGAGCAGGTTTGGGTCCTGGCTCTGTGGCTTACTCACTGCGGGACCTTGGACATAGCCCTCCGTCCTTTGCACTTCAAGTCCCTCATCTGTCACTGGACCCAGTACTCCCACATGGGAGGATTTATCTATGTAAGACACTTAGAGGAAGAGCTTGGTATGTGATAGCGGCTACCTCTTTTGTTATGATTGCTGTTATTGTTATTGAGGCAAGCATCACGCTCTTGGTAAAGGCTAGGAACCATTAGACTAAAATTCTTTCTCAAAGAAGTAGTGGGCTGGGAGCGGTGGCTCATGCCTGTAATCCCAGCACTTTGGGAGGCCGAGACGGGTGGATCCTCTGAGGTCAGGAGTTCGAGACCAGCCTAGCCAACATGGTGAAACCCCGTATCTACTAAAAATACAAAAATTAGCCAGGCATAGTGGTGCACACCTGTAATCTCAGCTACTCGGGAGGCTGAGGCAGGAGACTCGCTGGAACCCCGGAGGTGGAGGTTGCAGTGAGCCGAGATGGTGCCGAGCACTAACAGCCTGGGCAACAGAGCGAGACTCCGTCTCAAGAAAAAAAAAAAGAGAGAGAGAGAGAAGAAATAATGGCAACGGCTTTCAGCAATCACAGTATCAGTATCTAGGCTTCTGGTGGCAGATGCAACAACCCGTGAACACCTTTTTGGATAGGGGACCAGCCTCTTGAGTTTGGCCTTATTTGGGGTCTATGGAAACAAATAATAAACCCTTTATAATAAATAATAGTAAACAAAATGAAGGCTGATATTTTTTGAAAGTTTAATATACACCAGGCACTGTGCTAAGTGCTTCCTAATTACTAATTCTTTTAATCTTTTGAACAGCAGTATACATATGTTCTTATTAACTCTGTTTTACAGGTGAGGAAATGGAGGCATGGTGAGGTGAAGTGATGTGCTCCAGGATACTGTTTAGTCATCTGTTGCTGTGTATTAAATTTATAGCAACTTGGCAACTTACAACAACAAACACTTATTATCTCATAGTTTCTGTGGGTCAGGAATTGGAGAATGGAACCGCTGGGTGGCTCTGGGCCAGGGGCTGCCATGAGGCTGTCGTCAGGATGTCGGCTGGTGCCACAGGCATCTGGAGGCTTGGTGGAGCTGAAGACCTGTGTCCAGGATGGTTCACTCACACGGCTGCTGGCAAGAGGCCTCAGGGCTTTGTTTTCTGTCGACGGGACCCTCTCCTTGGGCTTGCTTGAGCATCCTCATGACATGGCAACTCTTTCCCCAGAGTGCGTGATCCAAGACAGACAGCAAAGTCAAAGCTTTGGACCTAGTCTTGGGAGTCACATGCCATCATTTCCACTTTATTCTGTTTGCTAGAAGTGGATCACTAAATCCAGCAGACACCCAAAGGAAGGAGAACTAAGTTTTAACTTTTGAAGGAAGTGTTAAAGAATGCATGGACACATTTTAACACCACCGTAGTCATGGACCTAGTAAGATTTCTTGCTAGGATTTAAAGCTAAGTCATCTTGGTCCAGAAGCCTGGGGTCCTCCTGCTGCCTCGACAGGCCACCTTATACCCTCAGGAGTGATGTGACATTGTTGGTCAGTCTCAGATGTAAACAGGCATCACCTGAGGGTGACTGGAGCATCCAGAATCAGGGATGAGCTGCACCTGACCTAGAACTTAGGATGTGTTTTTACTGGAAAACTGATGGGTCAGAGAGGGGCCTGAGTGGCTAAGGTTATCAGCTGTCCTCTGCTCACCTGTTGTCAGGGAACACTGAGGACCACCATCACTCAGAGTGTCAGGAGTGAAGGGTGGGGGGTCCCAGTGTGTGTGTGTGTGTGTGTGTGTGTGTGTGTGTGTGTGTGTTGTAGGCAGCAGGCATAGGGACTGTGCAGGACCTTGAAGGCTTTGGTAAGGAGTATGGGTTTCAAACTGTGGGCAGGTGGAGCCAGCATAGGGATTCAAGCAAAGGAGTGACGAGGTCAGAGGCAACCTCTAGACAGGGCTGCAGGGTGGAGAGAGGTGAGCAGCTGAGGCTGGGCACCAGGTGGTGGGTCCAGGACACCATGGCCAGGTCTGGTCCTGAGAATGGAGAGGAGGCCTATGGAGAAGACTGTTGCTGGGATTTGGGGTCAAATTGGCCTTGAGGTAGACGAGGAAGAGAAGCATCCAGGGTGACACCTGCTTCATTAGGTGCAAGTCATGGCCAGGTGCTGGTGCCCTTGTGAGAAGAGGACTTAGAAGCAGAAGGAGCTGGATGGGGGAGGATGAAGAGTCCAGCTTTGAGGCTCCTAAGTGAGCTGCCTGGAGTTCATTCATGGGAGAGGACCAGAGCACTTGACTATTTGTGTCTCGAGCTCAGTAGAGTCAGGGCTGGGGAGCAAGTCTGGGGAGGCATTGGTACCCTTGTGGACTAGGGAACTGAGCAAGGTCTGTGGGGAAAGAGAGACTTGAACTTTAAATCTTCTCTGAGCCTCATCTTTCTCAGCTGTAAGTTGGGGATAAGCATTATTCTGAAAACCATGAATGTATAGTGTATGCAGAGGGCTGTAGCATACCACTCAGATCCATTCTGAGTCCTCTCCTCATACCAGAACGCCCAGGGAATTGGGAGGAATGTGGGTTCCCCTAGGGAAGCAGAGGAAGCTAGAATTAGGGGGCTTCCCTCCAGAACTAGATTATGGGTGTATCTGATTCTTGCCAAAAACAAGGCCCTGCTCCCACCAGTTCCCAGAGCCTGGCTGTGACTCATTTCTTCTGCCTTTGTTTTGACTGGTGCCTGATGCAACCTGGCTCTGCAATGATGCAGATGCTGATGCTGTTGCTAGGCAACCGAGCTACAGCACGAATCCTGAGAGGCCTCTGTTCCGCTCACCCCCAACCCAGGGCTGCTGACAGTGGTTGATTTGGAACTGGCTGGAAAAATTGGAGACATTCTTATGAGAGTCCACGGGTATGTTAGGGCAAGGAGTGCATATGTGTGTGATGGTGAGAGAAAGGCAGCAACGATAACAACTTCCACTTACTGGGGGCTTGTTCTGTGCCAGTCACTGCATGAATTAACACATTTCATTTTGTATAACATATAGCAGCCTCAGGAGGCATGTTCTAAACTCTTCCCATTTTACAGACAAGAAACCCAGGACTTAGAGAGGAAAGGGGGCTTATCCAAGTCCACTTAAATATGAAGTGGTAAGGCTGAGAGGGAAACCTAGGCCTGTCTGATTCCAGGGCTCCAGAGAGCACAAGGAATTTGGCTTTGATTTCTTCTCTGCTCCATCCATTGTCCACTGCAACACGTTCTCTGCAACACAACCAGGGGTTTGTTTGGAAAACATGAAGCAAATCATGTTGTCCTCCAGCCATGGCTCACCCTCGGGCATCACACTCCTTCCTCTCCATGCCCTCATTCCTTCTTTGCTGTTTCTCCTTCCTTTTCTCTGAGTGTCATGATCTTCTTGCTTCAGAGCAGGTGACTTCCTCACCTTGACCTTGGTCGTTCTCCCCCCTCCTTCAGGTGTCAGTTCAGATCCCCCTCATCCCCGCAGCCCACCTTCCTACCCTGAAGCCATGGGGTATTTCTTCTCCCAGGACCCCATCCACCACCCTCTGCCATTCACAGGGCTTTCCTCTATCAGGCGCTGGGTTCCAGTCTTGTTCGCCCCATTATCTACCCCAACACCTGGCCCAGGATCTGGCACACAGGAGAGGGGAGAGGCCGTTTAGTACTTTTTCAATGAATGAGGATCTGAAAAGTGAACGTTAGAATTTGTGAAGTGAGCCTTCTGGGGTCTTTGGTCTTACATTGATTTGAGAGGAAGCAGCTCACTAATATTTCTCTGTCTCTATTCTGGGCCAGACATTTAGCTGAGGGTTTATTGCATGTTACTAAATAAGTGCTCTGGCCTTGCAAACAGCCCATCCTGCAGGTGAGGAATCTGTGCAAACAGCCCATCCTGCAGGTGAGGAATCTGTGCAAACAGCCCATCCTGCCAGTGAGGAATCTGTGCAAACAGCCCAACCTGCAGGTGAGGAGTCTGTGCAAACAGCCCATCCTGCAGGTGAGGAGTCTGTGCAAACAGCCCATCCTGCAGGTGAGGAGTCTGTGCAAACAGCCCATCCTGCAGGTTAGGATCCTGTGCAAACAGCCCATCCTGCAGGTGAGGAACCTGAGGCTCAGAGACCGGAAGTGACTTGCCCCAGGTGGCACAGCTTGTGATCATGGTGCCAGGATCCAAGCCCGAGTCCACCAGTGCCATGGCTCTGCTAGGAAGCCCCAGGTCTCTTTGAAGGGCAGTTAAAATAAAACTGCACAGAAATAAGAGCCTTGACATATTCTCATTTCCACAGTGTTCACAGACACCTTCAGTTTGGAGACAACACCTGCCAGAGAATGAAAAGGCCAACCAGATGAGAGGGTGGGTGCAGGGGTGTGTGGAGAACCATGGGGGAGAGGAGTTATGGGAAAAGCAGGTAGAGTGAGCTGTAGCCCTGCCCAGCATGGGTCTGGCCTCTGCCCAGGACACCAGGAGCCTCCTCCTCCCTGCACCATGCTCAGCAGGACCACCGACCCCAAACCAAGCCCCTACCAAAATACATTGCTCCTTCATAGGTCAAGGAACTGGCACCACTGCCTTCACCTCTGCACCCTCAGCAGGCTGGCCACTCTGACCCTGCACCCCGAGGAGCTGGGCAGAGTGTCCCAAGGCTGAGAGGAGCTGTGGCCCCTCTGGACTGCAGTAGCTCTTCTCAGGAAGAGGGGCAGGAGACACTTGAAGAAGGAAGGCAGAGAGCTCTAAACACAGACTGGAGGGTGGGCAGGGAGGGCAGGGGCAGGCATTGGGGCAGGGCAGGGCACCTCAGGGGCAGGCAGGGGAGACCACCTCTCCCTCTCCAGGGTAGCAACAGAGTGACTTCCTCCACCTATGACCTCTGCAGTCTTATTTTCTTTTCACAAAAGTGAGGCTTATTACCTCCACATTACAGAGGACCTGGAGTCTCATTCATTCATTTATTCATTCATCCAACAGGTTTTATTGAGCACCAGTTAAGCACTAGGCATCTCCACTTGGATGCCTAACTGGCACTGAAACCTCCCTAACCTCTTCCTTTCTCAGTCTTCCCATCTCCCTCGGTAACTCCCTGTTCACCCCTGAGGACAGCCCTTCGCTATTCTCTTCCACATCTTACACTTCCGTGCCTTCCTACTTCCTCCACTTCTGACATATGGACAGACCAGATTCACTTCTTCCCAACTCTACTACCCCCTCCCTGGTCTCAGTGGCCCTTCTGTGCCAGGGTGTGGGCATTAGTCTCCTGATTGGTTCCCTGCTCCCCTTCTCCCCTTTATAAATCACACATTGGATCATGTCCAGCTTCTGATTCAAAATTTCCATGGCTTCCTGGAGGACCTTGAAGGACGTGCTGTTCCTACCCAATACTACTTGCCTGAGATGAATTGCCCTCTGCCCACCTCTCTCCACCCTCATACCTGTCACAGGCCCTTTGCTTTTGTGTCCTTTGTGTTCCCCATTTTTGCATGGCTGACATTCATGCCTCAGCTCATGTCACTATCTATGTGGGGTTCACCCCTCTCCTAGTCACTCTCTGTCACATCACCCTATTTTATTAATTGGTAACATTTATTTTCCTGTTTATTATTTTTCCTCCCCATGATACTGTAATCTCTATGAAAGCAGGAATTAGTCCTGTTTATAGCACCTGGAACAATGCCAGGCACTGTGCTGGCAGGGCTGATACACTGCAAACCCCAGGGAGCACAATTCATCCCAAAGTTTGCATGAAGGATGCTCTGGAATAGAGCAGCGCACAACTTACGTAGCTGTACATGGAAGACCTGAGGACACAGTTGTGAGCAAGATAGAAACAGTTCCTGATCTCACAGAGGTTTCAAGGGCTTAGCTCAACAATTTGAGCCTTTTATAAGAGTAAGTGCCAGATACTGTCATACAATTCACATTTTTCCTAACAAAAGCCACCATTTTACAGATTATGAAATTTTACATTTTACAGAATATGAAACTGAGGCTCAAAGAAGTAAAATGATCTACCTTAAGCTTACCCACCTGGTAAGAGGCAGAACCAGGACACAGACACACTTCAATCTGGTAGCAAAGTCTAGGTCCTCAGAGATGCATGATACAGATGGTCCCTGTCCCATGGAGCTCTCTGTCTTCTTGGGACAAGGACCTAGTATTTATTGTGCACTTAGCATGTGCCTATCATGATGACAAACAGTTATGTGTATTTTTTCTTCTCATGTTTAAAATCTCACATCAATTGGAGATAGAGACTCAAAGAGGAAAAGAGGCTTCCCCAGAGTCGCAGATGTGGAGTCAGAGCCTGGGACGGGGACCAAAAATCGTCTGAGTCTCAAGTTCTTTCCACTTCATGGCACTGACCAGGAATGATGGTAGTTGAATGTGGCAGCTGCTGTAATTGAGGAATGAACTGGATGCTGAGGAGGGGAGAGGAGAATGTTTTGCTCTGTTCAGAGAGGGACAAGGGTCACCAAGAATGGCCTGGAAGCAGAAGCAGGAAGAGTTCCCAGCAAGCCAGGGCATCTCAGAGGGTGGGCCTGGAGAACTGAACTCCATACTTGGGGCCATCACCAGAAGTGGCCCTGGGGCCATAACCCTGGCCTCTTGACCCTTTCCCTAGCCCAGAACCCTGGATGATTTTGACTTTCTTCTCTCCCACCCTGACGACCAACGGAGACATTCGCTAGACATCAGATAGAATTCAAAGGGAGGGTGATTTTCCCGTTGAACTTAGCCACACTAAAAATTGCTGGTGAACTAAAAGAAATGCAAAAATGGACCCAGTTTTTCTAGATGTTCCATCATCTAAATGAAGATCCCTGAAATGTCAGTGGCTTGAGAGAAAGGGGTTACTTGGAAGACTCAGCCTCCAAAGGTCTTAACTGCATGTCAAGATTGCTCTCCTGAGAGATTGTAGGTTTCATGCTGGGATTCCTCCCCTAATGAGATTTTTAATCATCCCCTCCACAGAAGCCCCAGCTGCCTTCCTCCATCCGTCTCAACAAATGGCACCATCTTCCCCCTTTTGCTTATAACCGGGAGCTGGGAGTATTCACGTCTCTTTCATCCAGCATATTCCCCGCATCCGCCTAATCACCAAGTTCTGTTAATTCTGTCTCCCCATAAATCCCAGGCCTGTGCACGGCCCTCCACTTCCCAGGTGTGCCTACCCACAAGGTTTTTTCCAGCATGTGATGCAGCTGATACACAGCTAGCTGTAATTCCAGGAGGGCACTTCTGTAAGGGAGCTGTGGGTGTGAGGAGGAGAGAACCACTAGCTCTTTCTGGACTGGGACAAAAGGGTGACATTGGAGCTGAGCCTAGAAGGCTGGCTGAGGAGGTGGTCACAAAGCCTACAAAAGAACTGCTGACCAAGGGCCTCAGGAAGTTCTGGAATGTGCTCAGGGGCTCTGGAAGGGCAGTTTTCCAACGGACCTTTTAGTGTTCAGTTCTACAAACAGAACCGACCCCATCCCAGGTGCCATCTACCCCAACTCAATGCCTTTGCCCTGGGCAGGCAGAGATGGCACAGTCTGAATAGGGCTTGACAAAAGGGAAGAGGGGATGAGGGATGCTCCAATTTTTGCATCTGTACAGTGGATGGAATCACCCTCCCCATCAGATCTGTGAGAGGGTTAATTAGGGTCATGGCTGACTGCAGCCTGCCATGGGAGGGGAGGACAGGGAGGGGACAGAGCTAGAACTCAGGGCCAGGGTGTATGTATAGCAGGCTTTCCCTACCGTGGGGGGGGTGGTGGGCTTGGGAGTCTGACTGCTGGGACTCGAATCCCTCCCACCATTGACTAGTGGGGCCCTCAGGTGAATTGATTATCCTGATGTGCCCCACCATTTGTCAAGTCATATACAGCAAATGATCAAATTTATTAGTCACCCTAGGGAAAGAAGATGAGTTTGCTCATAGTTGGGGACTGACTATGTCCAGTGCTGAGGGCATCAAGGCTATCTCAGCACACACCTCATCCAATAGGAGCACCTTGCGGGGAAGCATAACATAACCTCTGTGAGCCCCAATTTTCTTATCTGTATAATGGAGATGATGATAAAAATAGCACTATTCTAGAGTTGTGGTGGGGATAAAATGAGAAAATCAGGCCTGGCATGGTGGCTTATGCCTATAATCCCAGCACTCTGGGAGGTCGAGGTGGGTGGATCACGAGGTCAGCAGTTCGAGACCAGCCTGACCAACATAGTGAAACCCCGTCTCTACTAAAAATACAAAAATTAGCCAGGCGTGGTGAAACACAACTATAATTCCAGCTACTCAGGAGGCTGAGGCAGGAGAATTGTTTGCACCCAGGAGGTGGAGGTTGCAGTGAGCAGAGATCGTGCTACTGCACTCCAGCCTGGGTTACAGAGCAAGAATCTGTCTCAAAAAAAAAAAAAAAAAAAAAAGAAAGAAAGAGAGAGAGAGAGAAAATTGATGCCAAGTGCTTCCTCCATAAGAAGAACTCAATGCACATTCACTATTCTTCTTGTCTATTCTCTCCCCTTGCTTTGCTACTGAAACCAGTCCATTTCCTGCCCTGCTCTGCCTTCAGTCAGCTGCTGATGACTCCCAAGAGTGCCCTCACCAAATGACCCAGCCTCTCTCTGTTTCAGGGAATGACAGAATGTGACTTCTGGTTCATGCATCCATCTCTGGCAAGTCTGACAGATTCTGAGCCCAGTCAACTCCAGGGGCCCTCGCCAAGTTGTATTTCTGGTCTGGCCAAGCTGAGGCATAGCTCTTGACCACGGTGGTTACATCAAGCATGGAGGGAGATACACACGTGCACCCACATACACATGTGTACATACACACATGGGAATGGCAGAGAGAAATACACACATGCTTACATACAGTGGGGAGAGAGAAAAGTGAGATTATTTACTAAGTGGTAGACTCTGTACATGATCTTACTTGATTCTTACAATAATCATGTGGGGTTGCTACTATTATTAACACTGTTTTATTAATAGATGTGGAAGCTGAAACTGTGCTAGGGAAAGCTACTTGCCTTTAATCACACAGCTGCCAAGAGACAAAGAGAGTTGACACCCACATCTGTGTGGCTTCTGAATTGCGGGGTTATCCATCTATCTATCCATATGTCCATCCATCCATCCATCCACCCTTCCATCCATCCATCCATCCATCCATCCATCCATCCATCCATCCATCCTCCATCCATCCAACATTAACCAAAGCCATGCCAGTGCCCATAAACCCTTGGTGAAGGGGCCTCTGTTTCTCCCTCACCTCCTCCACTCGTACCTTTCCTTCTTGGGCTAAAGCTGCTCAGCTTCTTTCTGGTTCCTCCAAGGGGCCCCTCAATTCCCTGTCTCAGAGACTTCATCTAGGCTGTGCTGCCTGACAGAAGCACACTTCACCTAGCTGATGGCTTCTCCTATTTCAGGTTCCAGCTTCCGTGTCCACTCTCAGAGAGGCCACCCTGATTACCCTTTCTAAAGTAGGTGCTTTCTCATTATTTCTGTCACCAAATCAGGTTAACTTTCTTCCCAGCTATTGTCACAGCAGCAATTAAGTTTAATAATTTAATATTCAGTAATAACAATATGAATGAACACTTACTGAGTGCTTGCTGTGTGTCAGACACTGTTGGTTACTCCATGTAGACCTCATAACAGCCTGATGGTTATTATCATCTCCATTTTATAGAGGAAGAAATGAGGCTCTGAGAACTTACCTTCATTCATTTGTTTACGAGATTATTATTCTTCTTTCCAGCTATACTGTAATCTTCATGAAGGCACAGCTGTTGACTAGCCCACAATAGGTGCAGATCACATATTTGTTGAAAGAATGAATTCCAGGCTCTGTGGGAGAGTTGGAGAAAAATGAGACATGACAGGCTTAGGAAGAGAGAAAAATGGTCTCAGAACCACACAGCCAGTACTGTAAAAGGAACCTGTATAACATATCAATGGAGTCCAGAGAGGGAAAGATTCACGATGTCAGGGGGGATCTTGCAGGGCCTTACAGAAGACAAAAAATTTGAGCTGGATTACAAAAAAACTTTAGTGAGTTATAATTTATGTACAATACATTGCACCCATTAAAAAATGTAAAATTCAATGAGTTTTGACAGAATTATACAGCCATGAATATACATACAGTAACATTCACCTGTTTTAGTACACAGTTCTGCAAATTTTAACAAATGTATATAATTATATAATGCTGCTAAGATTATCAAGATAGACAAGCAAGATATAGAACAGTTCCATTAATCACTCCTCAAATTCCTCCATCCTTCTTGTAGTCAATCTGTGTCCCACCCTCAGCCCCTGGAAACTATGAATGTGTTTTCTGTCCTTATAGGTTTTGTATTTTCCAGGATAACATGTAAATAGAATTATACGGTATATAGCCTTATGAGTCTAGCTTCTTTCAGTTAGCATTATAAATTTAAGATTCATTCATGCTGTGGAATCTCAACCATCTATCAATAGTTAGCTGTTTTTTATTTCTGAGTAGTATTTCACTGTATGGACATCTCAGAGTTTGTTCATTCACTCACCAGTTGAAGAATATTTAGGGTTGTGTCTAGATTTTGTTGATTGAAAATAAAGCCACTAAGGCATTTACACACACATTTCATTTCACTTATGTAAATACCTAGAAATAAATTGGCTGGGTCCTGTGATGAGTGTATGTTTGACTTTATAGGAAGCTACCGACCTATTTTCACAGTGACTGTGACATTTCACATTCTTATCAGTAATATGTAAGAATTCCAGTTGTTCCTCATCTGCACCAATATTTAGTATTATTGTAAGTTCACAATATTTTTAATGTTATATTCTAATAGGTGTGTGGTGGTATCTCATTTTGGCTTTAATTTGCATTCCCCTTATGTAAATTCTTACATGCTTTTTCTTGGATTATTTGTTTTCTTATCAGTGAATTTTGAGAGTTGTTTAGATATTCTGAATACAAGTTCCTCATCAGATATGTGATTTGCAAATAATTTTTTCCAATCTGTGGCTTGTCTTTTAATTCTTTTAATAGTTTTAAAGAGTAGAAGTATCTATCTTCTAAAATTATGTTGCTCAATTCTCAATATTAAATTGTTTGTAGTAGAAGGACCTTACTACAGTATACTCCCAATTCTTCTCTCCCATCCTTTGTGCTACTGTTGCTGTAAATTTTACTTTTATACATATTATAAACACACAATACATTGCTACTCTTGTTGCTCTAGTCAGTTGTCATTTGATGCAGGTAAAAATAAAAAAAAAACCTGATTTTTATATTTAACTTTGTTTCTACTTCCAGTGTTTGTTCATTTTGTTTTGTTGTAGCTCCAAATTTCTGTCTGGTATCGTATTTCTTCTGCCTGATGAAGTTCTTTTAACTATTTTTTGGTAATGTAAGTCACCCAGCTGTGAGTTCTCTCTCCTTTTGTTTGTCTGAAAAACCTTATTTTTCTTTCATTTTTGAAAAATATATTTGCTGGGTATAAAATTCTGTGTTGACAGCATTTTTATTTCAGCTCTTTTTAACACCACCCCATTATCTTCTGGATTGCATAGTTTCTATTGAGAAGTCTGCAATGAGTTATTCTTATCTCTTTCCTCTCTAGCTACCATACATAAATTGCCTTTTTCTTGTTCATTTGTTTAGTTTTGTTTACTTGTTTAATTTGGTTACTCAGGTTTTTCTCAGAATACACATTGTCTTTTTCTTAAGTTTTTAGCAGTTTGAATACAGTATGCCTAGTGTCTGGATGTGATAAATTCAAGAAAAACATTTTTTTTTCAGGTTGCCTAAAATTTTGTTGTTTTTATAAAGGTGAGAGAAATGTTCTTTCTAGCTTTATGAATTCTAAGCTAAAGCTATAAGTTCATCATTACCTAACAAGTGTATTTTAGATTTCAGACATGCTATTTTTCAGGTGTTGATTTTCCATTTGGTAAACACGCACATACAGACACATCTATTTCTCTGATCGTGTTCCCTATCTTTTTATTCATTGGTATATTTTCTTCACCTCCCTGAGCAAAATTAGAATTTTAAAAAATAATGAAAACATCAGAGTCATCTTGTGGTTTACCATTGTTGATTTTTCTTTTCTATTGCAAAAGAGTCAAATTTTCCTAGTTCTTCATATGGTGAGTTATTTTGATTTTATCCTGAACATTTTGATTATTATGGAATAATAAACTCTGGAATATAACAGGAACTCTGGCTTTCTTTTATACTCCCCCCAAGAATGTTAATGTTTTTGTTTTAGCAGACAGTTAGATTCCAACTGTGGTCTCTCGCTTGCATGCAGTGGATGGTAGCTGGATTCCCAAGATAAATTCCCAGATAAATTCCCAGATCTGGATTTAATCCTTATTTGGGCTACTTTGAGTGTGTCCCATGCATACATGGTTCAGGGGGTTGGCCAGATACTTGGACAAAGTTTATACATTGAACCTGGGTCTCCCCATTCTCTATGTCTTTCCTTTCCTGGATCCTCAATCCCTTCCTTAGTTTCTGGTGGCTGTGGCCATGCTAACCTCTATCCTCTTTTACTGCAGAAAGATTATATGTTTCCTATCAGAGCTTCAGCGCCTTACACCACTCTGAGATTACAGCCCTCCCTCAGACAAAGCTGCAAAACTGGGAACTCACCCGATTCCAGTCCTTTCAGCATTTTGGCTTCCCTCCAAAATTTGCCTGCTTTTAATTACTCTCTAGAGTCTTTAATGTAGTTGCTTTTTATATTCTGTCCATAGTTTATAGTTATTATTTCTGGGAGGATTGATGTCTGCTAGGACTTAACTCACCATACTGTAAGCAAAATTCCACGCTCATTCTTAAAGAAAAAGTAGTTCTTTTTGCAGAAAGTATGGGCAAGGGCCTCTAAGGCAAAAAGATCAGCATGACAAAGGCATGAAAACAGTGTGATAAGCTCAGGCTTCTCTTATGATATCTTTCCTTCAAATAAATATACAAGAGAAAATGCTTGCAAACAGATACAGCTACAGTTTCTGGCATCTCAACAGCCTGCCTTTTCCCCTTGAGAGAAGAACTGAGATAATGAGGGCTTTAAATTCATCTTTCTGAATATAGACCAAATCTTACTGCCTATGTTGTCTTCCACACAGTCCCTCAGCTAGAAGCCCTGAAGGGCAATGACACACTTTGGACCCATTGTTGGAGATGAGGTCAGGAAACTTATTTCTGGCATTTGGATATTGTCAAAAGGAATATATCTTTTCCTGTCTCTTTAAAATGCCTTGCCGATTTTTGTGACACATCCATAAATTTATCTAGAAACAGATTGGCAGCAAGCTCAGTGTCAATTATTTAGAATGTGTGCCCCTTTGGACCCCTCTTTTGCTCATCTCTTCGCCCACCCCGGCATGGCACATGTGTCAGGAAAGCAATCTGCACGTGAATCAATGCTGTGGGCCGGGACTGTCTACACTGTGGTCAAAGGCTACTACATTTGATTCCTAGGAAGCTCATAAATGTGCCATTGCGGAGTGAAAAGAAGAAATACACGATAATGTATTCCATCTGAGCCATGCATTTTTTTTCTGACATCAGTTAAAATAATTTCTGAAAACTACATTTTTAATGGGCAAAAACTTAACTATTATTTATGCTCACTTAAAAAAGTAAAAGAATAAGTAAACCTAGATGGTTTTTCCCCGCTACACACATCTACCCGCAGTATTGGCAAAGAGTGAAATCAGAATGGATTCACAAAAGATGAATATGATGCTTTATTTATGGAAGAATTGCCTGATATTGCTTTTACCAATTAGGATTGACCAGGAAACAAATGTTTCTTTGTGAGTTGCTTCTTTTAAAGGAAGCTCTTTTCCTTCTTTAACCTCTTTCTGGGACAGCTGACGCTGAGGCTGCAGTGGCCTGTGTGGGTGAGAAGCTCCGCTTTTGCCCCTGCTCCTTCAGTGGGAGGGAGGAGGTGGTCTCTAGTCCTGAGGGCAGGACACTCAGACCTGCCTTTCCTCTGCTTTGGGCCTCTGTGGAGGTTGCTCCACTCAGGAAAGCGCACCCTATGGGCAGTGGAGGGATGAGCATGGGGATACTGGGGCCACTCGCATTCTCAGCTGTGCCCATCTGAGCCAGCAGGTCCTTGGACAGGATGCCAGGGCCCCTCCACAATCTGGCTCCCAGCGACCTTCTAGAGCTCTTGTATCACTACTCTTGCTCCTACATCACCCAAACACACCTGGACCTCAGGACCTTTGCATGTGCTGTTTTCTCTGGCTGGACCACATGTCTCACTCCCTCGTTTCCTTCCATCTACTGTCGGGTCCTTAGAGAAGTCCTCTCTGGCCACAGTCTCTGCCCTTCCCAGCTTTATTTACCTCTGAGCATCTCCTGACATTTTATATTTTTGTTTGTTCGTTGTGTATCCCTCCCCACGGGAATGCCAGCTACCTGAGAATAGGGACTTTGTTTTGTTCACTGCTATATCCCTTGCCTTTTGAACAGTGCCTGGTACATGACAAGCATTCAAAAAATTTGTTGAATGAATGAATAAAGTGTGACTTGCCATGTGTCTTGATTGCTCTCGTTCTTAGTTTCCTCATCTTTAAAATGGGAACAGTGTAAATTAGTTCAACCATTGTAGAAAGCAGTATGGCAGTTCCTCAAGGAGCTAAAAGCAGAACTACCATTCAACCCAGCATTCCCATTACTGGGTAGATACCCAAAAGAATATACATCATTCCACCATAAAGACACTTGCACACAAATGGTCACTGCAGCACTATTCACAATAGAAAAGACATGAAATTAACCTAAATGCCCATCGGTGGCAGACTGGATAAAGAAATTGTGGTAAATATACACCATGGAATACTATGCAGTTGTTAAAAAGAATGAGATCATGTCTTTTGCAGGAACATGGATGGAGCTGGAGGATATTATTCTTAGCCAACTAACGCAGGAACAGAAAACCAAATATGACATGTTCTCACTTATAAGTGGTAGCTAAATGATGAGAACACATGGACACAAAGAAGGGAACAACAGAGATTGGAGTCTACTTGAGGGTTGAGGGTGGAGGGTGGGAGAAGAGAGAGGAGAAAAAAAGATAACTATTGGGTACTGGGCTTAATACCTGGGTGATGAAATAATCTATACAACAAACCCTTGTGACATGAGTTTACCTATGTAACAGACCTTCACATGTACCCCCAAACCTAAAAAAAAGTTAAAAAAATAAAATGGGATTAGTGGCACTTACCTCACAAGTTGTTATGGGAATATGAGTTATGTTACTATATAGAATGGGGAGAATTCCATAAAACAAATAATATGAGTAAAACAGCTTTAACTCTTTGAGTGAATATATGTGCTGGGCATCGCTGTGTTACAGATGCATTTTACTGTGCACTCGCCGTGCAATGGAAAGGGTGCTGGCATCTTATGTGGATGGTCTTATCTGTGAGCAACACTGGCCCTCAGCTGGCCTACTCAGGGCCAGTTCCGATCGGCCCAACAGCCATCCTGATTAGTTGAAGGTCCTACTGAAAATGAGCTGTGAAGTATTTATCTCCAGTCCTGTGAAGGAGCTAAATGCTATTAACCCCTGAGTTTGATAATTGAGGAGACTCAGAGGTGAACTGCCTCACTCTCTGTTACATAGTAAATCCGGTGTGGAGTCAGGGTTTAAAGCAGCTCCATCACACTCCATCCATCCATCCATCCATCCATCCACCCACCCACCCACCCATCCATCCGTCCATCCACCCAACCATCCATCCATCCACCCACCGACCCATCCATCCATCCACCCAACCATCCATCCATCCAACCATCCATCCACCCAACCATCCATCCATCCATCCATCCATCCATCCATCCATCCATCCATCCATCTACCCATCCATCCTTCATTCAACAAATATTTTTTGAATACCTACCATGTACCAGGCAGTATTTAAAGAATATAGCAGAGAACAAAATGAAGTTTCTTCCCTCATGGAGCTCACATTCTTCTTGAGAAACACATGATGAACAAGTAAAAACATATTACGTCAGGTGGTGACAAGTGCTCTGTCTTGGAGGCCAGAGCAGGGCAGGAGGGTGGGTCCCAGAGCGGCAGCTGGTGGCAGCAGCCAGATGGGTGTGAAGCTTCAACACAGGGACTGGAGACCCCATGCAATGTTGCCCAGGGCCAACTCCAGGCCTGGGCTAACCGACAAGGCAGCCGTTTGTTCAGTGAGGTTGTACTGGCTCCGGGGATTGTTACCTCCCTCAAAATTTGTCTCTTGGAGTGGGAGTCCCCTGGAGAGGAATTGTCCTCAGCCACATGACCCCAGGGATGCTAATGTCCTCTGCCCATAAAGTCTGCAGAATGGGGCTTTCTGGTTTGTGGAGGGCTCCCAGTCCTGGGGCCTCAGTGACCAAGAGGCTGGGTGGCAGCTGGGGGCGGAGCATGGGCTGGAACGTACTGAAAAGTAGAGGATCACAGTGAGAGTGAGTGTCCAAGCTGCGATGCTTTTAGGAAGGTGGGAGGGGCAGGGCGTGGACAGGAATTTGAAGAGTCCTGCCCCATTAGTCACACATCCTGTGTGTCCTTTGGTGAGGCAACTGGCCAGCAACTCAGCAGGCTTTCTAGAACCTTCTCCAGGGCACCAGGGAGACAAAGTGGACAAAACCCAGGCCCTGCCCTCAGGCTCTCCCAGTTTAGCTGGGCTTCCTCCTGTCAATGGTGGCTTTGTCCAGGGGCCAGAAGGGAGGTGTGGGGGGCTCCCCTGCCTGCTCTCCCTCCCCAGCCTCTGAAAGCTGTCTCGCCTCCTGCTTCCTGCCTGGGAAAGTTCAATAAAAACTTGAAGTTTCAGCTTAAGAATCACCACCTTGATTAGTGACCTGCTCCAGCCAAGTGACCTGGTTAGAGACCTCCCTCCTTTGCGCCTCCATAGAGAGGCGGCATTTCAGAGCGTGAGCTTTGGAGTCAGACACACCTGTTCAAATCAGTGAACACTGATCACTGCCATGTGGTTCAGGTAAATCTTGTCACTCTGATTTTTCTCTTCTGTAAATGCCGATAGAGAATACCATCTTCAAAGTGTTGTTGGAAAGATACATGAAATGACTTAGGTACAGGGTCTGGTACAGAGTAGGTGCTTGACATGCCACGAACTACTAATTACCATTATCATCGTGCCTTTATCTTCTTCTGATGCCAGTGCGGGCTCCTTGTCTATCTTCATTTCCAGACTCTGACCTCCATGAGGAAGGGGCCTGGGCCCTGTTTTCTTTTGTGTCCTGGAGTTTACAGAGAGGTGAGCAAGCTGCAGCCCACCTTCTGTTTTTATGAACAACTTTGTGCTAGAACACGGCCACCCCACTTGTTTCCATGTTGTCTATGTCACAAGAGCAGCCTTGAGTTGTTGCAATAGACGCTGTAGAGCTCTCAAGCCTTAAATATTCAGTCTCTTGTCATTTACAGAAGAAGAACAATCTAACACCTAATAGATGTTCATAAATACTTCTTCCAAGAACCAGCAGATGAATAGGTGCCGCACAACTGTGTCATGGACTGTGGTAATGCGTTAGCTCAATTGGAATATTCCTCTTGTTAGTTTTTTTTGGGGGGTGGGGAGGGGGAGTAGGTTGGCTCTCTCCCCCTTGAGCTAACTTATATTTAAAGCTGACACCCTGATTATTAACTTCATCTGATTGTGGCTGGCTGTGTGGGTGGGTGGTGAAGCCCTGGAGAAAAGAAATGAGAGGGAGAATAAGCAGGGAAGAGGGGAGAGGAGGCACAGAAAGAAGAGACAGAAGCTGCCTCCTTAGCTTTTTCTGGTGCCACTGGCCTTGGTCAGGCCCTCATTAAGTCAAGCCTGGACCTTTGCAGTAGCCCAGCTGACAGCTTGGCATGTGGGAAGCACTCAGCAGATTTGTGTTGAGTGAATGCATGAGATGGCTGTGGACCATCAGAAGGAGTACAGGAGTGGAACCACAGGAGTGGAGCCCAAGGCGGAGTTTAGATTCCAGCTTTATCCAGCAGAGTGACCTCATAGAGGTCAGCTCACCTCTGCTCCAACAGGGACAGGGTTCTTGCTGGCACAGAAGGCACCAAAAGGAAGAAAACTGTCATTTATAGGGCAACAACAATGTGCTGGGCACGGAGGAGGACGTTTTACATCCCTGAACCAATATTCACAACAAGCCAGTGAGGTAGAGACCAGCCAGTTTTACAGCTGAGAAACAGGCCCAGGAAGTTATGCTGATGGCCTTTTCATGTCTCTTTGAGCTTTATGATCTGGGCTTCTCCCAAGATGAAGGGGGAAGAGGAGGTGAATTCCTCAAGTCTAAGAAGTGAACTTCTTAGCTGGACAATCAGTTATAACATAAGGAGAGGAGCTTACAATTTACTAAGAGCATTCTCAATCCATCATCCTCATTCAATAAAATAATCTAAATATATTAAATGTGAATAACGCTACCATTTAGTGAGTGCTTCTTTTGTGCCAGACACCCTGGGACTTGCTTTGACATGTGTTATTTTGCTAACTTCACATGGCCGTGTGAGGGAAATCATTTTAACCCCATTTTACAGATGAGGAAACTAAGACTCTGAAATGTTGAGTGACTTGCCCAAGGTCACACAGCTAGTCAGGGCAAAATGGGGAACTCTCATCTGTATGACTCAGACCACTAAATTAACTGGCTCCCATCCTGCTACTTATTTGTCATTGAAAAGGGCTTCACCAATGAGAACACATGGACACAGGGAGGGGAACAACACACACTGGGGCCTGTTGGGTGGGAGAGAGCATTGGGAAAAATTGCTAATGCATGCAGGGCTTAATACCTATAGGTACTGGATTGACAGGTGCAGCAAACCACCATGGCACATGTTTACCTGTGTAACAAACCTACACATCCTGCACATGTACCCTGGAACTTAAAAAATAAAATAAAAAAGAAAAGGGGTTTACTTTGTTTTGTTTCCAGAAGAAAGGTCACCATTTAGTACTGCGAGGATAGCATGATTGATTACAATAATTATAATACTGTGCAATAGAGTTTTTACCGCTGTTGGGTGCAATGCCACAAACATAGCCCAAGCGTCCTGACTCTTTTGAAAGAGCTGATAATTAGGTTCTTATAATTACACACCCCATTTTCTCAGAGATAGAAAGAAAAAATTGGTTTTGTGAGTTAGAGAGAGAGTTCTTTACCAATGGTCAGAAGTGGCTATTTTAGCAGAACTGGGGAAAATGTGAAATGTAAAAACATGCCTTTGGGAGCTGGGGCATATGGAGTGTATGGCCAATGACTTTGCATCTAGAAGAGTTTTTACGTTTCATGACTCTATAACCAAAATGAGAAAAGATTTAGGCAAGGCTTAATTTTAGATTGGATTTCATTGAATGCAGCTGATGCTAAAGGCAAGTGTTTGATTACAGCATGTACCTGGAGGTGCCCTGGGGTGTGGACTTGGGTGTTGATCTCCCCAACATTGACTCCCCCTTCTTTAGCCAATAGACGGATCTTCATGTGGGACACACCCCCCTTGGACATAAAGAGGGGAACCTGGGACATAACCAACTATTGAGCTCTTCTGTTGCTCCTGGATATCTGGGCAAGTGACCTGACATTTCTAAGCCTCGGGTTCCTAATCTGTACAATAGGCATAGAGATCGTACCTGTACAATAAGATTGCTGTGAGCCTTAAATAAGATAAAAGCTGTCAGTGTTTTATAGAAGTGCTTGGAAATGTTAGCTATTGTCATAACTGTAACTGCTCGTCACGGTTTAGGAAGTTACAGTCTCTGAAAGTGGAAAAACTCAAACTTTGGCAGGGTACTGTGGCTCGTCTATAATCCCAGCACTTTGGGAGGCTGAGGAAGGCAGATCACCTGAGGTCAGGAATTCGAGACCAGCCTGGCCAACATGGTGAAACCCTGTCTCTACTAAAAATACAAAAATTAGCCAGGAGTGGTGGCACATGCCTGTAGTCCCAGCTACTCGGGAGGCTGAGGCAGGAGAATTGCTTGACCTCAGGAGGTGAAGGCCGCAGTGAGCTGATATAGCACCACTGCACTCCAGCCTGGACAACAGAGCAAGACTCTGTCTCAAATAATAATATTAATAATTATAAACCCTCAAACTTTCTCCTCTGCTCTCACACCAAAATGATTATCAACACAGAAGACCTCTGAGACCCAGTGTGTGTGTGTGTGTATTTCTCCCCATCAGCGAACAAGCAATCAGTTCTGCTGCAGACACCAGCTGGGTGTCCTCTAATTCAATTCCGACACTATCAACCTGGAGACAGCATCAGATCCCACGGGTTGAGGGCTCAGTCTCCAAGACTGTCCCCCTACAGACACCAGCTGCAAGTCTGGGCCTCTGGAACTTCCGACAGACTGGCTTCAAGTTGGGTTCCCACAACCCCCTCTTTGGGTTCCATTAACTTGCTAGAACTGCTCACAGAACTCAGGGGAAATCTTACATTTACCAGTTTATCACAAAAGATAATTTAAAGGATATGAATAAACAGCTAAATGAGGAGATACATAGGGCAAAATCTGGAAGGGTCCCAAGTACAGGAGCTTCTGTCCCCATGGAGCTGGGGTGCACCAACTTCCTGGCACATGGATGAGTTCTTGTTCAATGTCCTGTCAGCCTCCACATGTCTATCTATCCAGAAGTTCTCAAAACCCAGTCCTTTTGGATTTTTATGGAGGCTTCATTATGTGGGCAGGATTGATTAAACCAATGGTCATTGTGGAGGATGGAGGGTGGGGCTGAAAGTCCCAACCCTCTAGTCTTGCCTTGGTTTTTCTGGTGACCAGCTCCATCCTGAAGTTACCTAGGGGTGCCCAGCCAAGAGTCAACTCATTAGCAAACAAAACATACCACTTTGGAGTTTCTAAGGATTTTAGGAGTTGTATACCAGGAAACTGGGTCGAAGCCCAAATATATATTTCACGGCATCACAGTCATATTCTTTTTCTGTTTTGCTTGTTGTTGTTGTTGTTGTTGTCGTTTGGTTTGTTTGTTTTGTTTTTTGAGACAGAGTCTTGCTCTGTCACCCAGGCTGGAGTGCGGTGGCGCGATCTTGGCTCACTGCAACTTCCGCCTCCCGGGTTCAAGCAATTCTTCTGCCTCAGCCTCCCAAGTAGCTGGGACTACAGGTGCACGCCACCATGCCTGGCTAATTTTTGTATTTTTAGTAGAGACAGTGTTTCACCATATTGGCCAAGCTGGTCTCGAACTCCTGACCTTGTGATCCACATACCTCAGCCTCCCAAAGTGCTGGGATTACAGGCGTGAGCCACCACGCCCGGCCCACAGTCACATTCTTTAAACTGTGAAGTTAAGCACATGTGAGTTATTACAAATCCCTCTGAGGATTTCAACCATCAGTCCCTCCTTGCCTGGCAGCTGGGCACATGCCTCAGTTTTCTTGCCCTGTCCTCTAATCTTCATGCCTGTCCTCTAGTGTTTATGCCCTGCCTTCTTCTGAGCTTCTCAGTTTTCTTCCAGACTCTCATGAGTTGGGCTGAATGGCAAGTGTCTCTTCCAGCATCTCTTCTCTTGGTGACAGTGCTGTGCCTATTTCACTGATTTGGAAAATGTCTGTGCAACACCACCAGCAACGCATGATGCTAGGGTTGTGTAGGGCTATGGAGGTGGTTGACCAGCTGTCCCACAAGCAAATGCCCATGCCTTGAGCTCCTCTCTGAGTCATGGCTCAGGATCTGTGAAAAGCTTTCCTTGGGACTTTGCTCTCTTCTCCAGGACCCTCCAATGCTCCCCTTGCTTCTCCTGCATTGTCTTCTTGGCCGAGCCCAGCTTCTCTGTGTGCCATTGCTGCTACTGCAATCGTGCCTTTGGAGTGACTGGCTGTTCCAGCTTGCCAGGGACTGAGGGATTTCTGGGATGCTCCCGGATCCCGTTTCTCTTTTTCCTCTTCTTAGTGTGATGCTGATTCCCACTTCCAGACCCCTTCACATGGCATGTGTGAGCGTCTTTCATCTCGCTTGCTTCCTTCCCTCCCCTGCTTCTCTTCCCTGCCCCTCCCCAGCACCCCAGGGAACTCCCATTTCTAAGGAGGAACAGAACTGGCATTCTCACCATGTGGCTGGGGACTGGAGCTCTCCCGACAAAATTAGCTGCCATCTCTGGATCCCCATTGCATTCTAGTCTTACACATCCTACATGATTTCATCCTTGACACCACCCTGTGATGAAGGGACTGTCATTATTGGCGTCTTATAGACAAGGAAGGTGTAGAGATGGAGAAGGTCAGCCACCAGCCAAGGTCACACCGCAGGCTGCTTGTGAAACTGGATTTAGAACCCAAATGTCTCTAGCTCCCTGCACACCTCCATTGGCCTAACTGCGCTCCCTGCCTCCTGGCCGTGGAGGAATCTAGGACAGTTGTAAAAGCCAAGGTGAATGGAGACGTGAGGACGGTGCAGCAGTGGCCGGGTTTCTCAGCATTTCACATTCGCTTCCCTCCAGTACGGCTCCACTGTATGTTGACTGTGGGGGCACATAATTATTCCCTGATTATCAATGGTCATAAATTTCAAAAAGCAAAAGTGTGTGTTTGCCCCACGCCCAGCACATTATTAAATGTTTCACCAACATCATTTTATGGATGCTTTTTTAAAGTCACATGACGATCCAAGAGGGTGGATGTTAAAATGCCTTTTCTACGGATACAGGACCAGGCATTGTGAGGTTGTTATCAGCCATATGACATGGCTGGTGGTAGGCAGCACTGGACTCTGTTCCCAGGGCTTCTGAGTAAAAGCTGCCTTGATCGAACACTTATCGCTGGCAAATACTCACTTTTATGTCCTCAAGCAAATTGTAAACTCTGACAAGGCAGCAAACATCTCTTAGGTTTCTTTATCATCTCCCAAGCTGCTTTGGCCCAGTGCTAAGCACACAGTCTGTGCTCAAAATTGACCTTTGAATGGACACTTTCCAAGGATTACCAAAAAAGAAAAAAAAAAAACCTCCAAAAACCAAAAAGCAAAACAAACAACCAAAGCTGTGTGTGAGGCTCATTTTCTTGGTGGAGGGATGAGTGTCCGGGTTATAGGAAAAGTCTAGAGGGAAAAGAAGTAGTTCTGAGGCTCCCTGTCTGTGCTGGTCACACTCATGATTATTATTGTCTTAGATGATAGGCCCAGAACTTCACGACAGAAGGGTGATTATGCCCATTGCATAGATGGGATGACTGAGGCCCAGTGGAGTTTGTTCTCTTTCCCCAAGTCTTAGATTTCAAAGTGACTGCTTTTCTCCTCCCTACACAAGCTTGCTGGCTTTTCCACGCTGCAGGCTGCCCTGCTTAGAGCTTTTGACTCAGAGCCAGGTGGGCCAGTTCCTGAGGTGCCTGTCAGACTCTCCCCCGGGGGGTTGTGTTTGGCTGTGTCCTCTGACAAAGTCCTTCTGGACTCCTACTGAGACTCAGATGACAGTGGCTCCGGCTGGCAGGCACTCTCCTCATTAAGACCTCTGGAAAGGCTGGATCTATTGTGGTTTTTTCCTCTAGGAATCAATACTTTTGGTGACACAAAACTCTGGGAAAGAAAGCCATGGAGCACAGGGGATGGGCAGAAAATTAGAAATTCTCCTTGAGTTTGGTTGTGGAAAGGAGATACAGAAAATCTTTTTAGTCTGATGAATCCTTGGCCAGGGTGTACAGGGGAAATTTATGAGATGAAGCTTGCAAAAAAAATGCAAATCCTGTGACTGCTGTCCTGGAAGCCATTCACGGCGCTGGCTGCCCTACTCCTGACTTGTCTTGACGTGAGAATTTGGGGATTACATTATTCGGGAAGTGGAAACTATGGCTTAGAGGCCCGAAGCCCACAAGATAGGTTGTTCTGGAGAGAAGAAGCGAGACAGGGCCTACCATGAGTGAGAAGGGCATCCTGTACCCAGCCCTGAGGAGTCAGAAATCAGAGAGGTGTGTCCACAGCGGGGCCCTACACATGAGGGGTTCAGCCCCTCTGGGGCACAGTTACTCAGAGCTGGGCTGGGCCGAGGAAGCTGCTTTCCTTCTATTTACTCCATACCAACATTCCCAAAAGAGAATAAAATTGACCCCATTTTGGTGAATGTAAAATAGGTCATGTGACTTCCTGAACTCAGCCTGTAACTATTTACTGAGCGCCTACCAGGGGCCAGGCACACTTCTAGGGGCCGGAGATAGAACAAACCAAAAACAAAAATCAATTCCCTGCTCTTCTTCATTCTAGTGGCAAACAGACAGCTTGATGTGCGAAGATAATTACGACACAGAAGGCCAGGGAATGATGAGGAAAGATGACAGAAGCTGGTGGTCGGGAGGTGGCCACGTGGCATCTTGCCTTCTGGGGAGGAAGGCTCCTTGCTCAGGGGCACTGACACAGGGGCCCTGGCATCCGATTTCTGCGCGTTTCAGATGGGAGGGCCTGAACCCCCCTTGGCCTGGTTGAGCCAGCACTCAGAGTAGGAGTGGGACAGATGCAGCTAAGGGATGTCCAGGAGAGAAGGCAGGCTTGTTAACTGCATGGGCGTCCGAGGCCACTTCCAGCGGGGACAGCCAGAGAGGCAGAACTGGCTTTAGAGAGGAAGGACTGTGCCTCTGCACAGCCGGACAGGTGAGGAGGAGGAAGAGGGTCAGCTCAGAAAACTTCCTGGGCCCTCACAGCTCCAGCCCTGTTCTGTAGGCACCGGGGTCTTTCCCACTTTCCCATCGTATATGATGGAATTGTTGTTCTTTTTTTTTCTTTTCCTGAAAAATTGTTACTTAATGCATAATATAAACAAATCATGACTGAATTCATTTTCAGTGTGAGAGGTTAAAATAATCTAAAAGAATACAAAGCAGAGTGAGATTTTTTTTTTACATCTCCCTTTCCATCCCAATTTCCACCCCAAATGTATCCACTGTAAACAGTTTCGCATCCATCTTCTGGACTCTTTTCTATGCATTTACGTTCAAACCTGTGCAAATATGCTTGCATCTTAAATCAGAAATGGAATTACAGTATGCACCTTGCTCCATGATTTTCCTTTTTTTCATTTTACAATTTGTATTGGAAATCTATCTATGTCACTAACCATTTCATTATTTTTCACATGATATAGCCATACATTTTTTATTATCACCCTCATTTTTTTCTGCTGAGAAATATTGTTGATTGAGTAGGCCATATCTTATCATAAAATAAATTCTTAAATGTATTTATCTGTTTCTATACTATTTTGTTCTTTTAATCAGTTGTCTATTTCTGAGTCAGTAAACACACTTTTAATTACTACAGCTTTGTAGTATGTTTTTTGTTTGTTTGTTTGTTTTTTGTTGTTTTTTAATGTAGTTTCATTCTTGTTGCCCAGGCTGGAGTGCAATGGTGAGATCTCAGCTCACCACAACCTCCGCCTCTTGGGTTCAAGCGATTCTCCTGCCTCAGCCCCCTGAGTAGCTGGGATTACAGGCAAGCGCCACCATGCCTAGCTAATTTTGTATTTTTAGTATAGACGAGGTTCCTCCATGTTGATCAGGGTGGTCTGGAACTCCTGACCTCAGGTGATCTGCCTGCCTCAGTGTCTGAAATTGCTGGGATTACAGGCTTGAGACACTGTGCTCGGCCTGTAGTATGGTTTTATATGTTGGTATAGCAAGTTCCATGTCATTGTTCCTTTTGACAATTTCCCTAATAATTTGTATGCATCTTATGGTAAGTTTAGAATCAACTTCTTAAGTTTATTAAAAATCATGCTCAAATTATGATTAGGGTTACATTGAATGTGAAGATTATGTGGAGATAATTTTTACATTTTTACAACTTGTCTTCTCATCTAGGATTATGCCATGAATCTTCATTATTTAAGGTTTTTAAAATGGTTGTGACATTTGTTTCATAAGGCTTAATAATTTTCTTCTTGCATAGTTCTTATTAGGTTTATTCCTAGATACTATATGTATGTTTCTTTATTTTTATTATGAATGGAAAATTTAATTTGATTTTCTAATTGATTATTATGTAGTAATAGAAACTACTGATTTTTGAATGTTGTGCATGTATCTACTCCCTGTTTACTGATTTCTCTTATTAGTCTTGTTATTTTGTTAGCTGATTTTCTGGGGAGATAATACTATTGCCTACAAATAATGACAATTTTCCATGTTTGAAGTTTTATTACTTTTATTTTTTCTTGCTTTATTGCATTGGCTGAGATACTGATAACAATGTTGTATAGCAAGAATGATACAGAAAGCATCATTACTTGTTCAAGTCCTAAGAGAGAATGCTTCTATATTTCACCAGTACATCTGATGTTTGTTAAGCATTAACTACTAGGTTATGGTTTTTATTTAGGTGTTTAATTTGACCAAGTGTTTTTGGGTATTTTCTTCTCTAATCTATTAAGCTGGCAATTTGTATTAATATTAATATTATTTGTATTAATATTTGTGTTAATATTAATTGTATTAATATTTGTATTAATATTAATATTTGTATTAATATTAATATTTGTATTATTTGTATTAATATTAATATTTGTATTAATATTAATTGTATTAATATCGATATCAATTGTATTAATATTGATATTAATTGTATTAATATTAATATTAATGGTATTAGTATTAATTTATTATATATTAACTATATAATTAATATATAATATTAATACTCAAATTAATAAAAATATTAATATTTTTATTAATATAATAGTATTAATATTAATATTAATATTTTTATTAATTTGGGTATTTTCTAAGCTAGTATGTTAGGAATTTGTATTAATATTAACATTTGTGTTAATATTAATATTTTAAAAGTATTACATAGTAAAATATCCTTGGCATTATTATTTTAATATATTGCTAGGTTTAATTTGCTAATATTTGATTGGTCATGTTATATCTATGTTTCTTGGTGAATATAGCCTACTATTTCCTTTTCCAGTTTTGATGTCAAGAGTTTTTCTCAGAGATGAAGGAGAAATGATTTCACCTTATTTGATGTTCAGTTTATGTATCATAAATTACAAGTTTTTTTGAAAATTTGGTAAGACTTGCCATAAATTATCTTAGTTTACTTCCTTTTTAAGGAGTAGATCTTTGGCTAACTTTCTAATTTCTTCTATGTTTATTAATCTATTTAGGTTTTCTAACTCTTCTTGAAATTATTTTAATAATTTATATTTTCCTAAGAAATAATTCATTTTATCTAGATGCTCACATTTATTGACAGTAAGTTGTACCAAGCATTCTTACATATATTTCTAATATCACCTTTATCTGTAAGGGTTCCTTTCCTTCTGTCATTTCTAAGCTACTTTTTAATATGGTCTTTCTGGGTTTTTTTTTATAAGAATTGCCAGAAATTTGTTTATTATATTAATCTTTTTAGAGAATCATCATTGGTTGTATTGATCAAATCTACTGACTTTGTTTTGCTTGTGTTCTATTTTATTAATTTCTGCTTTCATCCTTTTAAATTGCTTCCTTTAGAGCAGTGGTCCCCAACCTTTTTGGCACCAGGGACCAGTTTCATGGAAGACAATTTTTCCATAGATAGGGTGGGGAGTGGGGGGAAGAATGGTTTTGGGATGAAACTGTTTCACCTCAGATCATCAAGCATTAGATTCTGGTAAGGAGTGTGCAACCTGGATCCCTCACAAGCACAGTTCATAATAGGGTTTGCACCCCTATAAGAATCTAATACTGCTGCTGATCTCACAAGAGGTAGAGATCAGGCTGTAACGCTTGTTCACCTGCCACTCACTTCCTGCTCTGCGGCCTCGTTCCTAGTGGACCCAGCGTTGGGGACCCCTGCTTTAGACAGTGGGTTATTTTGTTCTTTCTGCCTTTTTTTAAAAAGATGCATGCTAAGGCCCCTTCTTGTCAACCTCTGTGGTTTTCTAATAAATGCATTTAAGGCCATAGATTTTTCTCTAAGTGGGTAGACTATCCAGAGATGTTAATGGTGCTTAACAAGATAAGACAAGATGCCTCCAGTCCTTGAGCATGCCTAGATAGCCATGCTATGAGCCTGGTCACTGGTGCAACAACAGATCAGACTTGTTTATATCATGCAAATCGTGTTCCAAAAACTCCAAAGAGATTTTCAAATAGAAAAATAACTCATCCCAGTACCATCTCTCATTGGCTTAGCTTTAAACAACTTTTGCTCACATTTGCATGCTTTCTTTTTCTCACTGTCCATCTGCATGTGTGTGGGTGCATGTGCCAGTCAACCATTCACAAATTCCCGAGCACCTGCTACATGCTTGAATCACAGTAGTGAACCAGATGCAGTCTCTGCCCTCAGAGCATTCCCAGTCTAGTGGAGGACAAATATGTTAGTAAATAATTTCAGTAAATGAGGTAAGTGCTATAAGTCTAAATATTTTAAAGGCTGAGAGGAGGGTGCTCTTACATCTGCATGGAGGTGGAGAGGAAAGACCTCACAAGGGAAGTGGCACAGGCTGAAGGTTTGCATCAGCACCACAGCCTGAGGATGGAAAGTGAACAAGGCATCCAGCACCCCTTCCCTTCTCCCCACCTGGGTCCTGAATCAGGTGCTTATGACATGGCCACCGTCTCCTGTAAGCGCCATGCTGGTGAGTGTACCATAGTGCTGAGCAGGCTCTGAGGATGAAACTCAGTGTTAGAAAGAGACTGCAAATCCCTATGCCCTGCACATTGATCTGTGACCTTAGACAGGTTGCTTTGCGTCTCATAAACTCAGTTTTCTCATCCATAGAATAGGTGGTTGGGAGGGTTTAATGTGACAAAGCAAGCAGGATCGTTATTGTTATTATCGTGTCTATGTTGAAACATGAGCATATATTTTCCAATCCCTTAACTGGCATTGAGGCACATGTTATTAGTTTTGTTGCTTTTTTCCTTAGAAAAACAGAAGCTTTAGTTGGTTTGATGTAATGGAATGGTTTATGTATTTTATTTTAAAGAAAAAAAAAAATACCTGCCACGAAAAGGGCTTCTGCCCCCCAGTGCTGCCCTCCTCAGCATCTGCTGCAGCCTGACACATCGTGGCTTTGTTTGCAGCCTCCCCCTCGCAGCCTAATGACATTCCTGAAGATGGCGAAGGAGAGTTTCAGGTTGCCATGGAAACTGGGTGCCAGCAAGAATCCAAGAGAATTCTAACCCTTGAAGGCTGTGTATTTATTCCCCGTTGCTCAGGGAGCAGAGCTGGCTGCAAAGATTAGGGTGTGGGGATGGTGGAGACCCTGCTTTAGGTGTTACCATGGGCCCTGTCTGGAGGCAGAGGAGGTGATAGGAAGCCATGAGGTGCATAGTCTACAGGGCTATTGTCTGGGAGCATCTAGGGCCCTCTTTGGGGCAATCTCTCTTCCCCTTTTTTTGAATCACGTCCAAATCCAAATATGGGCAAGAGATGGGAGAGGAGCAGGAAGGAGTGAAGGAAAGAGAGAACTCTCTCTATAGCTACTGGCAGCCTGCATCCACACCCGATGTCCTGAGCTGTCCCAGCTGTCCTGGGTGCCCAATTCTTTGCAGGGAGTTTGCCAGCATCTTGCCTGAGTCACCAACATCCATGCAGTTCCCCATTATCCTGTCACTACTCGAGCTTCTTTGCAGATGACCATGCCCTTCCAAGTGTGTTAATTCTCCAGCTTCTCACAACAACCCTGCCAAGGGAGGCGTGATGAGTCTTGTGCCCACTGCACAGATGCAGATGTGAAGGCTCAGAGGGGCTATGTTTGGAAGAGCAGAGGTGAACTTTAGTTCCTAGTTCTGTCATTCAAAAATCTGTCAGTAGCCAGGGTAGAAAGAGAGTCACAGGGGAGACTGAGGAAAGACCTGTAGGGCAGTGAATGGCTACCACAGCAGTGTCCACAAGTGAGAGAGGCTTAGAAGGAGGCAGATCATCTCAAGCGGCCCCAGTGGGAATTAAGTCAAGTTCAGAACCTTCTTCCTTCTGAAATGGCCTCCAGGAAGCCAGCCAGGTGCCAGGAAGCCTCCATACCTTACTGTGAAGGGCCTCACAAAACCACCTTGCAGTGAAGGCATTGCTACACTCACTTTGCAGATATGGAAACTGAGGCTCAGAAAGAAGTAACTTGGCTCGTCACATGTGAGTAAAGAGCAAGCTCAGGGGTTGATCTCATGATTCTGTCTGACTCCAAAGCCTCCCACTGTGCTCTGGGGCCAGGCCACCACCTGAGGGGTAATTAAGGGAGGGCATATTTTCCTGAAGATGTCACACCTGTGGTGGGAGGGAGTGCCGCCATCATATGTGTCATCCCTATGCAGACACACACACTCACATGTACACACATGCACTTACACTGTCACATGCATACTCACACATTTACACACCCACACACATAACGCATACATGCACAGATACATACGTGCACACGTGTGCACAGACACACACACACACACACACACACAGCCCTTCTTTGTGTTGAGGGTTTGCCAGTCCTCTTGAGGGTAGTGCTGAGACACTGGCCACCCCTGAGGCTGATGTGCTCACACACCTCCCTTCTACACCTCTGGTCCTACCCGTCACCTCAGCAAACCCTCTTTTCCAAAGATGCCGGCCAAGCGTCCATCAGCAAGTTCCCCCAGGAGGGCACACAGTTACCTGCAGCCTGGCCTAGGACTCCCTCACATTGCTCAGCCAAACCCTTAGAAAGAGACAGCTATTTGCCGCACTTGAGTTCCTGCCAATCCCCGGGCCTACCCCTGCTCACAGGATGTCACTCTGGGATCTGCCTTCCGTAACCACTGCACTGTGCCAGGCTCGCCTCCCTTGGGCTGGCCCCACTGCCCTCAGTCCATGGTCTCTTTGGCTTCCTCCCTGGCTCAGAGTCCACCCAAAGGACTCTTCAGTCCTTTAAAGCTTTAGCACTCAGTTCCATGGCCAGCAGCAGTGATTTTTCCAATTCTGGGTGATAACCCATAGTTATAGTGAAATCCACTTAGTGAAGATCAGCATTTAAAAATATGGAGTGTGGATTAGAATAGAAAATGCCAAACTGGTTGTTTTCTAATGATAGGAGCCTGTGCCATTTATTGAGACTGCTGTTTCTCTTCTATTAAGACACGAATGGGTGTGCGCTGGATTGTGATGTACAATGTGTTTCTTTCTATGAGGTGTGAGCTCAAAGGTTCAACAGTTGGTGGATTAAGTGAAAATTCATCTGAGCTTTCAGGACGCTCGAGGTCCAGCTTCTCCAACTTTCTCCAGCTGCATTTCTTGGTATTACCTCTCCCTGAACATGGCCACATAATCTGCCCTACTGTTCTCAGAACACACAGGGT
Source organism: Homo sapiens (assembly GCF_000001405.40). NCBI lineage: Eukaryota > Metazoa > Chordata > Mammalia > Primates > Hominidae > Homo > Homo sapiens. Next base: position 174,174,520 of record NC_000005.10, read on the forward strand.
CCTCCACTCCTTCCTGCCCCTGTCTGAGACACGTCCTTTGCTGGAATGCGATCTTATCCGTGCGATGTTATCCACACGCCTTCCCACGCTTGCTCTGCCCCACTGAAACTCCAGTTTCTCTTCTCAAACTCTGATTGGGGATCATTTCCTTGCTGAGGTTTTCTGCTCTTCTTTTCTTCCCCTCAAAGACAGTGGTCCCCAAGCTCACAACCTGGTCATTTTATGTCACAGTGAGTAGCCATTGCCTGCTTCCCTGACCATTTCTCGAACCAGAAGGAATATCCCATCCAGAAATATGGAAGGAGGCCTTTCTAGGCATTAGGCCATTTGCTGTGCACTGGCCTAGCAGCAGTTAACAAATAGGAGTGCCCCCCAACTTTGTAAAACTTACTACTTAGTGGCAGAGGCAGAAAATAAGTAGGTAACCGAATCAAAAACATTATTATAAATTGTGATAAATGCTATGAAAGGAAATAAGGGCTGGCCACTTTAAACAGGATTGTCAGAAAAATCCCCAGGTCTCAGTGGCTTACTGAATAGAAGTCCATGTCTGTTATTTGAATCCAGTTGGTATTGGGGGTGGGTGGCTCTGCTCCATGCAGTCACGCAGAGACCCAGGCTGATGGAGGCCATGGCCTCTTCAACATATGGCTTCCACGTCACCTAAACTGGATGTCTTAAACAACAGAAATTTATTGTCTCATGGTTCTGGAGGCTAGAGAGTTCAGGATCAGGGTGTTGGCAAGATTGGTTCCTCGTGAGGGTGCTGGGGTAGAATCTGTCCCATGCCTCTCCCCCAGTGTCAGGTGGTTTGCCAGTGATCTTAGGCGTGGTTTGGCTTGGAGAAACATCACCCCATCTCTGCCTTCATATTCACATGGCATTCTCTGGGTGTATAAAAAGCTTCCCCTTTTTATAAGGATACCAGTCATATTGGTTCAGGGGCCCACTCTCCTCCAGTTTGACCTCATTTTAGCTAATTACATCTACAAAGACTCTATTTCCACTTAAGTCACATTCTGAAGTCCTGAGGGTTAAGACTTCAACATATAAATTTTTGTGGCCCAGAATGTAATCCTATAACACAGGGTCATGCCTAATTGTGAAGGAGGCTGGGGATATGTCTCAGCTGTGTGCCTGGAGGAGGAGGACACGTTTGATGAGCAGCTAGCTGTCTCCATCACACCATGGAAGGTTGAAAGCAGAGTGACCAGGTGTGACCTGCACGAGACTGCGTTTCTCAGGTGCAGGGACTCATCTGGAACTGTCCCTGAGTCTCCCTGCAGCAGCTCCAGGCCTGGGTCTGGAAACTCACTCATTTAGTGAATATCTGTCGAACGGAACTGGATTTGGGTTTCCTTGTGGGTAAGAAGAGGGCAGGTGGTGCGAAGTTAGAGGATGTGGAATGTATAAGCAGAGTGGCTGAAACGATTTAGAAACAAAGCCGGGTGTGTGTGTTCATGTGTGATAACTGCCTTGTGATTCTGGCTGGAAACCTACGGCAATTCTGCCAACTCTGACCAAAGCCAAAAATAAACAGCTACAGGATGAAAAGAAAATGTGTGTTTTCCTCAGTAAGGCAATTCCCAATTGAGCAGAGAAAGTTTCGGTTTAAGGAAGACGAGAACAGAGACGCGTTCAGTTTCCTTTTCCCACATGGAACAGCCCAGCCCCTCATCCACTCCCCATCACTCAAACAGAGTCACAAGGAAGGAAAGACTTCATGGCTGAGGGACAGGAAGCCATTGGTAGAGGATGGATCGGTTTGATATTCCTCTAAGGTTGTGAAAGATGGAGTGAGTGTTAGTGAAATTGCTGGAGGCTGATATCCTGGTGGGGAAACCTGGATTTATATCAGATGGGCAATTCTGACGACCCTGGAGGCCTTCCAGTTTCTGGCTGAAAGGCTACAGTGGAAGCCATCACAACACAAAGCAATAGTGACAATGACTGCCACTTTCTGAGTGCTCCATATGTGCCAGAAACTGGACTAACTACATATCAACTGACTAAGTCTTTAAAACAGTGCACAGAGTTGCTGTTCCTTTCTGCAAGGAATCGGAACATCAGAGAAGCACAGTGGCTTGTTCAAGGTCCCACGCCAGGGATTCAGCCCCAGATCTGGCTGACGCCAGAGCCAACACCATCCCCACAGTGCAGTGCCTCCCGTGACCACTCCCGTCTTCTACTGCCTGGGAGTTTGTAAAATGCAGTGGCTGAAGGCAGGCACTATTGCATCAGACCTCCTGGCTTTGTATCCTGGCCCCTTGACTTTCTAGTGGGGTGGTTGCTTCACCTCTTTATGCCATGTCTTAGTTGGTTCAGGCTGCTATAACTGAATACCACAGACTGGGTGGCTTATACCACAGATATTTCTCACAGTTCTGGAGGCTGAGAAGTCCAAGGTCAAGGGGCCAGAAGAGTCAGTGTCTGTTGAGGGCCTGCTTTCTGGCTCATGGATGGCGGTCTTCTCATTGCATCCTCACGTGGTGGAAGGGGCAAAGGGGCTCTCTGGAGCCTCTTTTCAAAAAGGCACTAACCCCATTCATGAGGGCTCCACCCTTGTGACCTAATCACCTCCCGGAAGTCCATCTCTGAATACCCTCACTTTGGGGGTTAGGATTTCAACATACAAATTTGGGAGAAACACAAACATTCAGTCTATAGCAAGCCTCAATTCCCTTATGTAGAAAATAGACATAATAAAAGTAATTACTTCAAAGGCTGTTGTAAGCATTAGTTTAACTTAGCACGGTATTCAGCACACATAAATGGTAAAAAGATAGTCTTCTCTCATTGCGAGTTCATTCACACACTTATTTCAATTTTCAACTGACATGCCACCTCTTCAGAGAAGCCTTTCTTGATCACCCTGTCTCAATTGGCCTTGCCAGACCTTCTGGCAACCAGACTGTTTATTTCTTTCCTGGCACTCCTCCTCTGCCGCGTGTTAGCTGTCCTAGCCCCTCACTGACTTAGTTTACTCTTCTGAAAAATGGGAGAACCGTGGCACCAGTTTCATGGACTTACTGTGAGGATAAAGTGTCCAGTGCTTAGCACAGCCCCATCCCTCAAAAGTTGTGTCAACTGCCACCTTTTCTCTACCCAGGTCTGCTCATCAACCAGTGCTTCTCAAAGTGAGGGCTCCAACCAGCCGCTTGGCAGCCCTGGGGAACTTACCAGAAACACCAATTCTTGGGACCCAGCCCAAACTTGCTGAATCAGAAATTCTGGGGGCGGAGCCCAGCGATCTGCATTCTAAGAGCCCTCAAGGTGATTCTGACACGCGTTCAGGTTTGGGAACACTGCTTTTCCTGCCTGAGTAGAAGAACAAATACATCACTGATTATGAGACACACCATTATTTCATATTCCGCTAAGACAGGAAGAACACTGTCAACTAAATTATAATGCAGTCCTGTCTTATCATCATGATTCTAAAGACATTCTTATTTCAGAGATGCTAAAATGTGAAAAGAAAATTGCATCTTGGCATCAATGAAATTTAACATTAGGAATAGTTAGAGGATGAGAAACTGAGGTCTCGCTCATCTCTCCTCTCTAGTGGTTCGCAGCCCTGACTGCACGGGAGACTCACCAGGCTGTGCATTAGAGTTAAAAAACCCTCATGTGCCATCTGCACCCAGATGGACCACAGCAGGATCTCTGGGGCTGGACCCAGGCATCAGTAGTGCTTAAAACTCCCTGCTCCAAGTCAAATTTCTACCCTTTCCTACCATATGCAGAGATGAAATCAAGCTTCCTGGCTTCTAAACAAATAAAACCCTGTCCCAACAGGTGCCAATCAATGTTTCTCATGGGCCTTTGGCATCTCAGTGACAATGGCATGCAGGACGCACCCAGGCTGGTTTCTACTTCTTGACTTTCTGCCAGGGCTGAAGGTGTTTCCCCGCTCCACCGCAGTGGCTTAGAGGAAGTCAGTTTCATTTGCACCCTTCTAAATCCTGACCTGGGAGCCTTTTTGCTGATATAAACCTCCTTCCCTGATGGTGCAAGCTGAGCTCCAGCAAGATCTGAGAATCAAGAAGGTGGGGTTGAACTATTGATGAAGTCTGGGGATTAAGGTATTCTCCCCTGGGACCTGGGATACGAGGAAATATTTATTGTGCGTTTACTAAGAGCTAGATCTACGTGTGACCTCATTTCATGCTTGTTCTAGGAGGTAGATTTCATTCCTATTTTATAGAAAAAGAAACTGAGGGTCAGAGAGGTGAAGGGACTTGTCCAGGGCCACAGTGAATAGTAGAGCCAGAATTTGGATCCAGGACTCTGATTCTATCCTCTATACAAATGCTTGTCTCCTTCCTTGGGTCATGAGCCTTAGGTTTCAGAACATGGGAGTTAGATGCAGGCATTCTGAATAACTCATTCTATTTTCAGTAAAAATGAAGAGAGCTCCTTAGTAAAGGCTGATATTTGTATGCTACTCTGAGTTGGTACTTTACATACAGTGCCTTATTTAGTCCTCACAACAACCCTGCCAATGAGATGACATTGTCCCCAATGCACAGATGAGGAAACTGAGGCAGATAACATTGTCCCCAATGTACAGATGAGGAAACTGAGGCAGGGAAACAAGGATGACTACTCTGTGTTCCCACCTGGGACCCTGCCTAGGAGGAAGAGAGATCCTGATGATACCACTGGTGGGAGTGGCTCTGCGGCTCTCTTGGTGGGACATGAGCTCCCTGGGGGCAGTGATGTGTGTGATTTGTCTCTGCACCCCCAGCCCCAGCACTGGGCTTGGCCCAGAGCAGACGTTTAGTAAAATTAAAAGCCAAATTGTCAGCGAGGGAAGTGTTTTGTAATCTGAGGATTATCAGACTAGTGCTAGCTATTCTTATTCTTTATTCAAATAACAATACAATTGTCTGAGACCAGTTTGGAAAATGGGTGGCCTGAAGATGTTGTTGGCCTGCCTGAAACTCAGAGAATTTTGTGTAAAATTGCTTATTTCTAGTTTCTCTAGAATACTTGAAAGCCCTAGCAACACTAGAATCACTTACGCATGTCGCAGGAAGAGCAACCAGCTGGAGCCGAGGAGACACTCTCCATGAGAAAAGGTGCAGGCCCAGCAGTTTACCACAGGCCCTACCATGCCCTGTCATCTTGCACCCAGCAAGCGTCACTGTTCACTTTTCCCAGTAGGCACCTGTAGGAAATGGAGTTTGCAACAATTGCTTTAGGGCTTAAATTGCAAGAACAATAATAGATGCATTTTGAAACAGGCATCGTAAATGGGCATAGCTGGCAAAATACAGCAGCTCCTTGGGAGGTCAAAGCCATATCGACTGGCAACCTTTTGATCAGGAAAAAACCCTAGTGCAAATTGGTGACGATTTCCAACCAGATAAGCAGCAACCCCTGTGGCCTGGACCATCCATGACCTTGAGCTCCCGGGAACAGCACTCTGTGGGCTGTCAGAGCAAATATGAACACCGTACAAAAACAGGGGAGAGGACTGAGGTGTCAGGGGAAGTCGCCTCGGTCATCTGTTCAGTTCTGTTTATGGTCCAAGTGATTTTGTGCAGAGCCTTGCAAAGAAGATTTAAAAGAACTCGATGGGCCGGGCGCGGTGGCTCACGCCTGTAATCCCAGCACTTTGGGAGGCCGAGGCAGGTGGATCATGAGGTCAGGAGATCGAGACCATCCTGGCTAACAAGGTGAAACCCCGTCTCTACTAAAAATACAAAAAATTAGCCGGGCGCGGTGGCGGGGGCCTGTAGTCCCAGCTACTCGGGAGGCTGAGGCAGGAGAATGGCGTGAACCCGGGAAGCGGAGCTTGCAGTGAGCGGAGATTGCGCCACTGCAGTCCGCAGTCCGGCCTGGGCAACAGAGCGAGACTCCATCTCAAAAAAAAAAAAAAAAAAAAAAGAACTCGATGAAAACGTTTTTGCACCATAAAACACCTTTCCTGTCGGAGTGGCAAAAGGAATGAGGCCATAAAAATGCTGTTCCAGCCAGGTCTGCAGGTGAATTTCAGTCCCTGAATAAACATTCTCTCTTTCATCAGGGACAATGGTGAGAAAAATACAAAACAAAACAAAACAAAACCTCTTTAAAGAGCTGTGAATGTACTAGGTGCTCATCTCTTCCTTACAACCCTGCGGTTGTGGGGGATCTGATTCCCATTTTGCAGATGAATAAACTGAGGCTGAGGGAGGGGAAGTCTCTTGTTCAAGATCACACAGCTGGGACGTAGCAAAACCAGGATGGAACTTTACCAGTTACTGGGAGGGATGGAGCCTTTGACTTGCCCACTGGTCCCCAGGGGAGGGTACCCCAGGTTCCTTCCCCATCCTGTACTCTGGGAGTCTGGGGGTGATGTGTGACGAATGTGAAAACACACTCGCTTTGTTGGCCTCCCAGAATTCTCCCCACAGCCCTGACCCTCCTTCCTGAGTTCCAGCTGCTCACCGAGGGATCAGTGGACAAGCAAGCCCCACCTGACATCTTCCTCCCCAGGCTCAAAGCACTGCCAGGAGGGCGCCCTCGCTGCTGCCTGATTCTGCCTCTGCCTGACTTCCCAGTGTCTGAAAAATGGGCCTGCTCTTTGTCCTGTAAATAACTCCAAACTTTGAGAACTTCCTGATTCCACTCTCCAATTCTATCAGTTGTCAGGTTATACTGATGTATGTGTGCGCGTGTGTTTTGTACTTTCTTCCCCTTTATCTCTCCACTTGCATCCTCTTTGCCCTGCCCTATCTGGGTCTCATGATTTCTCTCCTGGGCCCAGGCATAAGCTTCCACACTGGTCTTCCTGCCTTGCTCCACCCAGCCATCCTCCACCCAGCAAGCTCCCCAAAGTCAGAAGTTACAGGCAGATGCTTCAAGGAGGCACTCAAGGCGTTGCTGCCTGTCTTCCCATTCTCCTCTTCCACCTCATCCCTACATCATCTGATCTGGACGATGTGCTGTTTTCTAAATTCATCCTCAGGGTTCCCACTACTGCGCTGGCTAGTGTTGTTCCCTCTGCTTAGTATGCCCTTCCTAACCCATCTTGGCTTGTTAGGAATACGTTTGTCTTTCCTGCCCATCCTCAAAAGACCCTTCTTTTACAGGATCTGCCTCTTTAATCAATGGAGGAAAACGCATGGGTTTTGAGCCTCAGATTTGCAACCCAGCTCTGGAAATCACTTCTTGGAGCAGCAGTACCTCCATCAGTTATGCCAAGATAATAACCTCTAGCTCCTAGGGTTTTGGAGTGGGGAGGTTAGAGATGATCCTGGTGAAGGCTTGAGAAACCATAACACTTCAGTAAATAGTAATTTCAGTAAAGAGTAATTTCTCTCTAGTGTTCTTAACCTCTGAACACATCACAAGCTGCTCAATAGCTAAGCCAAAGTGAGGAGTGGGTCTATCAATCAGAACTTTTTGGGTGGCAAGTGACAGCAACCCAACACAAACTGACTCAGAAATAAGGAGATGTATTGACTCATGTCAATGAAAAGCACAGGGGTAGGGCTAACTTCAGGCTCAGCTGGATCCAGGACCACAAATGACATCACTGGATTGTTTTCTTTCTCCTGCTTGTCCTTTTTCTCTATCTCTCCCTATTGTTTTCTTCCGTTTTAGCTTTTTGGTTTCTCATTTAGACTCTTCCCATATGGGGACTCTGCACAGTCCCTACTCACATCCTGATAGCTTAGCAACCCTGATGGAAAAAGAGAGCCGGCTTTTCCAAAGTTCCAGCACACAGGCCCCCAGCTGACTGACTGCATTGGCTGGTCACATGCATGTCAGTGACCCAAACCTGTCAATGTCCACTCTTGAATCAGAGGGCTGTGGGCAGTCCCACCGGAACCACATGGGCTGTGGATGGGGAAGGGCTGGTTCCTGAGGAAACTCAGGGTGCTTTAACTGGAAGAGTAGGGAATGAATGTTGAGCAGACAGAAAAATATCCACACAGCGGATGGAAGCAGAACGAATGTGCAGTTAGTTATGCTTGCAGACAATTGTACGAGAGTGTCCTGGTATGTTCTGCCCACTGGCTCTGCAAGGGCAGGGCCTACCTTCCAAACTCACATAACACGTGATCCTCCAGACACACCTATGGGATAGAAGGTCCCCTCTCCTCTTCCAGTCTCTAGTGACAGCCTCACAGCTGCCCATTGCCCGTCCTATTTCTCCCTAGCCATCCCTTTCTGCTTGCTGGTGCCTTCTGAGTAGCAGGGTGATTCCAGTGCTGCTGGCCACTCATTCACAGCACTATCTTGAACAGATTACTGGGCCTCTCTAAAATGCCGCTTGTTTTGTCTACACATTGAGTGCTCCAATAAGAAAATGGCCAGTTACCCAACACTGCGGAAATGATAACAGTGGTTAACATTTATGAAGGGCTCACTTACTGCCAGGGCTGAGCCTTTATTAAGTGCTTTTTGTGCATAATCTCATTGAATCCTCTCAATGACCCTACTGGGAAGGTACCATCATATCCATCCCTGTTTAATAGATGAGAAAGCTGAGCTCAAAGAGGTCAAGCACCTTGATTCAGGCCATACAACTAGTAGATGCTACAGCTAGAATTTGAGCACAAACTACCACCTGTTACCCCCAAAACCCATAGAAATAAAAATTTAAAAAGGCATAATCTTGTCCCCTCCTCTCAAAATGTCCCTTCCTCTTTGAGACCCTCTCTAGCCTCTGAATGGTGAGCTGCCATGCTGTGTGTTCCCACAGCATGATATAGGAATGACCCCGCACACCCTGTATTCACCAGGGATCTTTCAGTTGCGAGTGTCAGAAACCCGACCCTTACAGCAGGATGATGTAGTTAAGAACAAATAATATCTACTCGAAAATTGCTAAGAGTGTAGATCTTAAATGTTCTCACCACAAATAAGCAAGTATATGCGGTGATAGATATGTTAATTAGCTTGATTTAATCATTTCACAATGTATATTACACATATATCATGTGTATAATATACATAATATATGTATACAGCCATATGATCTATGTATACATATATCAAAACATCATGTTGTTTGATGTAAATATATGCAATTTTATTTGGCATTAAAAAATATCAATAATAAAAAACCCAACTCTGGCAGGTCTTAACCAAAAAGAAACTTTAAGGCTCACAAAACTCAAGTGTCTAAGGCTCATAAAACTCAGACACATCTTGATCCAGGTACTAATAAAAGATCAATGAGAAACTGCCTTATCTTTGTGTTGGGCTCATTTTAATATAGCCGCTGGTAACTTTGAACTTACATTCCACCAGATAAGTAACACCATGGAAAAAGAAAGCATTTCCCCCGAAAAGTTCCTGCAAAAAATATCAGGACTGATGCTTGCTGGCCTGGCTTGGGCAGGTGCCTGCGTTGACCCCAGCACTGTGACGTGAAGAGGCCCGGCAAGGGCTGTGTTTCCCTGCAGGTGGATGTGCACAGCCCCTTTAATCACACGGACTGAGCATGGGATGGGTGAGGGAGGATTCCCTGAAGAAAATCAAGGGCTGTGACCAAAGAAAGGAGAGTTGGATGCTGGACAGAAAACAGTAACAACCAGTTGGGTGCGGTGGTGCACGCCTTTAATCCCAGCGCTTTGGGAGGCCAAGGCAGGTGGATCACCTGAGGTCAGGAGTTCAAGATCAGCCTGGCCGACATGGCAAAACCCCATCTCTACTAAAAATACAAAAAATTAGCCAGGCATGGTGGCAGGCACCTGTAATCCCAGCTACCTGGGAGGCTGAAGCAGGAGAATCGCTTGAACCCTGGAGGTGGAGGTTGTAGTGAGCTGAGATCACACCACTGCACTCCAGCCTGGGCAACAGAGTGAGATTCCATCTCAAAAGAAAAAGAAAAAAGAAAAGAAAAGAAAACGATAACAATCACAACAACTAGGTATTCACTGGAATCTGTTTTTCTCATCAAGATGTGAACTTAGGGCAGGGCCTGAGTCTAGGCACCCAGCATGGGATTTGACATCACTGAATGTGAAATAGCTGAGAAAATAATCAACAATAAACTTTTTGCAGGAAAAAAGGACAGATATCAATGTTCTTAAAGAGGGAGACACTGCACAGAGTATCTCCAGACAGATTTCCCTAGGAGCCTGGGTTCACCATGCCTGGGCTGTGTGCCTCCAGGCAAGTCACACAGTGTCTCTGTAGCCTCTGTTCCCTCCTCGGTGAAAATGATGAGGACACCAGCTATCATGCAAGTTTGCTGTAAAAAAAAGGTAATAATAAGATAATGTATATTCAAAAGATAAATTCTTTTTTTTTTTCTAGATGGAGTTTTGCTGTCACCCAGGCCGGAGTGCAATGACACAATCTCGGCTCACTGCAACCTCAACCTCCCAGGTTCAAGTGATTCTCCTGCCTCAGCCTCCCAAGCAGTTGGGATCACAGGCACACAGCACCACACCTGGCTAATTTTATGTATTTTTTTAGTAGAGATGGAGTTTCACCATGTTGGCCAGGCTGGTCTGGAACTCCTGACCTTAGGTGATCCTCTCGCCTCGGCCTCCCAAAGTGCTAGGATTACAGGGGTGAGCCACCACACCCGGCCTCAAATGATAAATTCTGAGGAGATATTCTAATTTTCATTCCCCTCCAGAATGTCTGGGTGTGCTATCACCAGCTGTGCAACATTCTTGAAGAGAGAAACGAATGTGGCCTGGTAGATAAAAGTGTTCAAACATTAATAAATTTTGGTTTGTACAAAAAGGTGGCAAAGCATTGGAGGGATCCTTTTCATTCACTCTTTTACACGTTCACTTGGGAATTTCTTCATCCAAATATGAGTTGGGCGTCTTCCCTGTGTTCAGACAGCATTGTAGGTATTGGGAATGTGGCAGTGGGGAAAATGGCATGGTACTGCCCTCACGAAGCTGATCACCCAGCCAGGAGACGGGCAAGTAAATAACAGAAGAGAATCAGTTCAGATGATGAGCAGCACCACGTGAGGAAAGGAAAAATGAGCCGTAGCCCGGGACAGATGGGCCAGGTGTATGTGGGGGTGGTGGGTGGGGGCCACTTTGGCTGGACGGTCAAAGAAAGCCTCTGCAGAGGAGACACTCGAGCTGAGGATCAAGACAGAACCAGCCAAGGAGGGTTTGGGAGCAGAGCCTCACATGGTGGGTACAGCAGGGTCTGAGCCGTGGCAGCTCAGGTTTGGGGTGTTCAAGGAACAGAGAGAAGGCCAGGGTGTGGGGTGTGTGGGGGGTTGGAGTGCACAATGAGTGAGAGAGAGGAGATGGGGGGAATCAGGTGCATCCAGGGGGTGGGCAGGAGCTGGGGCTTATCAGAGCAGACACACCATACATGAAGGAAGCTTGGCCAACTAGGAGGATCTTGCAAACCCCACCCTCTTGCCACTGTCCTGGGCTTGGGGCCCAGCTAAGAAGGGCCCGAACAGTGAGAATGGGTCAAGGGATGCACACAGCCACTGTCCACACCCTGGCCTCCTAGGGGTGATCCTTTCTTGTTTAGGTGACAAGGATGTGTGAGGGCTGCTGTGATTTTTGAGAGACCTACAAGCCCTGGAGAGGAGGAAGGGATCAGAGAGCCAGACCTGCTCCCTTCAGCGGACACATGCCTGGAAGGTTAGAAGGTTAGTTTGCTGGTAAGCGGGTGAGATCAAGCTGGGGTTGTGTGTATTTGCAGAGAGAACCACTAGGAGTTTGGAGTTTTAAAACCATGATATGAGGGCTGGCAGGGAGCCTGCAGGAGGGTCTGCTGAGACGACACTGTGGCTGGGGCACAATCCAGGATCATTATTGAAGAAAGAGGCTGCCCCGAGGACCCCCCGGCTCCTCCTGCTCCCTCTGGTTTCCTGGTTAAATTTGCAGCTGCCCTGCACTTGAGCCAAGCCCATGCACTTTAAAGGAAGCATGAAGAGCCCCCAGCTCTGCAGGGCTGCTGTCATGGAGGAGCTCCTGCTGGTGGATGGCCTTTCAGTGCGAAGGGTGAGAAGACAGCTTCCTGTGGTGCCCAGAAGGAAATGTCACCAGTGGTTTCCACAGTGGAAGCCATGGAAAGCCAAATCCAGGCAAATAAATCCCGCTTGGGCATTAATAGCATGGGGACAACAGACGCCCCTTTTGTACCTGGGACAGTGATCACTATAAGGGAACACTGCGGTTGTCAGGCCCGCCTGGGATCTAGATGGGCATGCTATTGATTGGTTTCCCCACTCCCCGGCCACACACACAGAACCAAAGCTGCTTTTTAAATCAGGAGCATTCTATGAAGCGGGGGGCTTTTTGTTCTGCTGAGACTATGATGGGTTTGAAGTTTGGGGAACAGGACTGTGGGTAAATTACTCTAACAGAGGGAGGGAGAAATGCTAGAAATCCCTGAGAATTTGGGCAGGGAGGGGATAATAAACAGGTAGTGGGAAATGGGAGGAGAGAAAGAAGACATGAAAACAGCAAGAGGTTGTTCGGGGGTGTGATGTGACTCCTCTTTATCCCTCACAAGTGGTCAGTAAAAGCCACCAAATGCATAAAATAGGAGCGGACTTTCCAGCTGGGACAGGTGAATCCCAGCGGGATTGCATGAGGCTGTTTTCCTCACATCGTGGGAGACTGGAGGAGGCAGTTGCTGGTGTCGGCTTGGAGGTTCCAGGATGGCAGGGGGTCTGTGCAGCTTAAAGGCTACTGGGAACTGCGGTGTTCTAGCTGGTGCTTTGCGGGATGCCATAGGCAGGGCTCTAGTCCTGGAAGGAAGCGGAGCATGGAGGTGGGAGGAACACAGCAGTCTCTGTGGTGTGGGGCAGTTTCAGGTCTGGGGACATGCAGCAGCATGTGGGCATGCCATGGGGGAAGCTAGAGCCCAGGAAGGGCAAGAGGCCAGACAAGGGGGGCTCCCAGAGAATTTGCAGAAATCTAGGGGAAGACTTTGGACTTGGATTCAAGTCAGTTTTAGCCAGAATTTGAGCCGCATGAAGACCACCATGACATTATAACCAAGATGTGGCTTTGCGCAAATCACTTTTCCTCTCTCTAAACCTCAGTTTTTCCATCTCTAAAGTGAGGGTGATAGTCCTTACCCAACAAGATTGTTGCGAGGCTGCAATGGGGACATGAATGCCAGTCTTGGCCCAGTGCCTGGCGACTAGTAAACAGTTGTTTCCCATCCCTAGACTTGGCTTTCCAGGCTGGGCGTATATCCATTGTTGCCTCTACTTATCCTAAACAAGAGAAAGGCCTGTCACAGTGTGGGCTTCCTGAGGGCTCCAGCTCCAGCTGCTCAACGGGTAGAAAGATCTGATCTCCTGTGCTAACTGAGGTTGTGGTTGCTGTGAAATGCCTTCAAGAGGAGCTTGCTGCTGCCTTTGGTTGCTGCACTACGGGACCTTCATGGGTGCTGCGCCTCAGGCCTAGACACCTTTCCAAAGCGGTCTGAGAAACACTCAACTTTTCAGATGCCAATAACACTTCACCTCCTCTGGGAAGCCCTCCTTGACCACACTCTCTTTCCTCACAGAACTGATTGGATGCATCTCCTCTGCCCTCTGTCTGACCCTGCATTAGTGACCTTCAGATTTTGCTGTAATTATCTGCTAAGTTGGAAACTTAGAACACTCCTCCTCCCTCTGACCTCCCCTCTCCCTTCTCCCCCTCCCCCATTTTTTAGAAAGACAAACTTCAACAGTTATAGCAGATATAGTGCAGGTGTCTGTGTCCAAATCCCACCATCTGCCTCTTGCTTCTCCCCCATTCCTTCACTCACTCACTGTCTTTCTCCCAAAAAGTAGCACCAGCGAGATTTCCTGGAAAATATGGCCACAAAAACTGATCTTGAAGCCTTGTAAACAAATCCCAAACTCAGCAAGTCCTTGGCAACAGGCCTGAACTCATTTGAAAAAACCAGTGGTCATCATCTTTAAAGTCAATTTCATCACACCAAGAAGACTTAAGTTACCATTTACAGATGAGGGCAGCTGTTCCTGGGACCTGGCCACACTCTGTGTCATAGTCCCTGAGACACGCCCAGGGCTCTGTTCCTACATCTGAATGAATCAACATAAGCAAGACTTGCTAGCTCTATAGCAAATCACACCCATTCTCACAGGCCTTTCAGGAGGGATGTCCTCTCCCTCACTCCACTATGGAATAGGGTGGTCCTGCCTCATTCCAGACCCAGGGTCCTCCCAGTCCCTCTAGAGCCATCCTGATCCTCCCTCACCCTGAGATCTCACACTCTAAAGCCTAAAGACAGTGGAGCAGCCTCAATACCCTCCAGTTTACTCCCATGAGGCACTGGGCGCACCATGGTCAATTATGTAAATGAACTTCCCCAAGGGGTAGATTTTAGGCCTTACTGTGTGCCAGGCAATTATGTTGATGACTGCCATTTATTGAGAGTTAATTATACTTTCTGAAAAACTTACTTTATTTTTGATATGAAAAACGGACAATGAAGGATCTCTCCAAGGTCCTCCGTCCAGAAATGTTACAGAGACTCGAGCCCAAGTGACTGGGCTCCAGAATGTGGGAACTAACAATTGTGCTATGACACCGTCTCAACTTTGGTTCCTTTAATATTCATAAGAGTTGTAGGAGGTGAGACATGGTCAGAGAGGTTCATAGCTTCCAAGAGGGGTCAGAGCTAGGAAGTGGCAGAACGAGGCGTTGAGCTCAGGGCTGGCTGAGTCCAGGTCCACAGCTCCCTCCTGGCCCATGTGCCTTGGTCCCAGCCTCTGTCATCTGCCTGCCAGTGGTGACGGGCTTACCCATGAATGCATCTGCTCTTCCGTCTGTGAACAGCACAAACAGTTAATTTCCCCCAGACTGATCACTTTTGTCTAACATCTGGTGCTTGGCGAGCAACACTTGTGTCTCCTTCAAGGGCAACCTACTCTGGTAAAGGTTTTCAGCTCTTCCTCAAAGCTGGTTGAAGGATCTTCATATGAGAGAGGGGAGCTGGGACTGGGCTAGAAAGGGACTTGGCCAAGAGGAAACCCCAAATCTCCAACTTCCATCCAGGACTCTTTGCTTGAACCATCAAATGTCTTTGTTTGCTTACTTGTTCATTGGCCACCAAATCAGACAAACCCTGAGTCTAGAGCAGAGCACAGTGCACTGTAGTTGTAGAATATTTATCAAATGAAAGAATGAAACCAGCATCCATCCATCAAACATTTGAGGCACACCTATTCTGCATTTGACCTTGTGCAAGGCATGGAGAGGAATACCGCGTGGTCTCTGCCCTCCAGAAACACTCAGGAGCTCACATTCCAGGAAAGGAAGGTAAGTAGACACTTGTCGCCCAGTGCAATAAATTAGTAGGCGTGAGGGAAGTCAGTGCGGGTCACAGTGAGTTAACAAATGGTCCAGAGTACAGGCTACATGCCTGGCCTGCTGAATGGAAGGGAGATTAATTAATTACTCAGACTCTGCCTGCCAAGTTGTATGGAACTCTGCTTGATCTCTGACCCTCTCGCTTTAAATACTGCCCTTAAGTCATATATTCTGAGAAAGAAAGAGTCATCTCCCCAACTTCAGACGAGGAAATAGAACAGAGCCCCAAGATCTGTCTTGGTTCTTTCCTTGCTAACAGGCCCTCTGAGTAAATCCGAGTAAAAAATTAATCAGACCTCACTAATAGGGGCTGTGTTTTTGGCTGGGTAATAGAATGTGCTGAGTGCTGCGGCCGCCGCCGCGCCCCCTCCGCAGCTGCATCCCCAGTAGGTCTGTAATGGGGCTTGAAGGAGAAAGTCTCAGACATCTGCCGTCAGGCTGCAAATTTGTTTTCTTTGGTAACCTTGACTCCAGACTGATGGGTTGATTTGGCAGTTCCTGCCTCTGGGGGACAGAGGCTGCTCTCAGGAAGCTGGTGGGGGGCTCTAGGATGTGGGACTGAGACAGGGCTGAGCTGTTAGGGACCAAGACACACCCAGCTTAGCACACGGCGTGCCTGGCTCCTCCAAACTCATCACAGCCCCCTTGTTGCCATGCAACGGAGGCTTCTTCCACTCCAGGCCACTGTGCACCCACAACCCGTCTTGAGGGCTGGCAGACCTGGGTTCAGAGCCTGTCTCTACCACTCCACCAGTCAGGTGATCTTGACCGGTCCCTTCCCTTCTAAGTTGAGGTGAAATCATTTACAGAATGGGCATGACAATAACATATTTTTTATAAAGCAAAATATCAGAAGCTATCCAAATTTGATTTAAGAATTTCATACTCCAAAACCACATATACACGTGCACACACACACACACACACACACACACACAAACACACACACACACGCACACACACAAACACACACACGCACACACACACACACACAGGACCATGCAAAGATATTCACCGAATCTTTGTCTTATAATGGCAAGGAATGGAAAAAAATGTAATGTTCACCAATAGACGGTGACTAAAAATTTTGGGGTGTCCAAGTTATGGATTATTTTGCTGCTGTTCAAAAGTACAAGGTAGTCCTATGTGTTCTGACAAGGAAATATTTCTACAGTGTATCATGAACTTGGGAAAAGCACGTCTCAGATCGATATCTGTACTTTGACTTTCTTATGAAAACAAAACAAAATCTCCCAAACCCAACATATCAGAAAACTGGATGTAAAATGACCAGTGAAGGGGAGACCTCGGGCTGGTTCTGCTCAGTCCCACCTGCCTGTTGATGGAGGGCCTTTTGGTCTCTCCCACAGCCTCCCTGCCGTCTTTCAGTTCCTGCAAGAAGTGGGAGAGGTGCTCATGAGGGTCCAAGGAGGTTGAGGGGGTGGTGGTCTGCCCAGGTAAGTCAGATGGGAGCTAAGCAGTGCTGGGGCTGGTGCGATGTTGATGGATGCCATGTGAGCTGGCAGGGATGGGTGCTCCTGTTTCACCCACAGCAAGCACAGCTGGCCCCCCCCCACTCCTTGGCACTGCTGATAAACAGCACCCCCTGTTATAGAAACTGGACTGTCCAGGGGGCCACACCAGGTCCAGGTGAAGGCACCACTCATGCGGGTGGAAGAGGGTGGCCTCCAAGGCCAGTGCCCCTGGGTCTGGCTTCTTGTCCTGGGCTCTCTCTGAGCCTCCGCTTTGCTATCCTTCTTGTCACCTCTTTTGTCCTTTCTCCTTTCCCTCCTTCCCTGTATCCTCCTTGATACAGCAACTTCAGGAAGGGGAAAATTGGCTGTGACAATGCATCTTTATCTTTTGTACCTTTGCAATCGGATCTAGGATTTGGAAATTTGAAAGCTAAGATCTGAATACATTTATTCCCTGTTCTTTTGTGAGGATCTACCCTGCAGTTAAGGGATGTTTCAAATTAAATCGTGTGAAAGGAGGATGGCCACTCAATAACATAAAGGGAAGGGGGATACATTCTGATTAGAAAACCAGAATGTTATAACTACTGCTACTGCTGCTTATTGAGATTTACCACACACAGACTAAGGTGCACACCTCTTTTGCCCCTTCTTGGTGACCCCAACAAAGCGATTCCCTTGCCTGCTTCCTGCATCTTTCATCTCGTAGACACTTGAGTTTCATAATCCATTCATGGTCATTATCACGTATTGTCAGCTCTCAGCGTTCAAACAAAACCCTCAGCTCTACTTTCTCTAATTAAGATAAATTGCTGGATATTTGGACGCTATCAGAAAATGTGGCTCCCCACTGCCTGCTTATGAGAAAGAGGGGCAGGGTGAACCCTGGAGCTTACAGCTGTGATTTCTTCCTCCCTAGCTCCTGGATCCCTTCATGTCATCCTCCTAGTATCCTATTCCTGCACCCACACTCTGCATCTCCCTCCTCCACAACCCTCACCTGGCAATTCTTCCCAGAGCAGCCGGAGACTTCTTTTCCAGGCAGACACCAGATCATGTGACTTCCATGAAAACCCTTCCATCTCCCTAGCAGCTTAGGATAAAGGTCAGAATCCTCAGCTGTCTTCTCCCACCCGCGACCCGTGCCACAAGCACCCCCTGCCCCATAACCCCCTACCAAATGACTTCCTCTCTGTCTGCAATCGCCAGGCTGTCTCCCACTCAGGGTTTCTTGGTAAGGGATCCAAGGGACATCATCCCACTTTGGGACCCAATGCTCCCACTCCCCAGCCAAGTGCCACCTTACAGTGACACTTTCTGCAATTGCCAGGCTATCCCTAATGCAGTTGAAGCCCTGAGACCTCAAGGGGTGGAGGCAGCTGGAATTGGTAGCACAGCAGTTTGGATGCAGGCACCTGAACTAGCTTTTGAGTGTGTGTTGTTGTGATAGTGGAAGCTTATTTGTGCTCCAGCAACCACCTAACCTCTCTAAATAAGAGAAAATATTCTCTGGGTGGCCCCCAAGAGGGAGGCCTGATGGCACCTCTCACTCACAGCCCAAGGAAGCTGGACACACACCTTCTGCTGGTTGGACCTCCAAATCAGCAAGGAAGGGCCCGATCCCCTAAGGGTCCTAAGGCTGCTGTGGAGACCGCGCACTGTCTGCAGAGTGAGAGATGCACCTCTTTGGCTGGGGAGCCTCTTCTTTGTTCCCCAGAATATGTGGCAAGCTGGGAGGCTGCACGGAAGCTTGTTTATGCTTCCTCCGTACTCCATCTGTCTATGGACAAAGGCCACACTGTCCATCTTGGAAACCAGAATATTTGTCCTGGAGCAGACAGGACTCTCGTGCCTGCCAAAGTCCCCTTGACCTTGAAAATTTCTCCCCACCAGAGCCCTTGCCCCGGCTTCGTGGACTTTTCTTTCACCGTGCTTATCGTGGATTGCAGCCACGCACGTGTCTGTGTGATGATTCGATACCCGTCTGTCTCTCTCACTAGGCCATAGTGTCGTAAGAGCACTTGGTACACTTGTCTTTAGCTTGGAGCCTTGCACATAGGAGGTCTCATTAAGCATTTGTTAATTAAATGAGTGAGTGAGTTACTGACCAAAGAGGCTGCTGATGGCTGAGTGACTCCACCTCTTGAAGTTTCAGCCCCTTCATCTGTCAAATGGACAAGGTAATGGTTCCTGCCTCACTGGTTATTGTGAGCACCAAATCCTAAACTTCCAGACAGATTGGCCAAATTAAGCATTAAACAAGTCATGTTGAGCCTGTGCTATGCCCCCTTGTGCTGGGCATAATTTTATTTCTTCCCCTTCCTGCTCTCCTTCAGCCCTAGGCTGCACTTCTTACCCCATGGGAGTTTGTAACCAAGAATCTACATTTCTGCTCCCATGCAACAGATGAAGCTCTCTAAAACGTGACATTGTTAGGCTGACTTCGCCAGGACAGCACATCTTTTTAATAACGACAAGATGGGCCACCATTTATTAAGCACTGACTGTATTCTGGGGCTCTATGTACACCATCTCATTTAATCCTCACGTCAACCCAAGAGGATAAGGAAATCATTATTTCTAGTGTCAGTAGGGAAACATGGACTGGAAGGGATAAAGGAATCTTCCCAGGGTTGCATGGCTGGCAAGTGCCCAAGGTGGGAGTCAGCTCCAGGTCTGCCCACCAGTCATCGGAGGGCCAAGGCTGTGTCTTATTCTTCTCTGTACTCTATCTTCCTAGACTAACAGGCAAAGAGAATTTCTGGGCACAACTGGATGCCAGAATGTGGTTTGCTTAGGAAGGATGGGGCAGCTCTCACTTCGAGGCAAGCTCTGCAGCATGGTCTGAATACACAGTAGGGACAGGGCTCCTCATGTCCCTCCTGGGGGACAAGCCTGACCTTCAGCAGCTCATGTGGCCCCTCTACCGAGCCTCCACTTCCTCCCTGGGGACTATGGTAATTAATAATATACTCTGTGTCCCTGAGCTCTGGTATTCTCGCGTCTAAAATGCGAGTAACATTACTTTGGGTTAATCAAGGGAAGCTTTTAAGGCACTGAATAAATCACAGGACTTGAAAATGCTGACTCCTTTTCTTGATCTTCAACCTGGCCGCTTTTCTTTTTCTCACACATAAATGAAAAGCTACATTAATATTAAAGCTCACATTACTTTGTCCAACATCTGTGAATATGGACCAGCCAGCTGTGCTGCTAGCACCCCGTCACCCCCACATGGAGGATTTCGGAGGCGGGCACACAGGTTTGCTCTGCGGCAAACCTCACCCGCTTGCCTTGGGAGCCCACTGAGCCCCCAGGTGACCTCAGCATCTCAGTTCTGGCTTGGAGGCATTTTAGGGTATGGGAGGGAACTCTTAATTATAGAATTATAGACATCTGAGATTTCCTAAAATGGCCAAGAACCCCCAAATGACCAAGCAGAGCATCCCTGTGTCCCCATCGACCCAGCCAGCTCTTTTCCTTTTGGCCTCAGGGATGTGGTGTCCCAGCAGTCCCACCAGAGCAGGTGCCCTGATGCTCTCTGAGAGGAGCCACCTACATTACAGCCCCAACTGTGGATGACATAGGGCCTTCCAGAGTGCTCCGAACCCGGGGCTCCTCAGGCTTCTCAGGTGGGATGGGGATAGGCTGCCAATCTTTTTGCAAGAAGCTGCCACAACAGGCCCATGACCTTGAGGCCTCCTGTTCCCACTGCCCTACTGGGGGTGTGAAGGGGAGCTAGCTGGGGTCTCATCTACATTGTCATTTTCCAGCCCCGAGAGGAGGTGTCCCACATGCTCATCACTGCCGTGCTGAGCAGGCCTTTCTGAGTGGGATCCTGTGCTGGTCTAGAGCAGGTGCTAGAAACCTGAACCAGAGTTGCATGCACTGCCAGACCAGGGCCTCGTCCTTTGTCCAGCCCTTTCTATGTGTTAGAGGCTATGATGCACATCTGAAAGCATGATGGCAATCAGAACCACCATGAGACTGGAACGCGTGCTCCCTGAGCGCTGGGACTCGCCTTATTCCCTGGTGTCTCCCAGGATCCTCCTCAGTGCTTTGCACACTGTAGGCGCTCATGAATGTGGAGCCCTTGAGCAGAAATGGTGCTGATGAAGTGCTGGGATGGTGAAGGCATTGTGCTGCGCTCCTCACTGCCCCAGTTCATCGAACCCACCCGACAACAACCACACCAGGCAAGCAATATTTCCCACCATGTTACAGAGGGGAAACAGAGCCATAGAGAGGTTGGTCCAGCTGCCAGGGGCACACAGCATGTGCATGGCCAGACCAGGATTCAAAGCTGCCTCTGTCAACACCAAAGCCTGACTGCTGAGCCACACTCCCTCCCAGGCTCATCCCTCCTCCCAGAATGGATGCCTGGCACTCACTACGGCTTGAGTTACAACAGGCCCAAGTTGTGGTGGGAATGCAGGAGAGGAAAGGGTTAATTCTGCCTAGTGCAGGGAGAAGTCAGAGACCTGGAAAGCCAGGAAGTGACATTTGATCTGTGTGGCTTCTCTGTCATTAGCTTCCTTCCATGCTGGCATTGGTTTAATTCGAATTCATTAAATGAGAATAAAAGTTAATTGAAATCATTTGAGCAAGTGTTAAAAGGCTCAAGTCTTGCCTGGAGTAATAAAGTACAAAATGCATCTATAGCCTGCTGGCAAGAATTTTCTTTGTAATTGTATATACTTTAAATAGGCAATTTCTGCATATAGAACAGACTTTAAAATATGCCTTTCTTGCCCCATTCCCTGCGCTCACCTGCTCCCTAGCCATCCAGTTTTCTTCTCAGAAGGTAAGGACTATTACCAGTTTATTTGTGGGACCATCCTTAGGTACTCCATGTTTGTAAGCATATAAATATTTATCATGTTTATACACAAATGACAGCATGTTTTGTACTCTGTTCCACATTGTGGTTTTCTTTTCCACTTCTTTGTTCATATCGGTTTATAAATAATTATTTTATTCTTTTTAAGAATTGTATTCCATTGTATGGCTCTTAACACAATTTATTTAAGCAGTCTCCTATTAATGGGCACTTAGGTTTTTAATCTTTTGATATCATTATACTGTAATACAAAACTCTGAAAAAAAAAAAAAAAAAGGCAGGGCATGGTGGCTCACGCCTATAATTCCAGCACTTTGGGAGGCCGAGGCAGGCAGATCACTTGAGGCCAGGAGTTTGAGACCACCCTGGCCAACACGGTGAAGCCCCGTCTTTACTAAAAATCCAAAAATTAGCCAGGCATGGTGGTGCGTGCCTGTAGTCCCAGCTGAGGCAGGAGAACCGCTTGAACCTGGGAAGTGGAGGTTACAGTGAGCTGAGATTGCACCACTGCACCCCAGCCTGGGCGACACAGTGAGACCCTGTCTCAAAAATAAATAAATAAATAAGAATAAAATAAAGATAAAATAAAATAAACTAGAACTCCATACCCACATCAATTTGCATGAGCCTGACAGTAGAGCTGTGAGATAAATACTCAGAAGTGTAATTTCTGGACACATCCGGGCTGTGCGTTTGTGACTGCGGGAGGTATAACCGCAAGGGTTCCCTAGAGTGCGTTGCATCTTACACCCCCACCAGCAATAGATGAGTGTGACTGTTTCCCTGTAGTCTTATCAACACAGGGCACTATCTAACTTTTTGATTTTTGTCAATTTGGTAGTTGAACAATAGCTTTCCCAACCAGCTTTAATTTTCCTGTCTGTTACTGTAAGTTCTAAGGTTTAGGACGTCTTCACCTGTCTCAGAGTTATTGAAGCTTCTTATTCTGTGAATTTCTCTATTATTTGATGGTGATACTCTGGAGAAGCTGCAGCTAGAGATGGAGTACCTCTGCCATCTGGATGGTTCTGGGGAAAGCCACTGGGTTCTGTTCACAACTCATCAGTGGATTCCCTGAAAACCAGCAACTGGCCTAGACTTTGCCAGGCAGGTAGAGGCTGTGGAGGGGAGAGCCCAGACATTCACAGTTCACACACCTGCCCTCCAATCTCAGCTCCTCCACTGTTATGGGCTGAATCATGTTCCCCAAAACTCATATGTTGGGGTCCTAACCCCCACACCTCAGAATGGAACTATATTTGGAGATAGGGTCTTAAAGAAGGTAACTGAGCTAAAGAAAGTGGGCCCTTGTCCAATAGGACTGAGTCCTTATATAGAAGGAAAATCTGGACACAGAGACAGACAGAGGAAAGACCATGAGAAGACCCAGAAAAGATAGCCAGCCACAAGCCAAGGCGAGACGCCAGGAACACATTTTTCTTCACGACCTTGAAAAGGAACCAACCCAATGACATCTTGATCATGGACATCTGGCCTCAGAACAGCGAGACAGTAAATTTCTGTTGTTCTTTGTCTGACAGCCCTAGGAAACCAATACCGCCACTGAGTGGACAGCGCCCTGGGCAAGGTGCTTCACCTGTGGAGGCTGTTTTCTCATCTGCAGAAGGGGGATATTGACCCCTTCCTCACAGAAGACTGCAAGAGCCTGGCTCATGCCCGCAGTTTAAGGCTTTAAGCATGAGAGGTAGCCCCCACCCACTCCATGGTGGACCCAAAGGATCTCAGTTCAGATCCTGAGAAGGAATTTGCTTCAATCACCTGAGAGATTTGCTCAGTGTCTCACACATCCACAGCCAAGGCCACGCAGCAGAGTGAACGCTGGATGCCTGGGCTCCCACTTACTTCTGCCATCAAATGAAGGCTTATTAGCCTTTCTGAGCTTTAGTTTTCTCATCTGTGCAATGAGGAAGAGAGTGGATGCAATGATCTCTAAGGATGCTCTGACTAATATTCTATCATTTGCTTTGAGGAAGGTAATCAGATGAATATATTCATTCTCTGCAAATGAGGGCAATGCCCATACATGAGATCACAGTTTTTTTCCTAATGCTGCTGCTTCCTTGGAAAGTGGTTCCTAGAAGAACAGCTTGGAAGGGGAAACCATAAACTGATCTATGAAGATAGTAAACCAGTCTTTCTAAAGAAATCAGTGATTTACCTGTAGCTAGCTGCCGTACTTACTACAATTGTCCCTGAATTCTATTATCTGGAGGTGGGCTAAGAAATGGCAATATTTCTCTCAAGCCTATCATGGACAAAAAATATCGAGTTCACTACTACAAACATATACCAGGCACCTACTGAGTGTCAGGGGTGGCACTGGGCCCAGGACCATTCTGCCCCAGCACAACGTCCCAGCCCTGCCCTATGCCAACCATCAGGCTTTGGCTGAGTTGCTCCACGTTTCTAAGTGTCAGTTTCTTTGTTTGCTAAATACCTTTTATAATAACATCTACTTCACAGGACTGGAGAGACCCAAGGGGGTAGGGTTTGTAAAGGCTCTAGCCTGGATCCAAGCTCCAGAGAGGGTCGCTCTGTTATTGGCATGACGTCATGTCTTCGCCAGTGACCATCCTAAGGACCAGGCTCGAGCACATCCTTTTGGGAGTGCTAGGATCTAATTAGTGTCTGGGGCCTGCTGCTGCCATTTCTGGCTTGGTCTGAGTCATCATCAATTATCCGGCAGCCGGGGGCCAGAGCAGAGCCTGGCAAGGAAGGACGGAGCATCTAAGGATGGGGACCGCCTGACTGCCACCTGGGCACCTTGTCACAGTGCAAGGGCAGGAGTGAAAATGGCCCAGGTCTGAACAAAGTATCTGTCCCCTTGGACAGGCCAGGTTTCCCTTCTGGAAATGGGAATGGGGTGATCTCTTCAGCCCCTGCCTGGGCTATCATGCTGGGACTCTAGCTAGCTTGTCTCCATGAAAGGTTTAGAAATTAGGTGTAAAAAATATTTTCATCGTGATAAAATACACGTTAACGTAAAATTTTCCTTTTAAATCATTTTAGTTGTTGTTGGAAAAAATACTGTATTTTCTTGAAGACACAATATACATATTTCATAAGTTAATGTTTGAACAGGTAGGACTGCTCTTTCAAAGAATGTCTCCATTTTAATGTGATATTGTTTCTTGTTATCTTTATTTAGGTTTTATTTTCTTTTTTCAACCTTCATTTTAGATAGAGGGGGTGCATATGCAAGTTTGTTACGTGGATATATTGCACCAGCTTGTGAACACAGGACTCAATAGGTACTGTTGACCCATGCTCCCTTCCTCCCTCCCGCCTCTAGAGTCCTCAGTGTCTACTGTTCCTGTGTTATGTCCATGGGTGCTGAATGTTTAGCTCCCACTTATAAGTGAGAACAGGCAGTATTTGGTTTTCTGTTCCTGCATTAATTTGCTTATAATTATAGCCTCCAGCTGCATCCATGTTGCTGCAAAGGACATGATTTCCTTCTTTTTTAAGGCTGCGTAGTATTCCATGGTATATATGGACCACATTTTATTTATCCGGTCCACCATTGATGGGCACGTAGTTTGATTCCATGTCTTTGCTATTGTGAATAGTGCAGCAATGAGCATGAGTGCATGAACAGGAGTCTTTTGATAGAATGATTTATTTTCCTTTGGGTATATACCCAGTAATGGGATTGCTGGGTTGAATGGTAGCTATGTTTTAACCTCTCTGAGAAATCTCCAAACTGCTTTCCACAGTGGTTGAACTAATTTACCTTCCAACCCACAGTGTATAAGCATTCCCTTTCCTCTGCAGTCTCACCAGCATCTTTTGGTTTTTTGTCTGTGTGTGTGTGTGTGTGTGTGTGTGTGTGTGTGTGTGTGTTGAGACAGAGTCTCGCTCTGTCACCAGGCTGGAGTGCAGTGGCGCGATCTCGGCTCAGTGCAAGCTCTGCCCCCTGGCTTCACACCATTCTCCTGCCTCAGCCTCCTGAGTAGCTGGGACTACAGGTGCCCGCCACCATGCCCGGCTAATTTTTTGTATATTTAGTAGAGACGGGGTTTCACCATGTTAGCCAGGACGGTCTCGATCTCCTGACCTCGTGATCCACCCGCCTCGGCCCCCCAAAGTGCTGGGATTACAGGCGTGAGCCACCGCGCCCAGCGTGTGTGTGCTTTTTTTGTTTGGTTTTTACTATTTATTTATTTAAATTTTTATTTTCGGTTCAGAGGTACATGTGCAGGTTTGTTATACAGGTAAATGCATGTCACAGAGGTTTGAGGTACAGATTATTTTGCCACCTAGGTACTAAGCCTAGTACCCAATAGTTTTTTTCTCTGCTCCTCTCCCTCCTCCAGGTCCCAGTGTGTGTTGTTCCCCTCTTTGTATCCATGTGTTCCCATCATTTAGCTACCACTTGTAAGTGAGAACATGTGATACTTGGTTTTCTGTTCCTGCATTAGTATGCTAAGAGCTCTAGCTCCACCCATG
This sequence comes from Homo sapiens, assembly GCF_000001405.40. NCBI lineage: Eukaryota > Metazoa > Chordata > Mammalia > Primates > Hominidae > Homo > Homo sapiens. The sequence goes on from NC_000005.10 coordinate 174,200,586, forward strand.
TTCCTGCAAAAGACATAATCTTGTTCTTTTTTACGGCTGCATGGTATTCCATGGTGTATATGTACCATATTTTCTTTATCCAGTCTTGCATTGATGGGCATTTAGGTTAATTTCATGTCTTTGCTATTGTGAATAGTGCTGCAATGAACATATGTGTGCATGTGTCTTTATGATAGAATAATTTATTTTGGGTGTATCCCCAGCAATATTACTAGGTCAAATGGTAGTTCTGTTTTTGCCTCTTTGAGGAATCACCATAGTGCTTTCCACAACGGTTGAATTAATTTACACTCCCACCAATAGTGTATAAGTGCTCCCTTTTCTCCACAACCTTGCCAACATCTGTTATTTTTTGACTTTTTAATAATAGCCATTCTGAGTGGTGTGGGATGGTATCTCATTGTGGTTTTGATTTGCATTTCTCTAATGAGCAGTAATATTGAGCTTTTTTTTCCATACGCTTGTTGGCTGCATGGATGTCTTCTTTTGAAAAGTGTCTATTCATGTCCTTTGCCCACTTTTTAATGGGGCTTTTTTTTTGTAAATATGTTTAAATTCCTTATAGATGCCAGATATTAGACCTTTGTCAGATGCATAGTTTGCAAATATTTTCTCCCATTCTATAGGTTGTCTGTTTACTCTGTTGATAGTTTCTTTTGCTGTGCCAGAGCTCTTTGGTTTAATATGATCCCATTTGTCAATCTTTGCTTTCATTGCAATTGCTTTTAGCATCTTAATCATGAAATCTTTGCCATTTCTTATGTCCAGAGGAGTATTGCCTAGGTTGTCTTCCAGGGTTTTTACAGTTTTGGGTTTTACATTTAAGTCTTTAATCTATCTTGAGTTGATTTTTATATATGATGTAAGGAAGAGCTCCAGTTTCAAGCTTCTGCTTATCACTACCCAGTTATCCCAGCACCATTTATTGAATATAGAGTCCTTTTCTTATTGTTTGTTTTGACAAGTTTGTTGAAGATCATTTGCAGGTGTGCAGCCTTATTTCTGAGGTCTCTATTCTGTTCCATTGGTCTATGTGTTTGTTTCTGTACCAGTACCATGCTGTTTTGGTTACTGTAGCCCTGTAGTATAGTTTGAAGTCGGGTAGTGTGATGCCTCCTACCTTGTTCTTTTTGCTTAGGATTGCATTGGCGATTCGGGTTCTTTTTTGGTTCCATATGAATTTTAAAATAGTTTTTTCTAGTTTTATGAAGAATGTCATTGGTGCTTTGATAGGAATAACATTGAATCTGTAAATTGCTTTGGGCAGTGTGGCCATTTTAGTAATACTGATTCTTTCTGTCCATGAGCATGGAGTGTGATTCCATTTGTTTGTGTCATCTCTTATTTCTTTGAGCAATGTTTTATAATTCTTATTACAGAAATCTTTCGCCTCCCTGGTTAGCTGTATTCTTAGGTATTTTATTCTTTTTGTGACAATTTTGAATGGGATTGTGTTCCTAATTTGGCTCTCAGCTTGGCTGTTGTTGGTGTATAGGAATGCTAGTGATTTTCTATCCTAAAACCTTGCTGAAGTTGTTTATCAGCTTAAGGAACTTTTGGGCCAAGACTATGGGGTTATCTAGATATAGAATCATGTAATCTAAAGACAGGGATAGTTTGAATCACTCTCTTCCTATCTGGATGTCCCTTATTTTTTTGTCTTGCCTGTTTGCTCTGGCAAGATTTCCAAGACTATGTTGAATAGCAGTGGTGAGAGAGGGCATCCTTGACTTATTCCAGTTCTAAAGGGGAATGGTTCCAGCTTTTGTCTGTTCAGTTTGGTGTTGGCTGTGGGTTTGTCATAGATGGCTCTTATTATTTTGAGGTATTTTCCTTTATGCCTAGTTTGTTGAGGACTTCGAAACCATTTTTAAGTTTGTAGTTCAGTGATGTTAAGTATATTCACATGGACTCCCTACCTCCAGAACTTTTTATCTTCACAAACTGATAGTCTGTGCCCAGGAAACAATAACTTCCCTTTCCCCCTTTCCCTCAGACACTGGTAACCACCATTCTATTTTCTGTCTCTGATTTGACTGTTCTGGGTACCTCACACAAGTGGAATCGTGTATTATTTACATTCCCATCAACAGTGAACAAGGGTTCCAATTTCTCCACATCTTTGCTGCCACTTGTTTTCTCTTTTTTGACAGAAGTCACCTTAACGGTGTGAGTAAAAGATTTATAAAACTTTTGCTTTGCGTATTCTTTGTGAACACAAGCATGTCTTTTGCGTATAAACCTCAGGTCATTAAATTAAGCATTAAGTGTGACTTTCTTTAATATTATATCATTATCTAATGCCTACTTTAACTTACCACTCTGCTAAGTGGTGGAAAGGTAATCACAGTGATTATTCAGTGTCCCTTCCTTGCATCGAAGTTGTATGTAACTTCCAGAGAGTTCATAGTGCCAATGTGCCGGATGAGGTGGATGATGAGATGGGCATCTGTTCCTCACTGTTGTCCTATAGGGGCACTTGCTGAGATCTCCTCCTTTCCACCGTTGGGCACATGTGTTACTGCTAAGTCACTGTGTCAGCCAGCATGATTAGTTGCAGATGACAGAATCTACTCCAGTAGTTTAAGCAGAAGAAGATTTATTAGAAGGCTGGAAGTTGCACAGAATATCTGGGAAGGCCTGAGGACAGAATTTAAATGTCTCACTCCAAGAACAACACAGCCAGGAGAGACGCCACCCACTGCAGGACTCACACAGTGGACACGCAGCATGGCCGATGATGCCTGCAGCCTGGCATGACAATTCAGGACTGGATACTATTACCTTCATCGCAGCTGCTTTAAAAGGAGTGGACCTCTCCCCAGCCCTTCTGAAGACAGGATATATCCTCCCCACAAGGCCTTCTTTGGGCCCTGCCACGAATCTGGGGAAAGTAGGGTGTGCTTTGCAACCTAATTTATGGTAAAAGTAGGGAAACTATCAGGGAGTTTGAATAGGCAGCAGAGAGCAGACTACAGACGACATAATTTAAGGTTCCTGATTAAAGGCCGTTTATGCATCTTTGAGCTACTCCCAGGCAGACCCCTGGGGCCTTCTTGGGCTGTCTGTTGTGTCATACTGCATGGATCCCCTCTTCTGGATGTTGTTACCTCCCAAGGCTCTACCCGGAAAAACAGTTATGGTGCCCTCTGCTTTTAGGCCTGGGGTTTCCATCGTCTTCCCCACCCTGGGATTAGAGAGCCTCCCAAGAAGGACAGGGCACAAGAGCCTCCTGAGGGACCCTCTGCCATGAAACTCTCCTCTCTCCTGCCCCAACTTTCATACGCAGGGGTCTCTTGATCTTGTTTTGGTGGTGGGGATCTGGTTCTTTTTTATTTTTTTTTTTTTGACAGGGTCTTGCTCTGTCACTCAGGCTAGATGGAGTACAGTGGCACAATCATAGCTCACTGCAGTCTCGAACTCCTGGGCTCAAGTAATCCTCCTGCCTCAGCCTCTCGAGTAGCTGGAACTACAGGAGGGCCACCATGACCAGCTAATTCTTTATTTTTATTTTTTTGTAGTGATGGGATCTTGCTATGTTGCTCAGGCTGGTCTTGAACTCAAGCGATCCTTCCACTTCGGCCTCTCAAATGCTGAGATTATGGGCATGAGCCATGCCAGGCCTAGTTCCTCTGTATCTATTCATTCTCCTAAATTTATTGTATTGTGTAGAATTTTGCAAGCTCCCCTGGGGGCCTCAGCTTTTAAAACTGAAAGGGCTTGCTTAGCTTTCCTTCTTGGAGGTACTAAGTACAACCTACTCACCCTGGCTGTTTGGGTGAGTGAGGGGACAAGGGCTATGAGGAAATGCAAGGACAAAAACCATCTAAGCACTTCAGCCTATTGTCCCGCTATGTCTAATGTGTCCTCTCTGTGTCTAGTTGGTCATCAACACAATCTCATAGGTTTATACTCTTAGAACAGGAAGGAGGGGACAGTGACACTCCCTAGGGAGTGCAGAACGGGGGCCAGAGCAGGGGCCAGGCAGGTGCACATGTCATCTCCAATCCTCACAAAACCCTGCAGGGCAGGTGTTGCTGCCTAATATCACAGATGGGAAAGACAAGACTCTGGGAGGTAAACTCATCTCATAGAGACTATGCTGTGACGGGGGGGGAGCTGGCACTCTCTCATATCTTTCTAATTCCAAACCCGGAGCTTTTGCCAACAGCTCTTTTGTGAATTCACTCATTTTGAACTTTCCATCATAAAGCAAGAATTCATCTTTTTTAACCATATCTGCCCTGTTGAAGTGGGAAGCCAGGAATGTTACACATTTAGTCTGAAGGCTAAATTTCTTTTTGCATTCTTTAGATAATTCTGATTTTCTGCTCATGCCCTTGGCAGGGGAAGACAGGAGCATAATTAGAACTGTGACATCTGAAGATAAAGGAAAGCTGTTTTTTTTCCCCCACCTGGGTCTGAGCTTGGTATTCTTCGATGTGGAAGCAATGGGGCTGATGGGGGAGGAGCGGAGAACAGTGAGATGCACCTGCTCATTGAGAGCTCTGCTGGCAGCCGGCATTCCTTTCTGCGTTCCAGCTGATCTGCATTCCTGAGCGTGTGGTGGCCATTGCTCATGTTCACCAATGACTGGCTCTCCTCCCCTTCCAGGTGCACAGAACATGGCATTTCTCAACCTCCTGCAGAGGGGCAGGGATGCTGGACCAGTTCCAGTCAATGAAATGTGGATGGAAGTGATCGTAAATTGAAAACACTGTAAGTCAGAAATGCATTTAATCTACCTAATCCTAGCCTACCTTAAACTGCTCAGAACACTTACATTAGGCTCCAGTTGGGCAAAATCATCCCGCATAAAACCTATCTTATAATAACATGTTGGATATCTCGTGTAATTTATTGAATACTCTACTAAATATAAAAAACAAAATTGTTGTAGGGGCACTCGAAGTATGGTTTTTATTGAATGCGTATCACCTTTGCACCATTGTAAAGCCAAAAAATCATAAGTGGAACCATTATAAGCCGGGGACTGCCTGTAGATGGGGCCACGTTGGGAGGGGGTATTGGTGCTGTGTCCCAGTGACATGAAAGGAAAGCAAGGGTATTGCTGGGGAGGAGGATACACAGTCATGAGGAACCTAGAGAATGCCTATCTGCCTCTAGGCACAGCGGTGTGTGGGGTGTGAGAGAGAACAGCCTCCACTGGCAAGGGCCACAGAAGTCCTAACATTATCAAGGCTTAAGGCCGTAATAACATTAGTCCCTGATGGCCCCAAGGTATATTATATGGTGGCTATCAGCACCGGTAGGGTTTAGGGAATCTTGCCAGGTGCAGGGAGATTTCTGAAACTCCCACTCAGTATCATTTCTGGATGTGGATCCTGCAGAGAAGAGGAGACCCCTAGGGAATGGACACCCCCCATCAATGCTGATGGTTTCCTACAGAGGAAGTCTTGCAGAAAGCACGCTGGCTCCTTCTTCAAACCAAATTCTGGCAGATGCCAAAGCCCATGCCTTCCTCCACATTGTGTCAGCTCCTTGGTGAATAAACTCTGGTGGTTTATCCTGGGTTGTAAATTATCTTGCCAGGCACTCTTATCTAAGAGTTGAGTCCTGTGATTTCTTTCAAAGGATCTATTGTTGAGATTTCTAATTTTCAAACATTCTTTCAGAAAGTTGATGGGGTATGATTGCCAAACAAAAGCTAACAAGAACTTATGGCGCCATCAGTTCAGGAAAGAAAATGTCAACGGCTGAACTTAGCCAATGACATCAACCCTACATTTTCACTTAACTAAAGAAAGAATATTTTTAGTCTTTCTGCTGCCTCTTGAAATTCTCTACTGATTTGACTTGGTGAAGGACATCTTGAAAATAGCAAGAACTGTTTATTGAAAACCTATACCGAGGACCTATATTAGTATCCACCAAAATTTATTCTCTTCTTCCAGAGTAGTGGGGTTGAAACTGGGTCCACAGCTGCCCAACGGCCCAACAAATCTCTGTTCCCAGCATCCGCTGATGCTTCTCTTTGGGGCCTTAGGATCTTGGGATGCTTGCTCCATGCCTCAGCTCCAGCCACTCAGCCAACCACCCCAGAATGCCAGCAACCTGGCCCCTGGATTACCATGTAGACCAGAGCTGCTCTGTCATTTCAGCACTCTTCTGGGGCAAGAATAGACTTCTGTGTTCCTTCAGACTGTGAATGATTTTCCCTCTTTCTTACAGTAGCTCACTGCTCTTCCCAGTACCACCCCTGTGAGCTGGGCCATGTGCTGGGCATTTTGCAGATATTATCTCGTGGAACACTCACCAACTCTGTGAGGTAGGATTAGTATTCTCTTTTACAGATGAGAAAATGGGTTAGGGCCCAAGTGTCCGTTGACCCATAGCGTGGAAAATGTGGTATACATACAAGGTGGAATACTACTCAGCCATTAAAAAGAATGAAATAATGTCTTGCAGCAACTTGGATAGAGCTGGAGGCCATTATTCTAAGTGAAGTAACTCAGGAATAGAAAACTAAATACCATATGTTCTCACTTATAAATGGGAGCTAAGCTATGAGGACACAAATGCACACAGAGTGTATAATGGACTTTGGAAACTCAAAAGGGGGAGGGCGAGAGGGGCGTGAGGAGTAAGAACCTACATATTGGGTACAACGTACACTGCTCAGGTGACAGGTGCACTAAAATTTCAGAAATCGCTAGAATATAATTCATTCATGTAACCAAAAGACTTTTGTACCCCAAAAGCGATTGAAATAAAAAAATTAAATTAATAAAAAAAGAAAATGGGTTGGGGGAGGAAATGTTACTAGTCCAAGGCCTTAGAGATAATAAGTGGTGGAGGCTGCCCCTGAGGCCCGGTCCTTGGTCCTTCCACACATCACACTGGGATAAACAAAGAAAAACAAACGCACACACAAACTGGGAGGAAACAAAATACACAGCATCCTCCAAGCCTATCAAGGAAGGTCGGTTGCTCCAGGAGATCAGCATGCTGGGACCTATGTATGTCAGATAGCATAATGGGCTGTTAAGAATGATTAGGCAGTTGCTGCTTTCCCCCCTCTGTGTCTTTGGCTACATACTTCCCTCCACTTGGAATTCATTCCCAAACCTCTTCACCCTCCCAATCCTCCATTTCTTGCCCCCTGAAATCCTACGTACCTTTCAACATCCACTTTCTGATGTGGCTTTCCCATGAGATGACCTCAGAATTTGCTACTGGAAGAGACCTTCAGTAGATATCTGTAAATTGAATGTTTCTTCAGTTCCCCCTTACCAGGTGCACCTGAATTTCCTGACTGTTGAAATTTAAGGGGGATTGACTCCACAATTGAGTCCTTATTGGTTTTAGCCTGGCCACAGTGATGGATTCAAAATGAGCACACAACCCAACTCAGGCCAATCAGAGCCAATAGGACTCAACTTTTTTGGTTCACATTGACTAATAAGGCAGATTTTCTTTTTACGTACTAGATTTGAATAAGGAAGCATGTGACCCAGGATATCACTGGTGGGCATCTTGCCACCATGAGCCTATGGGGACTGCAACCATTCTGAGGAAGCAGAAATGTCAGATTCCATTTACATTGTTAGAGCAGCTGGATCACACCTCTCCTGAAGCCACTGAACCATTCAGTTATGGAAGCCACTCAGTTGTATTTATTGTGAATGGCTATAGTCTTCCTTCCCAACATTTTCCCTAACCTAATGGCCCAAAACTTTTAGAAAGGAGGAACCTCTTTCCTTGGATAATTACCCTGGTCTGTTGGTTTTGGGTTCCCAGGATGTACACAGATGTCACTGAGAAATTTCTCCTTCCTATAGTATTTCTCTTGGGAAACAAAACCCATAAAGGGGATGTTAAAATGAAGTTCTGAGACTACAAATAATTCTGTAACAAAATATTTTTCTATAATTACAACTTCTCTCAAAGGAACATGAAAAGCAAACAAAAAAAGGAAAAGAATGAATGGATCCTGTTAAATGAAGCAAGAGGTGGAGTGAAGTGAAATGGATTCTGTTAGATGAAGCAGGAGCTAGAGAGAAGTGAATTACTCTGCTTAATGGAGGGAGAAAATTTTTGAATTCTCAGAGCAGTTCAGGAAGACAATATGAAGATGCAGGTGATATGGGAAAGAAGGTGTCAGCAGAAATTCTCTGTGGGTGGTAAGATGAGGTCGGTGGGAGAAGAGAAAGGGACATTTGTAAGCACCTCCCTCTGTTCCAGTCAGCACTCTTCATCTTCTTATCTTGGATAAAGCCTACTGCATCCATGGAATAGGTGCTAATAAATATTAATTAAATAAATGAATGGATCAACAAACCAGCCAAAGTTACAAGGACTTTACAAATGCACATCAGGAAAAATAACTCTGAGGTTAGGCAAATTTCCAAGTGATAAACCTTAATGATGTCATTTTCAATAAGTGAGCTAGGGTGAAACCTGTGCCAATGCTATTCCCAAATATAGATAAATCTGCCTAAACTTACTCCCTTATCCCTCATGCCTCAGTGATATGAAGATAGAATGAGAGAAAGATAATTGAAACTGACACAGAGTCTCTTTGCATAGAGAGTCCTGTGCGGCTGACTTTACCTAACAGGTCAGTTCTTATCTAGGGACTAGAGGAGAAACTGTGATCCCCCCAGGCCAGAGGCTGAGGGAAGTCTTGAAGCTTGAAGAATACAAAGCTGCAGAAGAAGGAACATAGTTTCCAAAACGAAAGTTAATTAAACTAATGCATTTATTCATTCATTCGATTGTTCATCCATTCTTCGCCAGTGTACCAGGTGTTCGTGAAACATACATTCATGGAGTGTGTAGTCTGGCGGGAGATAACAAGTAATTATAAAAATCAAAGGAAATTCCTTTCTTCCTTTTATAAAGTAAAGGAAATTAATTTTATAAAAACAAATAATAAATGTCCAAAGAAGGATGTAGAAGTCCTCTGAAGTCTGGGGCATCAGGAAAGGCCTCCCCAAGGGACATGGGCAGGACCACGTCGCGATTTTAATGAGTGGTAAGCACTTTTGCTTCCATGGGCCTCTTCCTTTCTTAAACAAATTAACAAGTTATTTTATGGCTATATTGGTATGTTGGTGATAAAGACGAGTATATTTCTGGCTGTATTCTTTATTATATATTCATTATGGTCCTATCGACATTTTTCTTTTTAAGATAAACTGAAATTGAAACACTTTATAGGCCCATGATATTTTTAGGGCATGGTGCCTCTGGCGCTTAATGAATATGCCGGCCCTGGAAATGGGTTTGGGCTCAGGTCCTAAGGAGCCAGACGAGGGTCACTCAAGAGCAGAGAACAGCCTGTACAATGGCTTTCATGGACACATCCTGGCAAGGCTGGGGTCTCATGGGCTGGGGGTGAAGAGGGGTGAGCTGGGGGTGAAGAGGGGTGAGCTGGGGGTGAAGAGGGGTGAGCTGGGGTTGAAGAGGGGTGAGCTGAGGCAGGAAAGCACAAAGGGTCCACATTACGGGAACCAGGCTTACTTTTTAAGATTCCTCTGGCTTTGCACCTGGCATGATCCTTCTCCCTTCAAGATCCACCTGGATGCTGCCTCCTCCACGGGCCATTCCCCAGTCTTCCCATCCTGGATGACTCTCCTCTTCCTCCCCCAGCTCCCACATCCTCCATCTGTCCTGCCTAGGGCTGACATCTGTGCCCTAATCCCTCTTGCCAGGACTCTGGGTTTCACAGGATAGGCACTCACTGCCCCAGCATACGTGGAGAGGGAGCTTCCTGGTTCCTCCTACAAGGGACATCTCCAGGTGTCAGAGAATGCCTGCAGCATGCAGCCTCTATTCCTGGTGCTGCCTTCCTCTATGGCGACGCCAATCTCAGTTGGAGTTTCCTTGTGTTGTGCTGAGAAGGCTCTCACAGCCTTGTCTCAGAAAAGATTACAAAATTGCATTTCTCTCACTCTGGGGGGGTCATATGCCCATCCTGAGCCAATCATGGGGCTAGGTGATAGGGTGCTTTGTATGGCTAAATCTGGTCGTATATGCACCTCTTATGCTCGGAGTGGAGTCAAGTTCACTCAAAGACCAGGGGCTGAGTAAGGGAAAGGATTTTTCCAAAAGAAGAGGGAGGTGCTGTTCCCAGCATAGGATTCATGAGTGAGTGGGCATAGCAAAAGATGAAGCCTACTCTGTACTCCCGCCGTCAGTGAGTGCCAGGAGTGGGGGACCATGTTACTCCTCTCGGATGCTTGGAGTAGTCATGGCAATGCCTTGTCCAAAGCCCAGACAATATTCCCAGTAGAGAAGGAACCACCTGCCAGGAAACCTCACCAGAACTAAATCCGACTCCAACTACACCTTTCACCAGTGTGGTGACCAAAGATAAATCTTTTACAATCTCTTGGGGCTTTATTTCCCCCAGAGATGCTGATAGAGAGCTGGTTATAAGATAGCCTTCAGGGACACGCTGGGTGAATGTCCTCCCCCTCCATCCTCAGGGGGTACTGGTGTGTTCACCTTCACTACTAATGTTTGGATTCCCTGGAGTCAAGAATCATGTCGTATTTATCTCTAAACCTCAGTTTTCTTACCTGTGAAGTGGGGATAATTTCAACCTTGAAAGACAATTGGGAAAGGAAAATAAAATCACGAATGCAAGGTGCTTATTGAAAAAAAAAAATGAATGAACCCAAAGCTGAAACACAGGTAAATTATGCTGTCAGTGTCAAGGAAGGATGAGGGAAGAAAAGAGGAGAGTGGAGGAAAGAGACATAATTCTTCCCCTTTTTGTTCTTCACAACAGCAAGCAAAGGCAGCCCCGCAGAGCTGCAGGCTCAGGAGGGCGGGAGAGCTGCTGGCAAAGCTGTTATTCCCAAGGCTGTTAATTGTGGGAGCGTTTGCTTCTCTCTCCATGGCATTTTTGGCTCTCAATTTAATATCCCCCCTTCCTTTTTGAGTAGTTTCAAATGTGTAAATATCTCAGAGAACGTTAAATCCTGAAAAGGGGGAGAAAGTGGAAGGAGAGGAAGGAAAGGCTGTGTGTAGGGGAGGAGAGGGTGTTGATACAACATTATAGAGCTTCAGTTGGAAAGGAAAAGAAGGAAAGAAGTGGGACATGGCCATGAGAAGAGAAGGCAGGCCAGCGAGAGTGGCCTTTGTGGCCAGCACCTATCCACCCAGCCCCCACATCCCTCTGGGCCAGCCCTGCAGGTGAGAGCTCTCGATTTGCCAGGCACCCTGCAAAGCTCTTTCAACCAATCTTGAATGAAATGTAAGGAGATGCTCACATTGTGCATGCAGTGAGGGGAGTTTCTCCTTATATTTTGCATCCTCAGCCCTCACTCTCACCCCAGTCTGGGCCCCATTCATAAAAACCTTGGAGGAAGACAGGATTCCCATCTCCTCTTTACAGATGGGAAGGCTGAGGCACAGAGAGCCTGAGTAAGTGAACCAAGCTCACACAGGAGACGGATACCCAAGATTCAAAATCAGACCATCGGGATTCAGAGCCCACAGTTGCAAATCTTTACTCTCATGCCTTGATATGCCCAGAGCACCCCGCCCCAAAACACCCAAAACAGAGCTTCTGGACCAGAAAGGCCTCAAACCCATTTCTTCCCCCTCTGTAACATTCTGCTACTGGCCCTCTGTTGCAGCCCACTCCCTCTCCCCTAATGGAGAGGGAGATACGGAGTGGGGAGGATGGGAGGGATCATCGGGAGACATGGGGCGGCCTTTCTGGGAGCCTTCTCCTGTCACCTGGCCAGTGCTCCACACTGAGGTCTTCAGTTCCAGCCCTGGGCTCCGGGCTCCCTCTCCTATGCTCCAGCTCCGTGGAGCAGACACAGACCTCAAATTTTACAGGACTTATTTGCCAGCTGGGGAGAAAGGGAAGCACTCTAAAACAGTGGCTTCTAAAACAAAGCAGTTTATTGAGATATAATTCACACACCGTACCATGGATTCATTTAAAGTATAAAATTCGACAGCTTTTAGTGCATTCACGGAATTAACAATTCTCACCACAATCAATTTTAGAACATCCTCATACCCTAAAAAATACCCTGCCACTTAGCCATCTCCTCTCCACCTCCCAGCCCCTGTCAACTACTGATCTACTAATGTACTTTCTGTCTCCATAGATTTGCTTTTTATAGACATTTCATAGAAATGGAATCATATAACATGTGGTCCTTTGTGACTGGCCTCTTTCACTTGGCATGTTTTCAAAGTTCATCCTGCTGTAGCATGAATCAGTACTTTGCTCCTTTTTATGGCTGAATACTACTCCATCGCATGGATACACGCTTTAAAAAAAAGATGTATCAGTTGATGGATTTGGGGTGCTAGGTGGCTTTTTAAGGGATCAGACAATGCATACAGCTGGTAGGGGAAGAAAGACAGTAAAATGGTTTAATCCTAAAACAGCTTCAACTCCAAATCTTCTGAGCTTAGTTAGGGAGCCCAGGACAGCTCCTTTGAGCAAATGCTACTGCACCAGTGACTAGCCCTACATTAGAGACAAGGACACGGAGTCCCAGGAAGGAACTTGTGCTCAAAGTCACCTAAGTGCCACAAAGCAGGAGAGAGCTGAGTTCTAGGCTTCCACACCTCTCAAAGCCAACTCAGCAAGATCATCTCATACAATCTAAGTTGCCATCAATTGTGAAAACATGTTTTTGACACACCACTAGGAAGGAGAAAATGCTGCCAACTAAACTATGATACATGGCTTTCTGGAAACATCAGTTGCAAGATGCATTACAATTTCAGATATGTTAAAATCTGAGTGAAAATGTGTGCTAAATTGATGATATACAGTCTCTTTCTGCAGGTGTTGGATGGTTCTAAACACGCTTCCCCATGTTCTCTTCCTCTGCCCAGTTCTGCTTCCTTCCTTCTGATTCTTGTCTTAATGAGCTCTCATCCAAGGACCCCAAGCTATAATCCCCAGCTTCCTTCTTTCTTCCCCTCTTTCTATTTGCCATCTAATTGGTAACCTCACCTGGCCAGTCCTCTAAAGGACTCTTCACTGTGGCCAACCATTTCTATCCTGACTGCCACGGCCCTAGCTCTGGCCTCTTCCTTGTCCCCTCGCACACCTGCAGCCTCTCCCATCCTCTGCACTGCCCGATCACCCATGAGACAATGTGGCCTTGCTCCCTGTAAGCCTATGCTCCCCTTCAGCCACCTATGGAATAGAGTGGAAACTCCTTGCTGCAACACCCAGGTCCCAGCTTGTCTCCTGGGTCTCCCTGCAGGCTTGGGTCCCAGACACTACACTAGAGACAAGGACACTGAGGGCTTCCGCACCTGGTAGACGTGCTGTGGGAGGAGCATGCTCCACATGCCCTGCCTTTATCCTGGGGTCCTCCTCCAGAAATGCTTTTCCTGCATTCTCATTTCGGGGACCCCTTCATGGGGCTCCACCTGTCTCCCATTTCTAGCTGAACCAACAGCTCCTTTGTTTTACTCCAAGGCTCCTTGCACAGCCCGCTGTTGTAGCCCTTGGCTGTGCTGTGGTGCACACAGAATGGGGGCCTCCCACCACAAGGCAGTAGCTGTGTGATACCGGCTAAGTCACAGGATCTCCTAGAAAGCTGCAGAGGAGGAGCCCTTTCATTTGCTCTCTCCAGGCATCACTGCTTCTCCCCCAGCCCCTTTTCAGCTCCGCCACAAAAGAGGAAGGGGTGCTGAGTCTTGACAGCCAGGACCTTCCATGGAGCTGAGGGGAAACTGTGCCTCAGTGATTAGCACCAAGGGCACTGTGCTCTCTGGCACTCTGGTCTCAGACAGGTGGACCCTGTTCCCCAGGGCACACACCTCTCTCCCTCCCAGGGAGCTGTGTGGGTGAATGTGTTCAGCCCCAGCTCGTGCTAGCCAGAGATTTCGATTTGGAAGGGGAGTGCTCAGTTGCAGAAAAGGCTTATCAAGACCTCCAACCTAAGTTTCTTATTTCAGTCCAGGTATTACCAGAGAGCTCTGCTCTCAGGGAGGTGGTGGGGCTGTTGGTTTCAGACAGTTGCCCAGTTAATTAAGCACTTCCTTGTGAACACTCGGCTCTTGCTCCTTGCAGATAGTTCTCCTGCATTGAGCAGGGAAGAAGGTGAGCAGCAGGGCTTGACTGAGGGTTTCCTGGACCTGCATCCCAATGCCACCTGGATACAAACAAAACATCTCCTTTCACTTCAAACAGTAAGCGCATCATTGTTGCCATTGTCTTCATTTTCATCCTTCTCACGTGTGTTTCCCTTTGTAGCCTGTGCATCCGTTTAGGGCAGATGCATGTCTTATTCATCAATGTTCAAACAAGGTCCAGAGCAGAGTCGGTGCTCTTCATGCTGGGTTATTTGAAGCACAGGATTTGGGTCTAATTATTCTAGTGAGTAACAGGGGGCAACGATGACTGTGTTCTAGAATGTGACCCCATTGGACTATTAGGGAGGGGGAGGATTTCTGTACACATCATTAAGAAAGAAAGACTGTGACATCTTTTTGGTATCTGTGTCTGGGATCGGGCCAAACCGAGAGGCCTTGTGGTCTCCTCTGAGCAGTGCGGACCTGTCCCTCACAACCGATTGCCAGGAGCCCTGGCCTCCCTTCATCTTCCAAGCTGAAATTGAACACTCTTGCTTCTTTATAAAACTGCAGCCCTTGGCATCTCTTCTATTCATTGTGAGTCTGATGAACTGCAGGAACCAGAGTGGTCCAATGAGCCCCAGTGACTTGCACGTATTGCAGCTCCATGAAGGAGGAAAATGAGAGAATGCACAGAAGCGGGAATGGTGGAGATGGCTTTTTTCCACTTCAGGCCCTCACTGTTCTCTCCCTTTGAGAATTCTGAGATAAACAAAAATTGCACCCCATGCTGGCCAAAATTTCACAGTGGGCGTTCATTAGTGACGCGTCTGTTTGGCTGGGACAACAATTGTGAGGAGTTTGGGGACAATGGGACCAGGTCTGAGGTGCTCCATTTTGGCACGGTGGACACCCTGGGGTTGATGTCTTTTAAGGCTGAGAGCAGAGACCCGGAAGACTTGAGCTTCTCTCGGAAGCACAGGACGTCTCCTGTTTGATTCTGGTTGACCCCAAGCTGAGGACATATATATCCAGTCCTTATCAAAGCTCCTACTGGCTCTGTAAATTTACCATGTATATATCTGATTGTCCTCCTTCTCCCTCGTCACCTCATCTCTCTCTCTCTGTTTTTCTTTTAATAGACTTTACTATTTAGAGCAATTTTAGATTAACAGCAATATTGAGCTGTAGGTACAGGGATTTCCCACCTACCCTCTGCCCCAGCATGTGCAGCGCCTCCCCTGTTAATGTCACCCACCAGCGTGGTATATTGATGAACGACGTTGACACAGCATGATCTCTCAAAGTCTTGACTCTTGGTGTTGTACGTTTGATGGATTTGGACAAATGTGTATGGTTGTGTATCCATCATTATAGTATCATACAGAGGAGTTTCCCTGCCCTAAAAATCCACTGTGCTCTGCCTGCCATCCCTCCCTTTCCCGAATCCTGGTAGCCACTGACATTGTACTGCCTCTGTAGATTTGCCTTTTCCAGAATGTCAGATATCTGGAATCATACAGTAGGTAGTCTTTTCAGATTGGTTCCTGTCACTTAGTAATATCTGTTTAAGGCTCTTCTATGTCTTTTTATAGCTTGAAAGCTCATTTCTTTTTTAAAACTCATTTTTTAAAAAAACAAAGCTCATTGTTTTAATGATTCAGTTTTTTAGTGGAATAATAATAATAATAATAACAATAGCAGCAGCTAGCATTTACTTAGCTCTTACTAGGTGCCTATAAATACCATAATTGTTTAATTCCCCACAGTAACTGTCCCTTATTTTACTTAACTATTCTATCTCAAATTACTCCCAGATTGTCACTGTGTTTGTGTATATGAACTTTCATTTAGGTTGAATTATCTCCAAAAATTACATTTCAGAGTTAAGATTATTGTGAGTACCAGGGCATAAATAGTCCTATTGCCCCTGGTATAAATTGCCAAACTTTATCCCCAAAGGCTTATGTAAAATTTAAATGTCATTAATTATACAAGAAAGTGTCCATTTCATTGCACCTTTGCCAGCACAAGGTGTGATATTTTAATGTCATTTTGTTGTTTGACTATTTTTTAATAAAAGAACTCA
This sequence comes from Homo sapiens, assembly GCF_000001405.40. Taxonomy (NCBI): domain Eukaryota; kingdom Metazoa; phylum Chordata; class Mammalia; order Primates; family Hominidae; genus Homo; species Homo sapiens. The sequence goes on from NC_000005.10 coordinate 174,216,709, forward strand.
TCATTCCTTTGTTTTTATTATTTGTCAAAATTTAACAACTTTCCTTATTTTAGCTTATTAGCTCTATTTTTCTTTTCTTTCTGTGTCCCCCCATTTATTTATAAAATTAATGTCTCTTTTGCCAATTTGTTGACCTATTTATTTAACCTCTTACTAAATTATAAGAATCGTTAATGCTTACTTTTAAATAAAGAAGTACAACTTCCCTTCACTCGTTAAGCCCGTAATTTTATTTCAAGAAATAATTACTGTTAAGAAAATGGGGCATTTCCACCCAAATACACACTTACAAATTGGAACTTACTTCATATTTTCACACTTGTATATATCACTCACATCTGTGCCAAACCTACAGAGCCATCTTAATCTTTTTCATAATTACATGGTGTTTCATTATATGGATGTATCACAATTTACTTACCAGTCCCTGTAGGCATTTAGGCTCCTTCTAATATTTGGAAAACTCATTTATTTTAACAAGGAATAATATTCCATCGTCTAGATGAACCATTGTTTATTTATCCACTGACCTACTGAAGGACATCTTAATTGCTTCCAAGTTTTGGCAATTATGAATAAAACTGCCATAAACATCTATGTGCAGGCTTTGTGTAGACATAACTTTTCAGCTCCTCTGGGTAAACGCTAAGGAGAGCGATGGCTAGATCATATGGTAAGGTTATGTTTAGCTTGTAGGAAACTGCCAAACTGTCTACCAAAGTGGCTATGCCATTTTGCATTTCCACCACCAATGAATGAGAGTTCATATTGCTCCACATCCTCACTAGCATTTCATGTTGTTAGTGTCCTAATGGATTTTAATTATTCTGGTAGGTATACAGTGGATCATCTTCTCTAGGGTTAATGGAATCACCATTTATGTGCTTGCCCAATTTAGAAACTGGAGAGTTATCAGAGACTCTTTCTTCTGAGGCAGTGGCAATGTTCTGGGTTCCCTTTTCTCCCAAGCACGTGACCAAACACATTTCTCCAGCTTCCTTGCAATTAGGCATGGTCATATGACTGAGTTCTGGCCAATGAGTGTAGCCAGAAGTGATGTCACCACTTCTAGGTCTGGCCTATGAAACTCCTCTCAGGGGAACCCTTTCTCACTTTCCCCTTTCAGAGCTGGACTAGAAGGACTCTGAGGGTGTTGGGATGGGAAAGCCTCAAAAAGGAAAGCCTGGATCCCTGAATGACTACATGGAGTATAGTCACCAACTAGATTTTGTATAAATAAGAGATAAATTTTAGCCACTGAGATTTTGGTGTTTATCAGTTACCACAGCTAGTGGTACAGTATCTAACACTCTCCAAACATAGTCTGATTCTGAAATTGTTTCTATAAACTTTATAAAATTAATCAGAGAAGAAGAGAGAGGGAGAAATGAAAATATACCAGGCTTGCAGCACATTCAGCATTAATCACTAGTTCAGCCTGCTCTCTGACCTGCTGCCTCATAGTTTTTTGCTATTGCTCTAGAATTATGTAAACCCTGTTACAAGACTATATGGCTCCCCTTAACTGTTCCATAGAGCAGCTATACAACATTAATATTATGAAACATTAAATTTTCTCTTTGAGATATGCTTTCAGATCCTACAAGCCAATAAAACTGCTGACATCAGCTGGTCTGAAGGAGCCCATAAGATGGTGACTCACCAAAAAGCGCAGTCTCCACATACTGCTGGTTTCATCCCGCTTACCCTGGCCAATCAATGACCCCAACTTTCCAGCTCCCCATCCTCCATAATCCCCTTAAAATCCCCAGCCCAGGACTCCTCAGGGAAATGGTTTTGGGGTCTCCTTTCATCTCCTCACTCAGCAACCTGCTATCATTAAACTCTTTCTCTGTGGCAAACTGCTGTGTCAGGATAATTGGTCTGTTACTGAGCAACATGCATACAAACCTGTTGGTCCTATAACAATCTCAAGGCTTGAATTAGGATAGACCATTATTTCCTCATCTGTAAAATGGGAATAATGATAATATTTTCCTTGTGAAATTATTGGGAGGGTCAAATGAGGTCTTCCACATAAAGCAGTTAGCACCAGGCATTTAGTAGGTACTCAGCAAGTGTTAGATTATTAAAATCCTTTCAACTCTTTCACAAGTGGCAGGGGAATGTTTGGCTGAGTAGAGTAGATGCTGAGATTCAGGGTTACAGACAACCAGGCCTCATTTCTTACCTTCTGTTGCATACGTTTTTCTCTCACAAGTGTAGGGAGGTAAACCCGGGCTCCCTGATATCCATGGAACATACTCTTTTTATAACCAAGAGCAGTGGTTCCTTGATATGGCAAACCTTGCTCCTATGGTTATTTTGAGGTTATTTCAAGGTCTTTGTCCAGGGGCTTAGGAACCTCTTGGAGATAATAGATCAGAGTGAGGGCACATCGCACCAGCAGAACTCACCGACATGGCTGACACCCCAGCAATGGAGAAGAATGCTGAGTCTCAGGACAGCAGCACAGCCCAATTCCTGGCCACACTCTCCATGACTTCAAACAGATAAGAACTGAAAGCACCGCTTCCTGTGAACTCCCACAACAGTGGAGCCCAAGCAACACTTCTTTGGGGTCCCCATTGTCAGGTGCTACTCACAGGGGTGAAAGCCATTCTCCATTCCTCCCCTTCACTTTTCAAGAGAACCAGTCAGAGGCAGTGGATTAGTTTCCTGTTGCTTCTATAACAAATGATTACAAATGTAGTGGCTTAAAACAACACACATTTACTCTCTTACAGATTTGGAGGTCAATTCCAAAATCTGTCTCATGGGCTAAAATCGAGATGTCTGCAGGGCTGGTTCCTCTAGAGGCCTCTGGACAATTCTTCTGCTCCCCAGTCCTTGCTTCTAGAGGTTGCCCATGTTCCTTGGGGTATAGCCACATCACTTCAATCTCCGTTTTTTTAATTAAATTTTGTTATTTTTAATCTTTATGGTGTACAAGAGATATTTTGATACAGGTATGCAAACACATAATCACTTCAGGGAAATGGGGTATCCATCACTTGTGTTTGTGTTACAAACATTCCAATTACACTTTTTTAGTTATTTTAAAATGTACAATAAATGTTTGTTGACTGTAGTCACCATGTTGTGCTATCAAATACTGGATCTTTTTCATTCTATCTAACTATATTTTTGGGACCATTCTGCTTCCGTTTCACATAGCCTTCTCCTTGTTCTCATCTTCTGCCTCTCTAAGGACATTGATGATTATATCAGGCCATCCAGGCCCTCCGGGCTAATCCAGGTGATCTCTCCAACTCAAGAGCTTTAAGTTAATCACACCTGCAAAATCTCATATCAGGTAACATTCACGGGTTTCTGGGATTGAGATATGGACATTGTTGGGGATCATCATTCAGCCAGGAACCACCAGGATGGAGGAATCACCATGGCTACCGCCTGTGCCAAGTAGGTCAGCAGCACTGGCCAGGGTCCGGGAGCTGTGGCACCCCAAAATCAGAGCCAGCTGCTGCACCCAGTCTGGGCAACTTGCAGAGCACAAGCAAGGTTCTCTCTGGGGAACTCTGGAGAAACTAGGAGTGGGGTTGGAAGCAGATAGGAAAGAGGGGACTTGCAGGAGCTGAAGGGACAAATGAATAAGTGCACACAAGAGCCAGCCTCCACACACCACCCTGTCATCCAGAGTGGAGGCATTTTTCCAGATCATAGAATAAAGTAGGAGAAAAGAGGAAGACAGGACCCCTTGCCCACAAGTGCTGGCAACACATGTTTTAGTGCAGAGAGCAAGAGACTGTCTCGGCAAAGCTGACCCGAGATTGCTGCTTCGCTGTGCTCAGCTAATGGAAGGCCTTGAGCAGCCAAGCTTTCACATCCCTGATCAGCCTTCCAGACAGAGCTCTCATCTCAGGCCCCCTGAAAGGCCCAGCACAAGCAATAGAACCAATTAATTAGAGAAAGTGGTCTCCACATGCACACTTTCTGAAGAGAAGATAATTGGATTTCTGTGGTTAAGCAGACAAACGCTCCCAAGAATGGGGCCATTTTCGTGATGGATGAATGCAGATTTTTTTTGTGTTTCATGAGATGCTATTCCATGGCCTGATGGGGATGCTTGGTATAGATTTGGGGGTGAAGTCTGTCAGGGGATAGAGATACAGGGAAAAGACCACCTGCACCCCCAGAATGAAATCAAGCCTCCACCTAGGGGAACAAAGGACATATTTTGGGGCAACAAGGCAACATAAGGACCTGGCTCTGAAAGTCTAATCTTGTTAGAACCACAAAATACATTTAGTCAATGCTAATCAGTGTGAAATAATGGTCATTGTATGCCTGCCCAGCATCCATTTACCCTACTTCCAGTCATGGCTGCTGATTCTAATGTGGGGACCCATTCCAGCCTCGTTCTCAGGGCATGGGATTTGCAGGGACCTCACCATCAGTCTCCAGATTTAGAACCCATCTAGGCCCATTGGCACGTTCTATCCCCCACTCCCTATTTGGCTCAGTGACCAGCTCACTCACTGATTGGTGCAAACTTTGGGCCAAGACATCAAATTGGATCAGAGCAAACCCAGGGGCTGTGTTCACAACCCCTTAAGGAAGCATTTACACCCTTCCTGCTGGGCTTGGAAGTGGGAGCTGCTGTGGATGTCTTGCTGCCGTGATGGGGGAAACTGTGGGGTATGGAGCCAAGAGAGAGACACAGAGGAACACACTCTGGGGACTCAAGCACTTAAGTCAAGTAGTGTCTGGAATTATTAGCTCCAGACATTTAAATTGTGAGTCCAATAAATTCCCTCCCTGCCCCACTTTATTTTTTCGTTGTTGTTAAGTCAATTTGGGACAGGGTTTTCTATCCCTTTTAATAGAATCCATCTGGTAAAAAACAACTCACTGCTTACTTAGGCCTTACCAGATGTCAGTCACTGTGCTAAGAGTCTGGAATGCATTCCAGACTTTAATTGACACTGTAAGCCTATCAATATCATTGAGGCTCTGGGGTGCATAGCCCCTGAGACAGTTTGCCTGGCTTGAACACCACCGTTCTCTTAAACACTCTGCTCTATAGACAAAATCTGCCACAGGCCTCTCCTCCCAACCACAGCTTTCAAATCCTCTTCCCACTGGACTGTCTGCCTGGCCAGGACACTCAAGTCCTTCCAAACCTGGTTAGAAAGCTGAGGTCTATAGCGATTGATGAATGGGTGCAAACCCTCTTTCATCTTAGGGTCTGGAGCCCATTCAGGGGTGCTCCCTCTCCTCCCCGACTCCCACTCTTGAGGAGAGATGAAAGGACACAGGACAGAGCTCTCCCAGGCTGACCCTTCCCTTGGGGAGTAACTGAGACGATCCCACTATTTGTCAGGGTTTGTACAGCTGGTGGGGGCTCCACGAGCTAGGAGTCCCAGAGAGGCCATATGCTGCCATGGGAAGAACAGGGCTCCATTTAATTCTCATGCCTTGTTAAGCAGCATCTTCATTTTTCAGATGAGCAAACAGAGGCTCGGGGGAGAGAGGGATTGTAGAAGGCCCTGAAACCAGTAAGGGGTGGCAGAGTCAGGGTTTGTCCCAGACTCATGTCACTCCCAAGCCCAAATTCTTCTCCCTCTGGCCTGGTGCCTCATTCATGGTGATGGTAGCAGGATCTAGGAGTGGTGGGTCAGGCCCAGCCTCTCCCACACTTCCTTAGCTGCATACGGTCTTTGGCGTCACTGTCTCTAATATGACAGGCATGAGGGCCTCCTGGAGCCCAGCCTCACCACGCAATGGCTAGGCTGCTTTCCGGCTAGACAGCTGGAGACCCATGTATGGGGTGAGGGTGGGGTTCTGTGTACACAGAATACTTTGCTGCTCATCTCCCCCCATCCCACCGTCCTGGGGAACCTAGTGTCTTAGTCCATTTTCTGTTGTTATAATTAATACCTGAGACTGGGTCATTTATAAAGAAAAGGAATTTATTTCTTACAGGTCTGGAGGTTGAGAAGTCCAAGGTGAAGGGGCCACATCTGGTGAGGCCTTCTTGCTGGTGGGGTATCTTTGCAGAGTTTGGAGGTGGTGCGGGGCATCGCAGGGTGAGTGGGCCATGAGGGGGCACTGAAAGCCAAACCGGCTTTTATACAGACCCACTCTCGTGATAACTCATTAATCGATTAGTCCATTAATCTATTAATCCATGAGCCAATCAATTTACTCCCTCTTAAAGGCCCCTCTCTTAAAGCCTTCACCTCTTAATGCTATTACATTGAAGGTTAAGTTTCAACATGAGTTTTGGAGGGGACAAAACATTCAAACCTTAGCACCTGGTTCCCCTGGTGCCAGGGCCTGCCTTAGAGCAGGATCAGGTGCTGGGCTCTGACATCATTGCTAACTCCAGGCAGCTTCCCCTCCCCAGGGCGGGGCACAGAGCTTCCTGTCCGTCATTGGCTGGGGTCCTGTCCAATGGCAGAAAGCCCACCTGGACCCTCAGTGACAACAGCAATAACTAAGGTGCTTATCACCTGTGCCAGCTGCTCACCTGCATCTCCTCCTGCAACCCTGCGAGGCAAGGTGGCACCGCCCTTGCTCCAGACAGGTGATGTGACTTCCTCTCGCCACACTCCAGGTTGGAGGTGGGAGGTCAGAATCCACACCCAGACCTTCTGAGTATAGACCTCTGGCCCTCTCCTCATTAGTTTCTGAGAAGCAGATGGCTGGTTGGGGCTGCGTGTTCACCACCCCACATGGGTGCAGGAAGAGTGGATGCCGCCCCTCCTTTTCAGGTCGAGCTGAACAGCTGAGAGTTACCGTGGTTCGGTTGCACGACCTGGCGGCGCCAGAGATAAGAATAGAAACCAGCCCCCTTGATTCAGGAGATGCCCCGGCAGCAATTTCTAGTTATCTCTGCCTCATGGGGGAAGCAGAGCCTTCCTGAGATAGCAGGCAGCCAGGGAGCATGAGTGCTGGCAGACCACTAATAACCTCCGGGCCTCCTCCTCTGAACAGTGTATGGAGAACTCTGGAGAGGCAGGGGGCTTTTATCGAGTTTCCCACTAAGAACGTGCAACCTAGTCAACCCAGTCTTCTGCAACCACACTTAATGGCAAAATAAATAGGCTTGAGCCCCCATCACCTACTTTGGGGGGGGGGGGTCTTGAGAACTCCCGAGGGGCATGTTATATTCTCCCAATGTCCCTTACGCCAATTCCTTGTCCCTTACACCAGTTCTCCACCTGGAGCTGGATTAGTGACCTCCACTAGCTTTTCTGCCCTAGGCTGTAGCCCTCTCTCTGCCGCCTCCTCTTCCTTCCCAGCTTCTCTCCTGAGGACCATGGCGTGTAACAGATTTGTCCTCAAGGTTTGGGCTGGGGGACAGGGGGGCTGTCTTAAAGGGAGGCCCTTAGAACTCAGAGCAGGAAACTCTTTAAAATCCAATCACTTTGCTGTTTAAAGGGGACAAACTTTCAGTAATAGGATGAATATGATGTGGGGATCTAATGTAGAGCATGGGGGCTGTAGTTTAAAATGCCCTATTGTATACTTGAAATTTACTAAGGCAGCAGATCTTGTGTTCTTACCACACACACACAATGGTAACTAGAGGAGGTAACGGAGTTGTTAATTGGCTTGATTGTGGTAATCGCTTCATCATGTATACGTAATATCAAATCACCACATTGTATACGTTAGATACACACAGCACATCCTGGAAAAACATGGTTTTCAGTGTTTAAAACTAGCAGAGTTTTGGTCTTTATTTAGAAGTTTGATGAGGTTTTTGTAACCAGAAATATACCATAGAAACTTAACTCTTGTTTACATCGATTAGCCTATGGAAAAATGAGTTTCATTTACATTGTTTCACTTGAAGTCTCAGTTTCCAAGAACATACCTATGACATTAAGTGAGACTTTACTGTATGATTTTTTTTTTTTTTTGAGATGGAGTTTTGTTCTCGTTGCCCAGGCTGAAGTGCAATGGCATGATCTTGGCTCAGTGCAACCTCTGCCTCCCGAGTTCAAGTGATTCTCCTGCCTCAGCCTTCCGAGTAGCTGGGATTACAGGTGTGCACCACCAAGCCTGGCTAATTTTTGTATTATTAGTAGAGACAGGGTTTCGCCATGTTGGCCAGGCTGGTCTCGAACTCCTGACCTCAGGTGATCCACCCGCCTCCATCTCCCAAAGTGCTGGGATTACAGGTGTGAGCCACCGCACCCAGCATTACGGTATGATTTTTATTTGTTAAGCATGCCCCAATAAAGCCACGGGAAAACCCCCCAAAAAGCAAAATCCAGTCCCTGCTCCTGCTCTACCCCACAACCACTCAGAGTTTCTCCCTGGGCTACTTCTCTCCCTAAAGCCCAGCCTGCTCCCATGTGGTCAGAACCTTCTCTCTTCTCTGCTTTTCTCAATACCCAGACTCCTCCTCCTGGCTCGTGGCTGCCGAGAGAAAGTGCCTTATTCCTGTTACTTCATTATGCAGAGAAACGTGGAGCTCCTCTCCTGCTCAGACTAGGCTCTGGGCTTCCCTTGCGTTAAACTCCAAGGGGCCCAGGAATGACTTTTCCTAAATAAAATAGTCATCCTCCTCAGCCTTTGTCAGGTGAAATATGTGGAATTGGAAGTCCCTTGGAAAGCACCGTGCTTCTTTTACTTGTACAGGTCAAATCCCTAGGCAGGTCCCCCTCCTCCACCAACCAGAGAAAACCCCCCAAGGGATGCTGATCTCCCACCCTCCCCACCCCCACTCCAGAGAAGCAGGGTCTGGGTGTGGACGTAGGGACTTGGGGCAGGCCTCCCTACAGAGGCAGGCAGGGTCTCCAGGCAGAAGTGGGATCTGAGTTAAGACCCCAGGGCAGCAGTGGAGAAGAGAAAAGAAGATTCAAGGTCAAGGATGGCAGGGCCTGGAGAAAATCCCAGAAGAGGAGGATGTAGCTATCTGGGTTTTGCTGCAGAGAATAGAGTGGATCAGAACACAAGATTAGACAGGCGTGTGTAGAGGGTGCGAAGTTGGAAGGTCTGGTTCTTAAACACAGAAGGAGCTCACCATGTGGACAGGGTACGGGAGAACAAAGGACAAAAGACAGGGGAAGTGCATGGTCTGGAAAGATATGCTTCAAGAGACAGACTATGCGTGGCTCCACACTGACTCAGCTGTTTGCTGTCCTGGAAAAATGAAAAAACAAAACAAACAAACAAACAAAAAAAAACAAACTCCACAGCCAGGTTTAAAAAGCCGTATCAAACTGAAATCCTTTGAAAGCAGGGGACTTCAGGAGCCAGCCATGTGGGGACTTGACAACTCCTGGGAAGGCCCAGGGAACAGTTTGGCACACAGGTCTTCTCTAAAGACATTCAAAAAAATTTTTAAATGTTTTAAAACACTGATCCATGCTAATAAACACAGGGAGGGTGCATGTGAGTGACAACCCCCCAGGACAAGTTTAAAGGCACATTTAGCACATGCTAAAGATGGAAGTGATGGAGGTGCTGGCTTCACAGGAAATAATCTTCTCTGAAACTACTGAGCTGCAGAGAGGCCAGCTGCAATGTGATTTTGCTCCAGGAGAGCCCTGAGCGCTGTATTAAACAGGTGAATCCATTCTGATACGCAATCTCTGATTTAAGAATTAATTGCTTGGGAGAATCTATTAGTGTGTGCCCTCATTTATATTCAAACCACAACTACCACCACCTAGTCTTCTAATCCCTCCACCCCAAGCCTACCATTAGCAGTCATCAACAGACAGGTATGAAGCCCCCCTCCAGGCTGGATGCTGGGGTGTGGTTCTAATTCCTCCCATTTCTCAGAAGGTGCTGCTGCAGTAATGAGGAATCAGGATGAGTGGAATGAAGAGGCTGAGATCAGTGTGGATCCCAGATCTGGGGCTTACCCTCTATGTGAGGGGCACAAATTGCTCCACTTCTTTGAATTTGGTTTTCTCACCTGTATGATGTTGAAGAAGTAATACCCACAGTAACAGAATCCTGATTTTCAGCTGCATGGAAAACAAGATGGCATTTTTCCAGCCTTTCTTCCATTGGAGCTAGTTATGCCCATGAGACTTGGTGGTTGTGAACTCAGCTGGGAGGGGTCCCATTTGTCTCCCATTCTCCCCATATATCTGTTTCCTCCCACTCCCAACCCGGGATAACAGGCTATTCCTCCAGTACTCATCTAAGATTATGATGGAACTTTGAGAGTGGCTATATGCAAGTGCTTAATGATACCGTGGGACCATCACACCAGCTTTGCAATACCCAATCCCATATGTATTTTGTGTGAGAAGGGACTATCCTTCTATCTTTTTAAGGCCTTTTTTGCTCTTCTTTTATAAGCAGCTGCACATGATACTAACCGATAGGCTGAATGAGCATGGTTTCTGCCCCCAACATCCATTCATTCTTACTGTTGCCACCTCCCAACTTCCCTCTGTGAGGCCACCTCCTATTCCACGTTCAGCCCATGTTTCTGGCAGAGTTGACTGACTTTGGGCAGAGCAATCAAAGGCCATATCCCCGGTAACAGGGATTGATTCTGGGGCGGGCATGTGCCCTACAATTTCCAATCAGAACAGATCGCAGGATTTTGCAGGGGCTGCCGGCTTAGGGAGCCTTGTCTATTTCTGCTGCATGTAAGCCTAGACACATGAGCCCTGGGAGCTCAGGTTAGTCATTTATGACCATGATGGGAAAGTCTGCAGAGAAGGAAGCCACAGTGAAGAGAACAAGGCAAATAAATGGAGAGAAAAAGTCATCCTGGTCACGTGATTTTAGCCCTGGCTCAAACCTTGCCTGAAGCCAGTGGTCTATTCAGTTTTGTGAGCTGATAAATTATCATTATTTCAGTGTGCACAGGAAGGGTTTTTCTGTCATTTGCATCCAAAAGAGCTCTCGCTGAGTACACATTAGTCCAAAACAAAGTAGTGTTATAGTAGGCTTTCAACAGAAACACACACACACACACACACACACACACACACACACACACACACTGTGGTTCAACTGAAAAACCACTGGGGAAAAATAGAGTAGTTTGGCTTCCTTCAGGGAAGCAATGCACCTCCCCTGATGGGTTGGACAAGGGTTGTGTCTCCTACCGTTTCAGTGTAAGCACACATCAGCCTACCAGGAAGCAAGGACTTTTAAGATGGTGAGGAGACTGTTCAGCACAGAGACAACAAAGAGACCCTGCCGGAGGAAGGAGTGGGAAGAGAGGGCCGGGAGGACAACTGCCAAACTTCACAAAGATCTACACGTTTGTGTCCCAGAGGAGATCTCGTCTTCTACAGACAACATCACAGTTTTCCCCAAAGCTTGGCTTGTATAATACCTTGCTAATTAACAGGATGATTTTTAGTGGTACATAACATTTTCAAAAAATATTTTAATAGCTATTTTAGTAGTTTTGGGTTATGTAATTTTAGAAAATATTTCTTTCTACTTAAAGAATATAGCCTCTCCTTATAAAATATATTGATTGAAAGAAAATATTAAGTAATTAATAGCATAATTAAGCAATTATGCTATTTTTATGAGATTGGGATAGTTGTGTGCTGGAGTTTGGGAAAATCACGTTACCTTTTTTAACCTTGATGGCAACTTTGCTCTATAGAGAATATCAGGCCTATTTCACGGAGGAGGAAAATGAAGTCCAGTGGGGGGAATGGCAGAGCTTACTATGCTGGACTTCAAAGCCCTTCATCTTTTCGTTAGGCCTTGGTCCTGGAACCCAGCACCTCTGGCTAATACCCTTGAAGGCCTGGCCATTCAGAGCACCACCCCTGGGAACCAGTGTCTGATCCCATCAGACCCCAGGGCAGTGGAATGAATGTTCCTCCAACCTGTGGCAGAACGTGGGCCTGTGCAGAAGTGATAACTTGAACTGCTGCAGAAAAGAATGAAAAAGCCTGACCTTCCTAGAGAACTGCACAATTCTTTGTTTGAACAGTTTCTAGGGAAGCCTAATTAATCCCGTTGTTGATGCTAATGCATTGCTTTTTTAAGACTCAGAGTTGATGCTGCACGCAAATTTCTCTTTGATTTAAGACTCTGGAAAGAGGACAGAAGTTTTTTCAGTCGTGCCTGGATTTTGCTCTAGGTTCCACACACTGAGAAAATGAAGGCCCATTTAGCTGTGACAGGGTGGCCAGCCCTCCTAAAAAAAAAAAAAAACAAAAAAAACTTCTTATTTTGGTCACTTTCCAAAGATCCTTCTTTAGTTGAGATTTCATTGATAATTTTCACTCTGTTGACTTGCTTTACAAGGATATGGAGAAAGAGCCAGGCCACCACGTTACACTGTGTACACATGACAACAAAATAATTGTAATAATAATAGTAACCACAAAGATAACAATAGCTGTCGTTTATTTCTTACTACATGCAAACATTTAAAATTTGGAAACACAGTTCAAATAAAAGAAACATTTTCTGAATGTTGATTGTGTTCTGGATACACATAAATGAGTTAGATATAGTGCTTAGGGGAGATTAGGTCAGTTAGGAAGGTGGATACATATCACTCTGATAAAATCAAGGAGGGCTTACCTAAAGAAATGACCCCAAGGGGCCATTTGGGAAGGGTATTGAGGGATGACTAGGAGTGCATAGGAGTGTGCTACATGAAGGGCGAGGATAAGGAGCATTCCCAATCTGGGGGAAGCTTATGCAAAGTATCATAAGGGTGGGAGTGTAAGGACATATGGCTAGTAAGGAACATAGCAGGGATTTAAATTCATGTTTGATTGACTCAGAAGTCCAATGATGAGAGTATTCTCTTCTATTGAGGAGACACAACTGACACCATTTGAGGATGAACAACTGAAAGTGATTAAGGTTCCACTTGAGGCAACTGGATGGATGGTCTGTCACAAACTGTACATGGTTACTGTAATATCCATTCTCTATATTTTTGTTGGTACTAGAACCTCCAGTGTTTCATTGGGTACCAGAAATAGGGGCTGTTTCCTAGCATCCCGGGAAATAGCAGTGACATGTGGTTAAGTTCTGGACAATGGGATACAGGAAGAAGCATCATGTGTCAGCTTCTGGAAAATGTCGTTAAAATAGAACTGGGCCATGTCATTTGTTCCCCTTCCCCTCCTTCCTCATACTGCTGTTTAGAATGCAGATGAGATGGCTGGAACTCTGCCTTGGACCAGGAGCATGAGCCCAAATCCCAGGGGATGGTGCAGGAAAAAGCTGCAGACAGTCTGTGTCTAAGACCAAGGCACAGCCACACTAACTCTGGATGGCTTATTTTGAACTCACTGTATGTGAGAGAAATACCAAGTTCTATGCCAAATCCATCTCAGTCAATGGAGTTGACACAGAACTCCATCCTTTTAGTTGCTCTGGCTTTAAGCCTTTGAGTCATCCATGACTTTTTTCTCTCTCAAACTCCACTTGCAATCTTGGTAGCTCTACTTTCAAAATATATCCAGAATCCAGCACTTCTGTCCATCTGTACTGCTGTCTCCCAGGTCTGAGTCACCAGGCTCCTCACCACAGAAGCCTCCCTGCACCCTGCAGTCTATTCTCATAGCAGTCAAAGGGCTTCTTTTTAAATGTAGTTGAGTCATATTGCTTCTGCTCAGAACTCTGCATGGCTCCTCATCCCGTCCAAGATAAATGTCCAAGTCCCTAAGAGAGTCTACAGGACCTTACATGACTTTTCCCCCATCCTTTTAGCTCTTTGACCCCTCTTTAGAACTACTCTTCCCCAAACTCACTCTGCTGCAGCTACACTGGTGTCCTTGCTATTGCTCACACTTCGCAGCCACATTCCTACCTCTGGCCTTTGCACTGGCTGTTTCCTTTCCCAGGGGTACTATTACTTAAATATTCTTGCGGCTGACTTCCTTGTCTCTATCAAGTCTTCGTGCAAATGTCTCTGCCACCCAGTTAAAAATGACAACCCACCCCCTCCAGTGACGTCCAGTGCTTGTTGCTGTACTTGTGTTTATTTATTGTGTGTACTGTGCACAGTCTGTCTCCCACCACCTGCATGGAAGCTCCATGAAGGCAAGCATTTTGTTTTGTTGTTAATGTATTTTTTTTTTTTTTGAGATGGAGTCTCACTCTGTCACCCAGGCTGGAGTGCAGTGGCGCGATCTCGGCTCACTGCAAGCTCCGCCTCCTGGGTTCACACCATTCTTCTGCCTCAGCCTCCCGAGTAGCTGGGACTCCAGGCGCCCGCCACCACGCCTGGCTAATTTTCTGTATTTTTTTTTTTTTAGTAGAGACAGGGTTTCACCGTGGTCTCCATCTCCTGACCTCGTGATCTGCCCGCCTCGGCCTCCCAAAGTGCTGGGATTACAGGCGTGAGCCAACGCGCCCGGCCATTGTTAATGTATTTTAAGCTCCCACACAACACATAGTAGGTGTTGAAAAAAATGTGTTAATGAATCTTGTTTAAGACATTATTTTTGAAGTTTTAAAAGATATAATGGTATATTTTAAATATATACAAATTAATAGAGAGAACAGTATGTCAAATGCCTATATATCCATCATCCAATTTCAACACTTGTAACTGTGAACAAGCTTTTGCCATGTACACAGCCTCCCATCTGCACCCTAGATGATTTTGAAGTAAATCCCAGACATTCTATCCTTTCATCTCTTTTTTATATACATACATTTTTTCTTAGAGATGAGGTCTCACTATGTTGCCCAGGCTAGTCTCTAACTCCTAAGCTCAAATGATCCTTCCACCTCTGCCTCCCAAAGTGCTGGGATTACAGGTGTGAGCCACTGCACCTGGCCCTTTTATCTCTCTCTTTTTATTTTTATTTTTTTTTAAAGAGAGAGGGTCTCGCTCTATTGCCCAGGCTGGAGGGCAGTGGCATGATTTCGGCTCACTGCAACCTCTGCCTCCCGGATTCAAGCGATTCTCCTGCCTCAGCCTCCCAAGTAGCTGGGATTACAGGCTCCCACTACCAAGCCCAGCTAATTTTGTGTGTGTGTGTTTAGTAGAGATGGGGTTTCACCATGTTGGCCAGGCTGGTCTCGAACTCCTGACCTCAGATGATCCACCTGCCTCAGCCTCCCAAAGTGCTGGGATTACAGATGTGAGCCGCCGTGTCCAGCCCTTTTATTTCTTAATAGTTCAGCATGTAGTTCTAAAAGCAAAACTGCCCTTTAAAAATATAATCATTATACCATCATCACAGCCCAGAACAATCAATAATAATTTCTTGATATCATTAAACACCTAGTTGGTGTTGATACTTCCCAATTGTCTTATACATGTTTTTCTTAAATTAATCTCTTTGAATCAGTTAACATGTCTCTTAAAACTTAAAAAAGTCTATAGACCCCTTCTCTACTGTCTTGTCATTTGTTGTTGTTGAAGGAACTGAGTCATGTGTCTTCTACGTTTCCCACAGTCTGGATTTTGCTAATTATTGGCACTTAACAAGCTCCTATGTCTTCTGTGTTTCCTGTTAAGTTGGTGGTTGGCTCGAGAAGCTGCTCGGATCCAGGTTTGAAACTTTGCCAGCCCCACCGCATAAGTGGTGCTGTGCACAGGAAGCAGCTCGGATCCGATTATTTTTCTTTTCCTGATGTTAGTGGCCTTTGATCACGAATGCCAAAATCCATTATTTCATTAGGGGTTGCAAAATGCTGATCATACAATTATACCTTCCCTCTTTGCCAGGAGGTAAAGAGGAACTTCCCCTCACCAACTAGTTGGTTACTCTGAGAGATGCAGTATATGTAGAAATTTTCAGGATTTTTACTTGTGTCCAAACTACCTCTAATTACTCTAGATGGTGATGCCAGGACAGATCTTATAAGAGAAGCAAGTTGGGGACAGGAGAGGGAAATGTGTCAGTTTGGGATTGTGTTGCATAAGTTGAGGGAGCTCTGCTTCATAAGCCTCGGTACATCTGTGTGGAGCTCAGCGAGGCCAGGCCAGGGAGGCAACATATCTGTGTCTTCAGCCTCTGGTTGGTAGAAGAAGTCAGGGATGTGGAAGGCCCTTCTGCAGTGACAAAAGCATTTCCTGGCCCTTGCAAGTGGTTGGGTGGGTGGATGGATGGATATAAGGATATTGCTGTCATACATGACTGTTTATTATCAAGCGATTGCTCAGGAAGAGAAAACGTATGAAAAAGTAATATCACACTCAAACTGTAATCCTTGTTATGACAACTTAGCAGAATAATAGCGATAACCTTTTGGTTTATATTTTTCTATTCAGAAACTCAACATCCTATATTTTATTTTATTTTTTACTTGGAGCAAAAAACTTGCATTACATCCCTTTAATGGGGCTGTTTAGATTCCCAAGGCCACGAAGGCTGGCTTGGCCTGCAAAATGGCTCGTCCTCTTGACGGCAGCCACTTCTCTCTTTGGGGCCACTGATCCCTATGATAGAGGGTAGACACTGCCATTAGCCTCCCCAGGCTCACTATTAAATGGTAACAGCTGACTAGCTTTGGGGAACACCTGGGAGATTTTCAGACTACCCAATCTGGAAGGAGGCAGAAAGAGATTTAGGCTCAACTGGTGAGCAAGAGGTGAAGTTATTCCAGCCACCTCCCTGGCAAATGCCAGCTTGGCCCACCCTGGTGACCTACAGGAGTGGCTTCTCAGTGCCTGCTCCTGGTGGTGTGCCCTGACTCACCTGCTCAGGGGCAGTCACAGTGGGAACTGCCGTTGGTCCCTACTACGTGCCAGCCACTGGGCCAGGCCCCCCACACACACCAGCAATTCATGTAGCCTGGTGCATAAAGTTCTGACCTTTGGCTATGACAAACCAGGTGCAAATTCTCTCTGCTCCTGTTACACACTTGGGCTGGACACTTAATCTCTCAGAGCCTTGGTTTTCGCTTTGTAAAATTAGGGAAAGAATTCCTACCTCCTAATGTCTTTGAGATGATCAAATAAGAAAATTCAAGTTAAGTCCCTAACATGCATTCAATAAATTGAGTAGTAATTTTGGTTATTGTTGCCAATTCCAAATTGTGCTTTTCAAAATGGAGTACTCAGGCACCCCCAGGGGGACTCTGGTGGTGTGTTTCAGAAGATGGGTGGTATTTGAGAAAATGTACATATT
This sequence comes from Homo sapiens, assembly GCF_000001405.40. Classification (NCBI taxonomy): domain Eukaryota; kingdom Metazoa; phylum Chordata; class Mammalia; order Primates; family Hominidae; genus Homo; species Homo sapiens. The sequence goes on from NC_000005.10 coordinate 174,233,733, forward strand.
TGCATGATAAAGCTGTTTCTAGAACTTGGGTTTTTATGTAAAATTTTGTAAAGGGAAATTTTTTTGTTTGTTTGTTTGTTTTTTTGTTTTTTTGAGATGGAGTCTTGCTCTGTCACCCAGGCTGGAGTGCAGTGGTGTGATTTCAGCTCACTGCAACCTCTGCCTCCCAGGTTCAAGCGATTCTCCTGCCTCAGCCTCCTGAGTAGCTGGGATTACAGGTGTGCGCAACCACGCCCGGCTAATTTTTGTAATTTTAGTAGAGACAGGGTTTCATCATGTTCACCAGGCTGGTCTTGAACTCCTGACCTCAGGTGATCCGTCTGCCTTGGCCTCCCAAAGTGCTGGGATTACAGGTGTGAGCCACTGTGCCCAGCCGAGGGAAATTTTTAACAATTAAAACAAACTATGAACTAGAATACACATCTCAAGTTAATTTTTTAACAGCAACTCCAGTTCAAGGGTATTTCATGTATGCAATAGGCTGCTTTAACCTGCACCCCAGCCTTCTGGAACCGCACGTGCATTCTTCTCTGCCTACTGTCCCAGAAAAGCTTGAAAAATGGTCCTACCACAACCTGATGCTGCAGATGCTGCCATCACCCCCATTCTACAGGTGAGAGAAGAGTCTCAGAAATTTCATGAGTTGGGAGTCGAGATTTGAAAACAGATTGTTTTCACTGTGAAGTCCACGCTCTTTTCCCTGCCCCGCGTTGTATCAGAGCTCAGAAAGAGAATAATTTAACATTAGGAAACATACCCCACAGGGCCCCAGCTGCCTCTGGGCTGGGTCACTTGGCTTGTATCACAGCAGGAGCAGCCCTGGCAATATAATGCACTGTTTCCACATTCATAAGGCCCGGCCACTGTCATGGTGACAGCGACTCAGCATCCAGCCCTGCTGTGGCCTCCGCCTGTCTCTGTCTCACCCACGGTGGTGCATCCAGCAGTGGAGAGTTAGGGCCCAGTGAAGAAGGAAGGTGGGCAGTTGAATTGATTCACTCTCCCAACACTGATAGAATCTTCTGAGGCACAGGGGTCTCAAAGAGCCTTTCCGAATGTTTCAAGTGACAGCAACCGGCTCCATCAGGAATTTGATAAGAAGCCAGAGTGGCTGGACCATGCGTTACAAGGGGCATGAGGTAAACGATGACAGTAGGCCTTGCCCCGTCCTGGGCCACGTCAAGGACTGCGCGCTTCGTCATAAGATGTGAAGACGTTAAGGGGACCGAAGTGGACACGGTCAGATTCGTCTTGGAAAATGTTGATTTCCGTTTACTTTAGTAGGGAGGAGTTTGGAGTAGAGAAGGGAGAGTAGAAGCAAAGAAACCAGTTGCCTGTTCAAGTAGTTCTTGTAGTATGGTGATATCAGAGGAAATGGAAATATGAGAACGCTTTACAGAGCTGTTGAGAAGGGAGAATGGAGGCGACGTGGTGATGGCCCAGATCCTCGAGGAAAGAGAGAGGCATCATCAAGGATGGTCTCTGGGTTCTATTGTGTGCAGCTTAAGAGAGAAAGCTGCCTTTTGCTGAGGTAGTCACGTTGGCCCATGCAGTGGATGGTGGGGAGGGGAACATAGCTTTGGGTTTGAGCATGCTGAGTTTGAGATGCGTTCCCAACGTGGCTGTGGTTTGAACAAGTGTCTATTCAGGTCTGGATTCTGGAAAAGGGGTCTGCGCTGGAGACATGGCCTGTGAGTCATGGCTGTGAAGGTGGTAATGAAGCCAGGGGGTGGGAGGGGCGGATGAGATCACTGCTTGACATTTCAGGGTGCACTCAGTACATGGAGAAGCTCTATTAAGCTTTGCGAAATATTTAAAAATAGTTCTGTTCCACCACCTCCCCTGCCCCCATCACTTCAAGAACTTAAAAGATTTTGGAGGGCCAGGTCAGAAACCAATAACCTGTTTGGTTTCTCTACTTCCTTTGGCTGTGGAATCTTTTATTCACATGAATAAGCTCAATAAATAATAAAGCCTATAAAGTATAAATAGTACAGGTCTGGTCAAAGCAGCGTTGTGAAGGGCAGGATCCCAGCCCACTCAGACTTCTCCCACCTATAGGTTTCTCCAGGGACTCCCAGCGTTGCAGGGAAAACAGCCTGAAAGCTGTTAGCTTATATGATTTCCTATTTGCTTTCGTTTCTAAAGATTTCTGAGCGTCTCTGATGGTATTATGGGGGTGTGCTGAACAGTGAACATCATCGACGTTTTCATGATGGCTCACAAGAAACCCCAGGATTTCATAAGAACTCTGGGTCATCTTCCCAAACATCAGTTATCCCTGAACTTCAGACCCTTCGAAGACTTTGAGCTGACAGAACTCCAAACAGACCAGCTTTTACAGAGGATGCAATTTAGAAACCCAGCTTTTGTCAGTCGAGAGTCTCCTTGACAATGAAGGCTTGTCGATTTCCCAAGTGGCACTCTCGTTAAGGAAACACAATTTAACTGACAGCAGAACTAAGGGCATGTGTTGGATACTGCGTAGTGGCATTTATTCTGCAATGACAAAGAAGTGGAGGATGCCAGGAAAAGCTTGTGGGTCTGGGAAGGGGAGGGGAAGGGTGGCATTTGGGGAGTTTGCTGGTGCTAAATTGCTCCATCTGTTGCATTAATAACCAATCCATCCAGGGGGCTGGGAAAATGGGTAATTGAAACATACGGTACCTATTAGGACCTATCTGCACATATGTAACTGCTCATTTCATCTGTACAAATGACTGCTTACTTAAGCAAATGGCAGGTCTGAGTGCTCATGTTGGGAAATTTTGCTAGGAAGTCATTTCCTTAGGAAAGGCTATATTCACATCCTCAAAGTGCTGAAAAGTCTAGGAAACACGATGCCATGGATGCATAAAAAGAGGGCTGGCCAGGATCGGTAGCTCACACCTGTAATCCTAGCACTTTGGGAGGCCAAGGCAGGTGGATAACTTGAGGCCAGGAGTTCGAGACTAGCCTGGCCAACATGGTGAAACCCTATCTCTACTAAAAATACAAAAATTAGCTGGGCATGGTGGTGCCCACCTATAATCCCAGCTACTTGGGAAGTTGAGGCACGAGAATTGTTTGAACCTGGGAGGCGGGAGGCAGAGGTTGCAGTGAGCTGAGATTGCACCACTGCACTCCAGCCTGGGTGATAGAGGAAGACTCTGTCTCAAAAAAAAAAAAAAGAAAGGAAAAAAAGAAAGAGAGCAGCAAGCAAGGTGGGAAGACCAAAGTCGTACTGGAAGGATGTGAGGTTTGGAGGCTATGCTTTTCCAAATGTGGCTGGTAAGCATGGCTTGCATTGGCCACAGAGTGGGGCAGACTAACAAAATGCTCAAAACAAAGCCCACTAGTGGACTAGTGGTCCAAATTTGGGGAGAGATTGGGCCAGACAGCTCAGTGTGATTTGTGGTAGAGAAACAGCATTAGAACCTAGATATAATCTAAAGCTCCCTGATGCTTAGGCCCCAATACTAGTCTCATGAAAACCAAATGTCTCTTATTGATTTGGGAGAAATTGATGGGGAATTATTTGTTATGTTTCTGTCTTCATTTTCTTACTCCCTGTATGCTATTTATTCTATTACCTCTATGACCCTATAGAAACCAAAATCAGCTGTGTCACTGATTTCTACAAGTGGTCCACTTTTATTAGCATTTTGTGTTTTTTCTGAGCTGTACTAGAATGGGGGGATGTGGGGAGATATGAGAAGTTTCCAGAGAAAGTGGTGACACCACGCAGGTTCCTAGCTTTCTGCCGTCTCCTGAATCCCTTCTCTCTCTTTTGTCCTCTTATTTCAACATTCCACCTTTTCCTAGGCAACAAATAATATCCTCTCCTCTGTTCTAGCGAAGCTTAATGCTTCACAATCACTACTGTGACTTTAAATACTTATCAAACTATTTTTCTCACTAACTCAGCTATCACTTTTTTTCTTTTTCTTTTTTTTTTTTTGAGACAGAGTCTTGGTATCTCCAGGCTGGAGGGCAGTGGCAGGATCTCATCTCACTTCAACCTCTGCTTCCCAGGTTCAAGCGATTCCCCTGCCTCAGCCTCCTGAGTAGCTGGGACTACAGGCATGTGCCACCACACCCAGCTAATTTTTTGTAGTTTAGTAGAGATGGGGTTTCACCATGTTGGCCAGGATGGTCTCGATCTCCTGACCTGATGATCCACCCGCCTCAGCCTCCCAAAATGTTGGGATTACAGGTGTGAGCCACCGTGCCCAGCCTCAGCTATCACTTTTAAAGAGATTTTTGGTGAATTCATCTTTCTCCAACTTGTTACATAAATACAGGCCCTGATCTGAAATCTAATGTAAGCTTTTCTCTGTGATGTTGACAGTTCCTGTTTTGTGTTGCCAGAAGGAAAAGTGGGTTTGCCTGGGCAGTATCAGGTCCTTCCACAGAAAGCGGCTTACAGTACTTCGGGCTCCAACTTGAATTCTCTTAAACAAGGAAATGTACGAGCTCAACATCGTAAGAACTCTGAGAATGAGGAGGCTCTGGGTTGGCTGATTCAGCAGCTCAGTTAACTCACTAAGGACTCATATTTTCCCATCTTCACGCTGACATCTTTAGTAAGTAAATGGTGTTCTTACATTGGCTCCCTATGTGCTCACTAAAAAAATAAATAAATAAATTAAAAAAAAAAAGGTGCAGCACTTCCCACTATGATTGAACCCACGATGATTGGTCTAGAATAATGAGAGCCCAATCTTGCAAGCTCATAGGGATGAGGTAGCCAAGTCCTTAGGGAGGGGAGTAGGTCTCCGAAGAATATGTGGGTTCTGTTAAGAAGGAGAGGCAGGAGGAATTAAACCTCGGGTAGATAACCCGTGTTACCTGTTTCAAGAGAGGGGAAGTGAATGGAAAACAGAGAAAAGTTTCCATAAGGCCGTGGGCAACACTGTTCTATTGTTCTGGAGGCTGCAATAGGGTCTTGCATAAATACACATGAGCTTCTTTCTCTCTAGAGCATGATTGCTGGAGTTTGAGCAAAGCTTTATTCTCATCTTATTTGCAAGATAAGCCCAACAGCACCGTAATTTTTTTTTTTTTTTGAGATGGAGTTTCGCTCTTCTAGCCCAGGCTGGTGTGCGATGGCGTGATCTTGGCTCAGTGCAACTTCTGCTTCCCGGGTTCAAGTGATTCTCCTGCCTCAGCCTCCCAAGTAGCTGGGATTGCAGGTGTGTGCCACCACGTCTGGCTACTTTTTAGTAGAGACGGGGTTTCATCATGTTGATCAGGTGGTCTCAAACTCCTGACCTCAAGTGATCCACCTGCCTCGGCCTCTCAAAGTGCTGGGATTACAGGCGTGAGTCACTGCACCTGGCCCACCACCTTGATTTTTATCTCTTCAACTACCAGCCCAGAAGCCTCATCAGTGATTCCCCATTCCTACCCCAGCCTTAGATATGAGCTCACGTGAATCCCATATAGCCCATGAATTCTACACACATCAGCTGCATTGGCCTTAATGGGCATGGTTAGGATGGAGTACAGAGATAAAACCAAGTCTGGCAGACTGAAAAATGCCACCCTCCCCCATAAAAAAAGAGATTCCAAATCCTGACCCCTGGAATCTGTATTACCTTCTATGGCAAAGTGAATATTACCTTCTATGGCAACATGAATATTACCATAAATGGCAAAAGAGGTGATTAAGTTAAGGGTTTTGAGATAGAGAGAGTATCTTGGATTATCCGGGAGGGCCCTAAATACAATCACATGTATCCTTGTAAGAGAGAAACAGATTTGAGACGGAGAGGAGAACGTGATGTGATCGTAAGAGCAGAAAGAGTTTTGAAGATGCTGGCCTAGAAGATTGGAGCGATGTGGCCATAAGCCAAAGAATGCTGGCAGACACCAGTAGCTGGAAGAGGGAAGAAATGAATCCTCCCCTTAGAGCCTGCAGAAGGAGTGCGGCCCTTGGTGACACCTTGATTTCAGCCCAGTGATACTAAATTTGGACTTCTGTGAGAGAATAAATTTCTATTGTTGTAAGCCCCTGAGTAATTTGTTACAGCAGCCATGGAAAACCAATACACCAGGTCTAACCAGAGTGAGAAGTAGTGGTGGGAAATGCAGGCAATGTTGCTTCAGGGGTTTGGTCTTCAGGATGTCATGAACAGACCAGTTGGAGTGACCCAGATTGGATCCTGACACATGATGATTTCATGCTAGGGACGCCCACCCACACCCGGAGTGTGTGTCATACACAACACAGCAGATTCCTGGGCTCTGGTCCCAGACCTGATCATCAGAGGCAGCTACAGGCCACTGGGACAAAGGCCTAAAGGGACGAAAGCTCTTCTGTACTAAAGGGGAACATGCCCTGCATCACTGTAAATCCGAGGAAGGCATGGAGGGGGCTTCTTGTCAGCAGCCTGGCTTGTGAGAGGGAGCCAGAAATTCCACTTGGGAGAGTGACAACTTAGCACACTTCCTAGGTTGGTAGAGTTTCAGGGAGTATTTGTTACTTGGGTATTTAGTGAAGACATTGGACTCAGCTCAAGTGTCAAGTTCAGTTCCTAGCAGCTGTGTTGGATGCCTTGTGGAGGAAGGTTTTGAGAAGGATGGCTGTGACTGAGTAGCGAGGTGCACCATAGACCCAGCAGGGCAGTGGCAGCCCTCTCAGCAGGTGTCTGCCCTGCAATGATCAGCATTCCTGGCTCTTTCTCCCAATGTCAGGCATCCCTTTGGTTCAGAAATTACATTCCATCTTGCTAACTTATTAATCAATCAGTAGGAATCACAGAGCAAGTCTATGTCGAAAGGTCTGTGCTAAAATGTTGTGGAGACAAAGAAAAGTCCTTCACGGTGGTTGCCATCTAGAGACTGCCTTCTGCGTGGCTGTGTGTCCTTCCTGCCTTCTCCAGGGTTCTACTGCTCAACTAGACTCACCAAAACAGAGGTGGAAAGTGCCCTTCAGTGGATTTATTCCAGGATTTTCTATGCCTTTCACTTTCTTGGAGTAATATATATTTTAAAAAAACTTTGGCCAGATAATGATGTAACAATAAACCTGCCACATAGTACCAAAAAAGGGTAATCTGTGACAATAAAACATTGAATGAGTTTAAATTACAAAGAATTTTCTACAGTGTCCTTTCTTTTCTTGGTTGACTGCAGACCACTAAAAACTTGTTCGTGGGCTGGCTTTGAGCCAGCATTTGAGAGTCTGGATAATCTGTTCAGGCTGCTATAATGAAGTGCCACAAACTGGGTGGCTTAAACAACAGAAATGTACTGTGTCCGTTCTGGAGGCCAGAAGTCCAAGGTCAAGGTGTCAGCAGGGCTGGTTCCTTCTGAGGGCTTTGCAGGAGAATTGGCTCCATGCCTCTCACCTAGATGCTGGTAATTTCAGGCATTGCTTGGCTTGTAGAAGGGATTCTCCCTGTGTCTTCACATCACTGTCCCTCTCTGCATATCTGTCTCTGTGTCCAAATTTCTCCATTTTATGAGGACACAGTCACATTGGATTAGGGCCCACCTTAGTGACCTCATCATGGCCAGGTGAGGTGGCTCATGCCTGTAATCCTACTACTTTGGGAGGCCAAAGCAGATGGATAGCTTGAGCCCAGGAGTTCTAGACCAGCCTGGGCAACATGGCGAGTCTCTAAAAAAAATCCAAAGAAATTAGCCAGGTGTGGTGGCCTGTATCTGTAGTCCTAGCTACTCAGGAGGCTGAGGTGGGAGGATCACTTGAGTCCAGGACATCGAGGCTGCAGTGAGCCATGATTGCGCCACTGCACTCCAGCCTGGATGACAGTGAGACCCTGTCTCAAAAAAAAAAAAAAAAAAAAGAGACCTCACTATAACTTGATCATCTGTGATCTTATTTTCAAATAAGATCACTTTGAAATATTTTAAGGGTATACAATTCAACCCATAATAAGAGCTATTGTTTTATCCAGTAACATGTTCTTTCAGTGTGTCTAGTCACCCATCCACTAATCAGAGGCTGTCAGGGAAGCTGAGTGCATGAAGATCCTGGCTGCAGTGTGCTTTATAACAGCAAGATCTGGGAGAAGAGGGTATAGGGAAATGATTTAGTGAAATGTCATCTCATCTCAACGGAGCCATTTAAAAGCTTGTTTATGCAGAGTCCATAACCACATGAAAAATGTTCATGACTCCTGTTCGTTTAAAAGGAGGTCACCCTTCCTCCCTCCCCCTGACCTTCCCTTAGTCTCAAAGATGGGTCTGGATCAAAGAAAGTGTGTTTCAACCTCAAGAAGAGGAGCATTCCCGGCCGGGCACGGTGGCTCACACCTGTAATCCCAGCACTTTGGGAGGCCAAGGTGGGTGGATCACGAGGTCAAGAGATCGAAATCATCCTGGCCAACATGGTGAAACTCCATCTCTACTAAAAATACAAAAATTAGCTGGGTGTGGTGGTGCATGCCTGTAGTCCCAGCTGGATCATATGGTGGGTGTCTATTGAACTATGTAAGAAATTGTCAAACTGTTCTTTCAAATTGGCCAGGAGAGCCATTTTGCATCCCTGCCAGTAATGCATGAGAGCTCCAGTGCTCTGTATCCTCTATGGCACTTGCTGTAGTGCCATGAGGGAGGCTGAGGCAGGAGAATCGCTTGAACCCAGGAGGCAGAGGTTGCAGTGAGCCGATATTAGGCCACTGCACTCCAGCCTGGGTGACAGAGTGGGACTCTCAAAAAAAAAAAAGGAAGAGGGGCATTCCCGTGGATTGGTCATGGTTGAGGACATTGGTCAGGTCAGGTGTTAAGAACATTCTCCCTCTCTTGATCCTCTGTCTCTTGTCTTCCCAGCAGCCTAGAAAGATCAGATGCAGCCTGTGGCATGCTCCCTCCTGGGAGACGCTTCTGTTCTGTGGTTCACTCTCTCCTTTCTCACAAGTTCACAAATGACTTTTACATCTGGTAAGTGAATTCTCACAATAGTCCCATGAGATGCTTACATTAGGTATGTCCATTTTACAGATGAGGACACTGAGGCACAGGAAGTCAAGAAACCTGCACAAAGCCATGCAACAACCAGCCAGTATCTGAGTCATGACCAAAGCCCAGAGCCCAGTCTGCCTTCTTGTCTGAGGTCCTTTCGACAGCCTGCATTGCTTATCTTCTAGGACAATCTGGCCCTAGGGAAGGAGGCCACCTGGACAGCACCATGGCGACACAGAGGGCACCAGATATGGGAAAGTTTCTCTCTGAGACCATGTTTGCTTCTGTTTCTCAAGCCAAGTTAATTCTCTCCTAGAACAACGCCAGTTAGAAATGGGGGAAGCTACTGAAATACCTTTGGTGGCTTGTCTTGCATCGATATTATTTTCTCCCACTGAGGAGTTAGAGGGTTTCTGGTTATGTGCTATGTAAATTCTTTGGCTCATTCTTTTTTTTCCATCCTTCCCTCCATGGTCCATCAGGAAAATCATGGTTAAATGAGTGAGTAAAAGCTTATGATTTGCCCGTCCACGTCCCAACTTCCTTCTTCCTTTAGACCTTTTTGTGTGACATGTATTTTCTTTGACCCTGATTTTTTATTTATAGCTTCTACTTTATTGAAAGCACTCTTGTAAGCTGCCTCTATTCCTTTGTGGATTGAAACAGAGTGTAAGGAAATAAAATATTATCTTTTTTTCAGAAAAAGAACATTTTGGAAAATGAAAGTGTATTTTCCGTGTTTGTTTTGTTTTGTGATAGAAACAGAAGATAAGGGAAGGATTATCCAATTCTACAAGCTTTGTGCTCTGGGGAATACAGGACTGATGCTTGATATTAAATGTATGTGCTACAGTGTAAATTTCTACTATTGGAATAATTGTGCTGGCATTGTTATTTTCACCTTTATTATCACTTTCATATATTATTACAGGGAGGAGGAAAGAGTAGGATGTGAATTCTTTCACTCTTTTTGTTCAAAGTCAGCTTTATCGATAATTTACAAAACGTAAAATTTATCCTTCTTAAGTATGCAATTCAATACATATTTGCCGAAGTTTCAGAGTCATATAACCACCACCACAATTCAGATGTAGAACATTTCCCTCACTCTAGAAAGTTCCCTCATGCCCTTTTGCAATCAACAATCTTCCCCATTCTGCCCCTGCTCTCAGCCCATTCACCTGATTTCTGTCCAAATATTTTTGAGTTGTTTTGCTCCAAGTGTTATTATATAAATAAAACCATACAGTATGTGGCCTTTTGTGTCTGACTGCTTTCAACTGGCATCATGCTTTTAAAGATCATCCATGTTATTGCATATACTAGTCGTTCATTTCTTTTTATTGCTTCACAGCTGTTTTAGTCTGTTTTGTGTTGACACAACATAATACAAGAGGCTGGGTAATTTACAGAGAAAAGAAGTTTATGTAGCTCATGGTTCTGGAGGCTGGAAAGTCCAAGAGCATGGTGCCTGCATCTGGTGACAGCCTTCATGCTGCATCATCCATAGTGGAAGGTGAAAGGGCAAGAGACAGCAAAAGTGAGAGAGCAAGAGAGTGCCCAACTCACTTTTATCACAATCCACTCTCGAGATAACAAACTCACTCCCTTCCTAATGACATTAATCCTTTCATGAGCCCTCATGGCCTAATCACCTCTTAATACAGTCACAATGGCAATTAAATTTTAGCATGAGTTTTGGAGGGGACATTGAATCCATAGCAGTAGCAATTTATCTTTTTTTAGTTGAGGAACATTTGGATTGTTTATAATTTGGGGTGATTATGAATAAAGCTGCCATAAACATTTGCATGCAGGTCTTTTTGTGGACATATATTTTCATTTCTTTTGGATGAACATCTATAATAAGATTGCTGGGTCATATGGTGGGTATATATTGAACTATATAAGAAATTGTCAAACTGTTCTTTCAAAGTGGCCAGGAGAGCCATTTTGCATCCTTGCCAGTAATGCATGAGAGCTCCAGTGCTCTGTATCCTCTATGGCACTTGCTATTTATGACTTTTGTTTGTTTGTTTGTTTTTGCCATTCTAATAGGTATGTAGAGGTATCTCATTGTGGTTTTAAATTTCATTTACCTGGTCGGGCGCAGTGGCTCACGCCTGTAATCCCAGCACTTTGGGAGGCCGAGGCGGGCAAATCACGAGGTCAGGAGATGGAGACCATCCTGGCTAACATGGTGAAACCCCGTCTCTACCAAAAATACAAAAAATTGGCCAGGCGTGGTGGTGGGTGCCTGTAGTCCCAGCTACTTGGAAGGCTGAGGCAGGAGAATGGCGTGAACCCTGGAGGCGGAACTTGCAGTGAGCCGAGATCACGCCACTGAACTCCAGCCTGGGCAACAGAGCGAGACTCTGTCTCAAAAAAAAAATAAAATAAATAAATTGCATTTACCTAATGGCTAATGTTATTGAGCATTTTTCATGTGTTTACTCGCCATCTGCATCTTTACTTAAGTGTCTGTTTAAATCTTTTGTCCATTTTTAATGGTGTTGATTTTCTAATCATTGAGGGGTAAGAGTTCTTTATATGTTTGGGATACAAGTCCTTTATCAGATATGTTTTTCCACAAGCACTTTCTACAAGTCTGAAGCTTGCTTTTAAAATTTTCTTAACAGTGTTTTCTGCAGAGCAGAAGTTTTTAATTTTAATAAAGTCCAAGTTATCAATTATTTTTATAGTTTTTGCTGTATGTGCTTATCTATAAAAATCTTTGCCTAACCCAAGGTAACAGAAATTTTCTTCCATTCTCTTCTAGATGCTTTATAGTTTTAGGCTTTACATTTATGTCTGTGATCAATTTTGCTTTGATTTTTGCATATGGTGTGAGCTAAGTGTTGACGTTCATTTTTGCTTGTGGATATTGAATTGCTCCAACACCACGTGTTGGAAAGTCTCCTCTTTCCCCTTTGACTTACCCTGGCATCTTTGTGATCTCTCATTCCTGACTTGGAATGAGATGCTGCCATTTACTTCCCCACCTCCCTGCCCCCCACCATGGCTTTTCACGTCTGAGCTAGGCATGGAGCCTAGACAGGAATTTTTGTTGCAATACGTAACCATCTGTAAGGAGAAAATGTTTTCTGTAAGCGACTAATAAAAAAGCCTCCTAAAGCCTGATGAATTGGCCTCAGCATGTAAGTGCTTCCCTCTGGTTTTAAAAGAGAAAGCTGAAAGATATCCAGGCTCACCTGTTCAAATGAAATTCAGCTTCCTCTGATTGGATGGCCATAAAATCTGCTATTATCTGCCGTCCTAGCCTTTTCTGAAAGAAATCCAATTTAGCAAGTAGAATATAGTTATTCCAGCTGACAACTACATGCTGGCAGTGAGCCGCGTAAGCCCTTGTGTACTAGCACCTGCAGATTGGCTGAAATGAAGACGGTGCCAACAAAATGTGTCTATGGCAGGCCATTCATCCTGGGGCCAACGGGGGCCACCATTGAACGTGACAATGGGAACTACAGTGTTTCGGGGGAAAGCAGGGAGCTCAAGAGTCCTCACATTCT